>NC_000003.12:43040303-43343333 GCF_000001405.40 Homo sapiens
GTCTATTTCTGGACTCTTTTCTGTTCCAGGAAAGGGTCTATTTATATGCCAGAGTCACACTGTTTGAATTACTGAGCTTTATATTTTATGTTAATAACTAGTAGGACTTGGTCCTTCTCACTGCTCTTTTTTAGAATTTTCTTGATATTCTTGTGTACTTTTTTGCTTGTTCCTTCCCCTTCCCAGATCCTTTTGGGATTTTCTTGAAATCAAATCAAGTTTTTGTGGATTAATATAGAGAGCATTTACACCCTGAAATACAGTCACTCTAGCCGAGAACAGGTTATGCCTCTCCATCTGTTCACGTTCCTCAGAAGCATTTTGATGTTTTCTTCAGCTGGGTCTTCACTTTCAGGTTGGGTTATTCCTTGGTATTTTATCTTCTTGTGGCTGTTGGAAATGGGATCTTTTTTATTTTATTTTATTTTATTATTTTTTATTATTATACTTTAAGTTTTAGGGTACATGTGCACAATGTGCAGGTTAGTTACATATGTATACATGTGACATGCTGGTGCGCTGCACCCACTAACTTGTCATCTAGCGTTAGGTATATCTCCCAATGCTATCCCTCCCCCCCGCCACAACAGTCCGCAGAGTGTGATGTTCCCCTTCCTGTGTCCTTGTGTTCTCGTTGTTCAATTCCCACCTATGAGTGAGAATATGCGGTGTTTGGTTTTTTGTTCTTGCGATAGTTTACTGAGAATGATGATTTCCAATTTCATCCATGTCCCTACAAAGGACATGAACTCATCATTTTTTATGGCTGCATAGTATTCCATGGTGTATATATGCCACATTTTCTTAATCCAGTCTATCATTGTTGGACATTTGGGTTGGTTCCAAGTCTTTGCTATTGTGAATAGTGCCGCAATAAACATACATGTGCACGTGTCTTTATAGCAGCATGATTTATAGTCCTTTGGATATATACCCAGTAATGGGATGGCTGGGTCAAATGGTATTTCTAGTTCTAGATCCCTGAGGAATCGTCACACTGACTTCCACAATGGTTGAACTAGTTTACAGTCCCACCAACAGTGTAAAAGTGTTCCTATTTCTCCACATCCTCTCCAGCACCCGTTGTTTCCTGACTTTTTAATGATTGCCATTCTAACTGGTGTGAGATGATATCTCATTGTGGTTTTGATTTGCATTTCTCTGATGGCCAGTGATGGTGAGCATTTTTTCATGTGTTTTTTGGCTGCATAAATGTCTTCTTTTGAGAAATGTCTAGGGATCTTTTATTTCGTTACATGTTCTGGCTGGTAGCTCTTTGTCCATAAGAAGGCTATTTCTTCTGCATATTAACTTTGCCACCATCCACCTTCTGACTTCATCTTGCTTTTAACAGTTGCTCAGTTTATCCTCTTGGGCTTCCCCTGCATACCATCATTTCATCTGTAACAAATGGGGTTCTGTCTTTTCATTTCCTCTTTCTTACTCTTACCTCATTACATTTGCTGGTGTCACAGAGCAATGGTAAATATTAATGGAATGATAGACATGACATGTTTCTAACAGATTTGCGATGAACTATTCATTATTCTTGCTTTATTAAGATTTTTTCAGGCCAGGTGCAGGGGCTCATGCCTGTAATCCCAGCACTTTCCATCCTGAAGGCCCCAGGCCTGTGACTGTTCCCAGTGTGGGGAAGCATCTCTGTGCTGGGGGCATGGGCCACCAGGGACAGCAGGTTGCTCTTCTGGAGTCTACGAGACCCAGATCAGGCACTGCTTGAGGAAACCATCTTGGCCCCAGAGACATGACATGTTTCTTACAGATTCGGGACAATTTCTAGTGTTTCACCATTAAACACCATGCTGGCTTTTGACTGAAAATAGGATGAATTATTCATTATTCCTACTTATTGAGAGTGTTCAGGTCAGGCGCAGTGGCTTACAACTGTAATCCCAGCAGTTTGAGTGGGCCAGGTGGGAGGATTGCTTGAGCCCAGGAGCTCAAGACCAGCCTGGGCAATATAGGGAAACCTTGTCCCTACAAAAAAAAAAAAAAAAAAAAATTAAAACTTAGCCAAGCAAAGTGGCATGCACCTGTAGTCCCAGCTCCTCAGGAGGCTGAGGGGGAAGGATCTCTTGGGCTCAGGAGGTGGAGGTTGCAGTGAGCTGTGATCATGCCACTGCACTCCAGCCTGGCGACAGAGCCAGACCCTGTCTCAAAAGAAAACAAAAGCAAAAAAGAGTTTCATTTTCAGGAATGGATGTGTAATTTTTTCGAATGCCTTTTGGGTATCTGTGGGAGAAGTCACCATATTTTCCCCCGTAATTATTAAAGTGGGACATTTTGTGACAGTGTTGCAATGGTGATTCTTCTTAGCTTTCTTGCCCAGAACCTACTTTGCTGTGGTGGATTCATCTTTTAATGGCTGCTGGGTTTTGCGTTGATGTTTAAAATTTAGGAGGCTCCACAGATGGTCTTTTTAGATAAGCTATAGTCCTTCTCAATCCAGCTCCTCAAAGCCCATCAGCTGGTCTATTCGCCGGCTTCCGAAGATGGTGCTGAGGCTTCTGGCCCTGGGCTTGGGGCAGATGAAGCAGTCTAGGTGTTCCCTCCCTGGAGCTTCCAGGGAAGATGCCATGTATGTGGAAAGGCAAGGAGCACAGCAAGGTGAGTCCTTAGAGGAGAGTGAGAGTCAGTGCCGAGTAACTCCCTCCTCTTTCACACTCTGACCACCCCAAAGCCTCACCAAATTCTTCAACAGCCAGCCAGCCAGTATGGGAGCAGCCTGCCACCCTCCTTGGAGAGAGGTATTGGGGTATGGGAAGGGGAGTTGGCTCTCCTCCTGCCTCCAACTATGCTGCAACTCTCTGACCCCCAGGCAGTGAGCCTGCCTAGTCAGCAGCCACCCTTTCCACCGTGAAGGTCCCAGGCCTGTGACTGCTCCCAGTTTGGGGAAGTGTCTCTGCGCTAGGGGCATGGGCCACCAGAGACAGCAGATGGCTCTTCTGGACTCTACCAGACCCAGATCAGGCACTGCTTGAGGAGTCTTGGCCCAAGAGCCTTCACTCCGGACCTTCCCACCCCCACAGCTGGACCTGGTATCCCTTCTTGGCAGACTGCAGTATCTTTTCCCATCCAGATGTCCTGTTTGGGAAGTCACAGAGGCAGTGACCCTACTATATCCTTCATGCTGGCAACCAGTCATGCACTTCAATTTGTTCTTGCATCCAAAAACCTTCAACTAAGTCTCTGGTTATGATAAACATGTTCTGGGGACTGGATCACATTACTCAGCCTGTGTGACTCATTATTCAGCCTCATCTTTGAAATGGGAACAATAACAGTATCTATCTCTTGGCTGCTAGCAGGGGTCAAATGACTTGTGATATGTAAAGCACTAAGGATAATACCTGGCACAGAGTAAGGGCATTACAATGGCTTAACTAAATTTAAACAAAAACTTCAGTCCACATGATTATGTAACACTGCCAGAAAACCCAAACTCTAAAGGATTATCATTTTTTCTTGGTATCTCTTCATTTTTTCAAAAAGGGGAAAAAAATCAAATCTTGAAGGAATATGGGAATGAAAGGTAAGCTTGGTCTTGTTTGGCTGCTAGTCTGCTACTGTTTAAACCTAATTTCTCTTCTGTAGAAAAAACCAACCAGACAGTGTGGCAGAATAATCACACTGGCAAGTGTGCCAGCCAAGCCCTCACTGTGAAACATTCAAATGGGTGTAGATTCTGGGAAGCCAGCACTGCACGCATCATATGGGCCAGTATTTCTTGTAGCTTCCTCTGGAAATAGATGCTGCTGCAAGTTTAAATCTGCACAGAATGGCCTTGAGACGGGAGCAGGGAGGGTTTGGTGGGAGCAAGGGGGTTTGGCTGACCATGCAGCAGGTGTGAAGCAAAATCCAGGGCAGTTATTGCATTTTGGGCTTGCTAGAGCTGCCCTGACATTTGCTGTCCTGGCCCAAGAGAATTCAGCTGGTGAGTTTCTGTCTCACAGATATGTTGCGCTCCAAACACTAGGCTTGTGCGTGGAAGAGATGCTAGACCCACATCATAACTTACTTTATGTCAGACTCTGGTTCTCAGGCCTGTAGTGCTGGGTGAGTGGGGGGTGAGGACAGTGCTTTTTCGGAGGGAACCACTGGCCTGTCCCCTCCAGGGCCAGAGACTTCTGGGAACTCTCCATAACAACCGCCTCCTGCTTTACATCCTGTGTGGTCCTCAACATGGCCCCATGGGAGTATCACCTCCCCATTTTGTTGATGAGAAAACTGAGGCACAGCAAGATTAGTAATTTCCTCAATTCGCATAGCCAGGACATAGTGGAGGCAGGATTCATCCCCAAATTCATCTGGACTTCAAACTGGGGGTCACAAACTAAACCGTGGCCCACAATGCAGCCAAATTCACTCCTTGCCTTTTTGTAGAATGGTTTAGAATGATTTTAGCACTTTTAAGTGGTTGAAAAAATTGAAAATATAATATTGTGGGACATCTAAATTTACATGAAATTCAATTTCAGTGCACATAAGGTTTTATTGGTGTTGGGATGATCACACCCAACACGAGGCCGTGGGAGCTACAAAGTCTGGCGGAGTCAAAGGAACGAGAAAAGACAAGAGTGCATAATGTGGGTCCAGGGGGCCAACGCTAGTATGGAGGCTGTGAAGGCCCCAAGCTCTGGGAGCCCACATTATTTATTGGTGATCAAACAAAGAAGCAGGTGGTGAGGACATTGAGGATGTGGGGGTAAACAGGTGAGGGTGTGAGGATGTGGGTGTAGAAAGGTAGCGGTGCATCAAGTGTAGCTGTGATGGTTTAGCATTTTCTTTGACACATATAGAATATGCTCTGCTGCTTGAGATAATGGAGAGCATGTTTACTAGCCTGGGAGAGCAACCAGCAAATCTGTGCACATTCCAGAGGCTACAGGGGTTTTATGCCCTGGGCCCTGGATTCTATCCAAGCCATGAGGGGTTTTATGCCCTGAGCTTAGATTTGTGGTGTGGCAGGGCAGCCTTCCACCCTTTGGCACAGAGCTTGGTGTTCCAAAGGCCATGAGGGGTTTTAGACCCTGGACCCTGGACATCTTCCAAGACTCTTTTATATTATGACAGACAAGCCAGTCCTGCCTCAGCTCTTCTACCAACATATTGGAATATAGCCATGCCTATTTGTTTATGTATTATCTATAATATATAAGATATGCACAACAGTAGCAGACTTAAGTAGTTATGACAGAGACTGTATGGCATCCAAAGCCTAAAATATTTACTCTCTGGTCCTTTATAGAGAAGTTTTCTGATCTCTGCACTAAACCACTGTGTTGGTAGCCTCTGGTGGCTCTTGCTAAGGATGGGGTGCATATGAAAGCATGGAGTAGGCTCATATATGGGTGGTGATATGGTTTGACTGTGTCCCCACCCAAAATCTCATCTTGAATTGTAATCCCCATAATCCCTACGTGTCAAGGAAGAGACCAGGTGGAGGTAATTGAATCATGGGGGTTGGTTTCCTCAATGCTATTCTCGTGATAGTGAGTTCTCATGAGATCTGATGGTTTTATAAGTGCCTGGTAGTTCCTCCTGCATTCATTCTCCTTCCTGCCACCTTGTGAAGAAGGTTCCTTGCTTTCCCTTCATCTTCTGCCATAATTGTAGATTTCCTGAGGCCTCCTCAGCCATGCAGAACAATGAGTCAATTAAATCTCTTTCCTTATGAATTCCTCAGTCTTGGGCAGCTGTTTATAGCAGTATGAAAATGGACTAATACAGTAAATTGGTACCACAAAGAGTGGGGTGCTGCTATAAAGGTACCTAAAAATGTGGAAGTGACTTTGGAACTGGGAAACAGGCAGATGTTGGAACAGGCAGAGTTTGGAGGGCTCAGAAGAAGACAGGGAGATGTGGGAAAGTTTGGAACTTCCTAGAAACTTGTTGAATCGCTTTGAACAAAATGTTGATAGTGATATGGACAATGAAGTCCAGGCTGAAGTGGACTCAGATGGAGATGAGAACTTGTTGGGAACTGGAATAAAGGTGATTATTGCTATGCTTTAGCAAAGAAACTGGCGGCATTTTGCCCCTGCCCTAGAGATCTGTGGAACTTTGAACTTGAGAGAGATGATTTAAGGTATCTGGCAGAAGAAATTTCTAAGCAGCAAAGCATTCAAGATGTGACCTAGATACTCTTAGAAACATTCAGTTTTATGCATTCACAGAGATGGTTTGGAATTGGAACTTATAATTAAGATGGAATCAGAGCATAAAAGTTTGGAAAATTTGCATCCTGATGATGTGGTAGAAATGAAAAACCCATTTTCTGGAGGGAAATTCAAGCTGGCTGCAGAAATTTGCTTAAGTAATGAGGAGCCAAATGTCAATGCCAAGACAATGGAGAAAATGTTTCCAGGGCATGTCAGAGGTCTTCATGGCAACCATCTCATCACAGGTCCAAAGGCCTGGGAGGAGGAAATGGTTGTGTGGGCAGGGCCCAGGATCTTGCTGCTTTGTGCAGTCTTAGGACTTGGTGCCCTCCATCCCAGCTGCACCAAAAAGGGGCCAAAGTACAGCTCAAGCCATTGCTTCAGAGGGTACAAGCCCCAAACCTTCTAGGCCTCCACGTGGTGTTGCACCTGTGGCTGCACAGAAGACAAGAATTGAGCTTTGGAAACCTTCACCTGTATTTCAGAGGATGTATGGAAACACCTGGATGTCCAGGCAGAAGTCTGCTGAAGGGGTGGAACCCTCATGGAGAACCTTTGCTAGGGCAATGTGGAAGGGAAATGTGGAGTCAGAGCCCCCACACAGAGTTCCCAGTGGGGCTGCCTGATGGAGCTGTGAGAAGAGGGCCATCATCCTCCAGACCCCAGAATGGTAGACACACTGACAGCTTGCACTGTGCACCTGGAAAAGCTGCAGACACTCAATGCTAGCCGGTGAGAGCAGTCAGGAGGGGGTCTCTATCCTGCAAAGCTACAGGGCCAGAGCTGCCCAAGACTGTGGGAGCCCATCTCTTGCATCAGCATGAGAATGGACTAATACAGGTGGGATGATACTAGCTTTAGTGATTTAAAATGAACTCTCTAACCCTGTCCTAGCCAACATTTTTATTAGTAGCCTGAATGAGGACATCTGGGCTGTAGGGGACCCAGCCATTCTCTCTGTAGTCGTTCCTCACAGAGCCCTGATTTGATTCACCTTCCACCTATTCCTGGATTCAGAGGCAATGGGTTCAAGGATCAGTGCATTAACGTCTTCCACTGATTGCTGTTGGTCCACTGATTGCTATTGGCCTCTTAATTTGGCTGAAGGGAAGACCTTCTATTCCACGGTTGTTGAGGGGAGAGGTTCCTTCTCTCTCTCCCCTTCTCTCATACTCTTCTTCTCTCTTTCCTGCTGGACATGAACAAGGAAACATATTCCCACAGCAACTACCTGCAGGCATCCTAAGACAACACTGGGATGCTGTTAACATTGTGGGTGGTAACGTGGAGGGCAGAAAGCAACCCAAGTCCTTATCATGATAATATGGAGCTGCTAAATCCACCCAACCTGCCCTTCCTCAAGACTTCCTTCTGTAGATAATCTCAATCTTCCTTATGGTTTAAGCCATTTGGAGTCAGGTTTTTCTGTTACTTGTGGCTGAAAACACTCCCATTGGTATAGTAGCTTACTGGTCTGGCGGCACATAACCTAAAATTGGCAGGGGAAGGAAAGGCAAATGAATGTGACAGCAAAACCATCCAAAAAAGATTCAATGGGTTGCAATGAAAGATTAAAGGAGGAAATGGAATAGTGTTAAATGCAAAGTCTACTGAGGGCCTGTGAGTCAGTGGTATAAAGGCAGGTTAATGAAGCCCTGGCTGAATGGACACATATGAGACAGAGACTTGCTAGTTTTAGACATGCACAATAGGTGTCAACAATATGATAAGATTGGTGAAGATGCTAATTCAGTCTTAGCATCTGGAATCAGGGAGGCGATGTTTCTGTGCTACTCCGTAACTTGATTCTCAGCTGTTGTGTCCAGTGCTAGGTACTAAAGTATGATAAGAATATTGACCAACAAGAGCCTGGACATGTGACAGCAATAGAGACCATGAGGGGTTTCTATCTAGGTTTGAGTTCCCCAAAAAGGGACTCTGAGACTAGAATTTGAATAGAGCAATTTATCTGGGAGGTGGTCCTAGGAAACCTGGTGAGCAAATGGGGAAGTGAAGCAGGGAAGGAAGAAAAGCTAATGAAGGGTACAGTAAAGAGCAGGCTGCCACCATGGGCAAGTGAGGCTGAACCCAGATGAGGGCCCTTGACAGACTGTGTAGAACACTGCTGTGGGGTATCATTCCCCTGGGAGGTGAGGGGCTATGATACTTGTACACTAACTGCCATAAGTCATTGTTTGAAGCTTGCTCCTGGAGGCATTTATTTTCCAGCACATTTGCCTGCTGCATGGGTGGGTCAAGCCTGTTATGGGCAAGAGTACCTCTACATATGGGGACTGTATGGTTGGGACCTTCTGTAGGTGAGCCCTAGGTTCATGGATGGAGAGCATCAAAAGCATCTACCATAGTTTCAGAACCCAAGTGTGTTTAACCTGGATGAAGGAAAATTCAGGGGGCGCATCACTTGGAGGGAGTTTGATTCCAAGCAACAGAGACTAACTCTGGTTAACATAAGCAAGAAAAGAATCTACATTTGGTAAGACATTAAGGGCTTCAAGGAATGGAAGAAAAAGGCCTGGGAAGCCTGAAGAGTCAGGGGAAGGATGGAGGGTATATGGTTAGGGGAGCTTGGACCCCATCCTCACTTCATGGCTGGGTGTGCAGGGTACTTGGATTGTTGATGCCACCAGACTGTATCTAGCAGGGAAGATTGATTCTCTTACAGGAAAACCAGGAACTCTAATGAGTGGTGTGCATGCCAATGTGTTTAGAGGGAAATTTCTAATGTCTGCAACTTACTTTGAAATGCATAAAAAATAAGAGATAAGATGACTTAATGGATAGATATAGAGATGTATCAATAGATATGTCATAAAGTAAGCATAATAAAATATTCATGGTAGAATCTTAGTAATGGGTATGTGGATATTCACCATAAAATTATTTCAAATTTGCTGTTTGAAATTTTTTATAATAGGGTATTAGAGGAAAGAAGAAAAATTGAATATTGGTTACCCAAAGTTCAGGAGGCCAAAGCAGTAAAGAGGGTACTCCTCAGGAAGTCTTGCTAATTGGCTTATCGCATGAACAGGGCTGTGGTTCTTTGCCAAGCTGGACCAATCTTCTGGGCTTTGTGCATTGGCCTCTGGGCTAAACTTGTTTTTTTTACTAGAATCAGTGGATATATTTAATCCATTTGGTCTACTGCCCTCAGCCTATCTAGACCTGAGATGTGCTTTCTCCATGTTTAACTGTATAAAACAGAAAATAATGTTTGGGGACAGTACTTGGGACTATTGAATGCTGTCTCATTTCTTAACATCTGGTTTTGTGAGATTAGTTGGTGACTAGAACTGTAGTTATTTTCTTGGTAGTTGCACTGGGATTACCATTAACATCTTGATTTATAACAATCTAGGTCAGATTACCAGCAATTTAATTTCAATAGTGTAAAAAGACTTTCTTTCTATATAAATCTCTCCCCCCCCACTTTTATGCTATTCTTGTCACAAATTACATCTTTATACATTTTCTGCCCATCAGTATAGATTATAATTATTGCTTTCAGCAGTTTTTTTTTTTAAATCAGAGGGGAAAAAAAGAAGTCCAGAACAAAAAAAAATACATTTATACTGTCTTTTATGTTTATCTATGTAGTTACCTTGAACAGAGCTTTTTAGTTCTTGACATTAATTCAAGTTACTACTTAGTGTCCTTTCATTCAACCTGAAGTCCTCCTTTTAGTATTTCTTGTAGAAGAAGCCTGCTGACAATAAACTCTGTTTTTGTTGTTCTGTTAATGTCTTCATTTCTCCTTAATTTTTGAAGGATAGTTTTGCTGTATATAAAATTCTTGGTTGACAGGCTCTCTTTTTTTTAATTTAATTTCAACACTTTGAATGTTATTCCTCTGCCTTTTGGCCTCCATGGTTTTTGATAAATTTGATATCAAATTACTCTTTGAAAGAATCCTTTTTATGTGATGAGTGACTTCTGTCTTGCTGCTTTTAAGATTCTCTCTCTGGCTTTTGACAGTTTTATTCTAGGTGTAGGTCTCTTTCAGTTTATATTAATGGAGTTCACTGGACCTCTTGGACGTGTAGATCAATGCTTTTCACCAAATTTGGGGAGGTTTTGGACATTAATTCTTCTAATATTATTTTCACATCATCCTCCCTTCCTTTTAAAACTCCTCTTATATATATGTTGGTACACTTGATGGTGTTACATGGGTCTCTGAGGCACTGTTTATTTTTCTTCATTTTTTTCTTCTTATTCCTCATACTTGATAATCTCAGTGGACCTATCTTCAGGTTTTCTGATTCGTTCTTCTGCCTGCTCATAACTGCTGTTCGATCCTCTCAGTGAATTTTTAAAAGTTGTTGTACTTTTCAACTCCATAATTTATATTTGGTTTCTCTTTATAATTTCTATCTCATTATTCATGTAGTCTTTATGGTGAGGTATCGTTCTCATACTTTACTTCTCTAGGCCTGATTTCCTTTAGTTCTTTGAACATATGTAAAATAGCTAATTTAAATTTTTTTATCTAATGTCTGGGCTTCCTCAGGAAAAATTTTGATTGATTGACTTTTTTCATGCATATTGGCCATACTTTGTTTCTTTGACTGTCTCATATTTTTTTGTTGAAAACTGAGTATTTAAATAATATAAGGTGGCCACTTTGAAAATCAGATTCTTCTTTTCCCCAGGATTTTTGTCATTGCTGTTTGTTGTAGTTGTTTTTGTTTGTAGTGGTTTTCTTTATTTGCTTGTTTTATTTTTATGAACAAATTCTATAGTCATCTGTATTCTTTATTGTATATGGCCACTGAAATTTCTGCTCAGTTAGTTCAGTGATCAGCTGATGATTGAGCAGGAGATTTTCATGAATTTCCGGAGCCAGTAA
Source organism: Homo sapiens (assembly GCF_000001405.40). Taxonomy (NCBI): domain Eukaryota; kingdom Metazoa; phylum Chordata; class Mammalia; order Primates; family Hominidae; genus Homo; species Homo sapiens. Next base: position 43,051,353 of record NC_000003.12, read on the forward strand.
GTCTCCTAGTCTTTGCCAAAGGACTCTGTGTGTGTGTTGAGGCATCTCCAACACGTATGTATGCAATTGACAAATCTGCTTTTGCCTTCATTTGTGCTTGTATAGTCTCAAGGTCAACCAGAGGTGAGAGCTTAGGGTATTTTCAGTTTTTTCCTGAACATGTGCACAGTCCTACACATGTGCATGTGGCTTTCTAGATTTCCAGGAACATATTGGAGCTTTTCACAGCCCCTTGGACATTTCATTTCTTATCTTTTCCTTTTAAAGCTTTTTGGTTAATCTATTGTTTGTCCCAATTGTTATCCATTGTCTCAGACAGCCATGGTGTTGAAACATTTGCCAGTAAATGTTCTCAACAAATGTCCTCTACCCTTCCAGGAGAAGGCTTTTAGTACCGGGCAACCAAAAAACCATGCCTTTTAGTGGAGTTTACCAGGGAATCACCAGACACGTCAGATAATGACAATTTTCTTGCAATGAGGTCTGCTCTGCTCCCTTCATACTGAGTTTCCAGGTTCCCAGGCTGATGTCTTCCTCTCCAGTGTTGTTCCCAGGCTTTCTAATTCAGACTAGCCCTTCTGCAAAGATGGGATCAGAGTGTCCAATCTAGGTCTTCCCCACACCAGGCTCTTTTAGGAACTTAGTACATTTTGCAGCCTGAGAGTTAGATACCTACCAGTCATTGTCCTGACTGGTAGATCCCAGAGATCCTCAAGGCCTCCCCACTGACTTTCACCACCATCTGGGAGATTTAAGAAAACGACTAAAACCCCTAGTCCCATAACCTGTGGGGTCTGGAGCCCTTCCTAGGATTTGGACAAATCCCAAGGAGTAGATGGACTCTTTCTGTTTCATGTGCCGTGAGCACTACCTTGACTTGCCCCACACCAAACCTGAACTCAAAGCTCAGCATCCACCAAACATTTCACAAGGGCGGCAGCTTCACTGAAGGACAGAGAACTTGTGGAAGGGCACATCTCAGCCCCAGCCTCCTGCTGCTCCCTGCTTCCCTTCACCTTCTCTATTCCTCTGTCCTCCTCCTTCCACAGCAAGAAACTAACTTTTCTTCTTGTCCCATGCAATGCAAGTCCTCCCTCACCCAGACCTCCAGGGATTTCACCTTCTACCCTAGGCATTCATTGAGGTATTGCATCAAACCAAGTTTCCTTCATAAAAGGAAAATAGAATGAGTTTTCCCCGGCTTGCCCATCCTGTGTGTGATGGTGATTCCCTACTGCTCAGCCGCCCTCGCTTCATCTTTCATCCACTTCCTAGCATCTCCCAAACCTTCTCCAAACCAACTCCTCACTTCGACTATTCTCCCTTTCCTGTCTTTCTCCCCACAGCAAGCCCTCCCCTAACCATCCTCAGAGGACTCTACCACTTCTTGCTTGTATGCCTCTCCATCCTCAACCTCTTTGTCCTAGATACTTACAGCAGATACTATCCTCATGTAGGTCAGGGCTGGGGTAGACCCACGATTCTTCCTATTGCTGACTTTCAGGCTGCACCTTTCCTTCTGAAGAAAGCATCCCGGAAGCAAGTGAGTGGGAAGTGTGATTCTAGGAATCCTCTGATCCACTCTAAAATGCTGTGGGTGTCATCTGTATGTGTCTATTCAGGGGAAGGGTGGCAAAGCTCCTCAGAACTGACTGCACACCACATTGAGGATGTCCTCCTCTTTCCCTGGCTTGATTCAGGCCTGCTGCAGGGTGAAAGAGCTGTCCAGTTGGAGCTGTTGAGATGATCATTGAAGGACTTGCACCTCTAAAGAAAGGAGGAATCCCTGATGTAGCATTTGCTGCTTAAAGAAAAAATAGAGTGATGTGGAATCTCCCTAGGTAGACAGGCAGACGGTCAGCATTCAGAGCCTCAGAGGTGCCAGGCTAGAGCTAAAGAGCAACAGTGTAGGTTAAGCTGTGGGCACTGGGTGAAAATCCACACTGGCCTGAGGCATGAGCAAACAGCTCCTGGTGCGCAGAGTGATCTGGCCAGAGGAGGAAAGCGGAAGCCCCATTTAGTAATGACCAGCACAGAGAACCAGTGAGGGTCACCCCTGCTGTGGCCCCAGGGTCATGTAGGAAACAGCAGGTCAGGTGGCCTCCATGCTATGCCTGGTGGAGGCAGGCCCCCTGCCGCACCCCACCGAAGGCTGGGTGTCTCCACAGGTCCACGACCGCTTGGATCGCTACTGCTGTGGCTTCGAGCCTGAGCCCTCAGACCCCTGTGTGGAAGAGAGGCTCCGAGAGAAATGCCAGAACCCAGCCGAGCTGCGGCTGGTCCACATCCTGGTACGTCTCCTCCACACCATCCCCTTGTCACCCCAGACCCAGGTCTTTCTGTGTCCTTCAGAAGATGCTGTTAACAAGTTTCAGAGATCAGTTGATGCTGGGGTTTCCCAGTCTTGTTCTTTTCAGCAGCAGAACCAGTTGTTTGAATATTTCCAGGAGTCCGCAATATATAAAGCTGACAAAATGGAGCTTTAAGAATGTGCCTGAGGAGGGGTGTGGGGTGGGGGCTGGAGCCTTGTTTTCACTGTCTCCACTGCCCCTAAGAGACTCCAGGGAACAACTAGGGCTCCTGGAAGTAGAGTTTGAGAATGGTGTGTCTAGTCAACATCCTCGTTGTGCCAGTAAATGAGGAATTGCAGTCTGGAGGGAAAGGAATCTTCAAGGCCATACGCTAGCAGCATTAGGGCATGAACCCAAGACTGCAGTGGCTCACAGGCTGGTGCTGCTCCTGTCAAAACTAGAGTCCAGGGTGGGAAGCAATGTGCCGAGGCCATTGGAGAGGGCAGAATAGCCACTTCTTCTGCATAAGAAGCAAGGTGCTTCCCCCGGGGAAGGGCTTCTCTATCTTCTCCTGCAGTGAGGCATAGTGTCCTCACAGCCTCCCTTTGCTCTTAGAGGGTAGCTGTCAGCATGGTGTCCAGGGATGGGCTTCAGGGAGGCCGCATCACCCGAAGCCCAGGATTGCTTAGTGGTGGTGCTGGGAATTCTCCTCCCCTACCCCCAGAGCCATCTCTCCTTTTCCCTGGTCAAAGGTAAATATCCATGGGAGAGACAAAGTTTTAATAGCCATTGTTTACCCCTGGTGAGCAGGCATTTCACAGATCTTTTAGGACAGCAGTTTCCAGAGGGAAGAGTCACCTGGCTTTGAGCAAAAGGTGATCCTGACATGTGGAGTGGGGTGAGAAAGGAGAAGAGGCAGAGAGAAGGGAAGCTGGAGTCCTGGAAACAGAAGTTCATAGCTTAAGCCTAGGCCACTGGAGAGGATTGTGGGAAATGCCCATGGACTTTTGGAGGCTATTTGGGAAAGGAGTGCATGCATGGGAGTGGGGACCAGAAGAGATGGCCTCCCATTCGCAACCACACCATATTCTTTAAGGTACTAAAGAATTTTCTGGTGCTGATTTTGGTTTTGAAAAGGTTTAGGAGCTGCTAAACTCTTCTGTAGAATCAGATTATGGTCAGTGCTTTTTGAGGATAAAGGATATGTCTGTGATCTCAGTGATGCTCAGGGGGATGCCCAGGTGCACAGGCACAGGTGGCACAAAGGGGTGACTGAGTGTGTGTACACATGTGAGCAGCACATGTGCGATGCCCCTCACAGCCGGTGGCCCCGAGGAGCAGGCTACCTTGGCAACTGCTGATTCCCACCCTTGCTCCTCACCCCTTCAGCCACCAAAATAGGATCAGTCCTTTGGCCTTGCGATTTAGCAGATGGTGCTATGGCTTAGCCCCATGGGTCCGGGTTTGAAACAGCCCAGCTACTTACTAGCTGTGTGATTTTGTGCAAATTGCTTAACTTAAAGAAGGTGCCACCATTTCTGTAAAATAGGGCTAACACTAGTGCCTGCTTCCTAAGGTTACTGGGAGAATTAATTGACAGGATGTCTGGAAGCACTTAGCACAGTGCCCAGCATAGAGTAAGCACTCAGCGGTGAGGACTGTTTGTTAGGATGGACTGTGGGACTGACAGCTCAGGGCTGTCAGCCCCTTAATCTTGACCAAGTCCATAGGTGCCAGCCGTAGCTGCACCCTTACCCACCTCTGTCTCTGTCCACCCTCTTCCCTGAGGTCCGGAGCAGCGATCCATCTCACCTGGTCTACATCGATAACGCTGGCAACCTTCAGCACCCTGAGGACAAGCTGAACTTTCGGCTGCTGGAGGGCATAGATGGGTGAGGGTCAAAAGGGTTGGGTGGAAGTTCATGGGACTGAGACCTGATGGCCTTGCTGCAAACCTTGGGACCTTCAACTGTGGCCCTGAGAAGCCCACAGTCCATCAGACAGAAGTTATTGGATCAGAACTTTAGGCGGTGGTGGGGAGCCCTGGGAAAGCTGAGAGGGGATACAGTTGGCAGGGCCTACCCCAATATCCAGAGGGCCTCGTGCCTGCAGAATACTAGCTGTATTGCTGGGGTGTGGGAAGGCTAGTCCTTCCCTTGTTCTGGGTGAGAGAGCTAGGCCAGAGAGTCTACCCCTCCCAGCTCACTCTTGGCAGGCAGCTCTGCCTTCCCAGGATTCTTTCTGGCCCTGCATTTGCCAAGTGGAGCCTGGGATAGCGGAATTTATTCACCTGGCTTCTCTGTAGGATGGGACCCATCTGAAAGGTCTGTCCCCTGCCTTCACAGCAAAGCCAGGCAAAGGGTCCTCTGTTAGTGAGATAGCAGGTGCAGGTCTGGGGAGTTTGCCAGGTGACTTTACCAGAGTTCCTCAGCTATGCAAGCTCTGGCCATCTGGCATCACCTGTTACTGAAATTCTCTGAGATTACTGTTGCTTTTTCTTTCTGTTACGGGGCTCTGGGGCCTTTGCTCCAGGTTTCCTGAGTCTGCCGTGAAGGTTCTCGCATCAGGGTGTCTACAGAACATGCTGCTGAAGTCGCTGCAGATGGACCCAGTGTTCTGGGAAAGCCAAGGCGGAGCCCAGGGGCTGAAGCAGGTCCTCCAGACCCTGGAGCAGCGAGGACAGGTGCTGCTGGGACACATCCAAAAGCACAACCTCACACTCTTCAGGGACGAGGACCCATAAGCCGCACACAGCCCTGAGTCAATGAGCATCCATCCTGATGGCCACATTTTCTTGGGCTCACTCATCTTGAGGACAAATGGGAAAAGCCAGAAGCCAGAGGGGCACAAGGATGTCACGGGATATTTCACCTGCCTGGGATGGTGGAGGTAGTATGGGGTTTTCAATCTCAAAGCGTCCCTTTCTGCCTTCTCGGCTCTGGCTATTTATTCCCTTGCACCAACAAATACATTCGAAAATGTTCTGTGAGCTGCTCAAGAAACTGTAAAAATGTGTGATGCACGTGCATATGCAGAGTGGGAGAACTTTGTGTGTGTGTAGAGGTGTGTAGGTGTGGGTGGCATGTGTGCCCGCCTGCATGCAATACCTGAGACCAACCTAATAAAGGTACAATCTTCATAGAACTGCACTTGCAGCCTGGAGTTGCTCTGGCTGAAAGTAGACTCAGGCTTAAGAAATGAAACATAATGCGTTTGTCTTTATAGACTTTAAATTTTCAATTATTACTCAGTTATGTTTTTGGTTTAAAAAATTATAAAAGTCTAAAAGTAATACATGCTCAGTAAAAACAAGTCCATAAAAAATAGAAGCATATGACAAAAAGCATAAGTCCCACAAACTCCCTAGCGGTGTGTATGTGTGTGTGTGTTATTCATGGTCACACTACATGCAAATTAAAAAATGAAAGTGTGGTCATGCTTTGTCAACTCACTATATTTTTACTTTATTAACTATATTCTGTATCAGCCATCTGAATTGACCCAATCTTTATTGGTGACTGCATGAAATTCCAAGGCAGGGATGTGTCATATTTTCTTTAGCTGGTCCCATAATCATGAACATTTAAGTAGCTCCAATTTTTCATCAATTACAGACATTGCCGCCATGAACATGATTGCATGGCGTGCAAGTATTTCTGCGAGGTAGATTTCCGTACGGGATTTCTGGGGCAAAGGGTATGGGCATTCAGTATTCTGAGAGAAACTGCCAAATTGCTCTCTGAAATGGTGGTGTCAATTTACATTTCTCCCAAGAGGGTAGGAGACTGATTATTTTTCTACACCTTCACCAACACTTGGCATTCTCAGACTTTTGGGTTTTTTTTGGCCTATTTAGGAGGAAAACCGATTTTAAAAGCTGCATTTCCTTAATCATGAATGAAGTCATCTTTCCACTTATTTGCCAGACATTTGTATTTTCTTTTCTGCATTGTCTTTTTGTTTTAAGATGTTTGCCCTTTGCTTGTTAATTTGTTGGAAATCTTTGACTCTAATAAGTGTGATCAATCTTTTCTCTGCTGACTTGGTATAAATGTTTTCTTCCAGCCTCTAATTTGTCTCTTAACTTTGTTTATAGTCTTTTGCCAAGTGTAAAATGTTAATTTCCACGTAGTCAAATTTGTTTATCCTTCCCTTTAAGTCTTTTGAGTTTCATGCCTTCTTAGAAAGGCTGTCACCACTTCAAGATTATTGAAATAATCTGTGTTTTATTCTAGTATTATACAGTATTTCTTATATATTATATAGTATTTCTTATATATTTTCATATATTTCATATATATTCCCTCTAAATTAATATATAAAACCTATATTTTATATGGATTTAAGCAGAGAATGGTGTGAGTTAGGGATCTAACAAGTTTCATTTCCCTTCAAATGGATAGTTAGTTGCTGTAACATTATTTCATAGTCCATTCTTTCTTTACTGCTGTGAAAGTATACTTTTATCAGATATTAGGTTCCCACATGCACAGAGGTCCATTTGTGAACTCTGTTCTGATATTATTTTTCAGTTCCTGCATTAGTATGACAGTGTTTTAATTAAAGTTACTTTATTCTTTTTTGCTGTCTGGTAGGCTGAGTTCCCATATTTTTATTCTACTTTAGTTTTTTCCTTTGCTATTTTTGTGCATTTGTCTTTCATGTGATAATGTCAGTCTATGAAGCATGCCACCCCTCTCCTTTTATCCTCAAAATCCCATTGGTGTTTTGATTGTGATTATATAGAATTTATAATTAGTGGGAATCTGACTTATTTGAATATTGAGTGCTCTCATTCAGGTTTATCAATCCACCTATTCTTTGATAATCTCTAGCAACATTTTTTTGTTTATTGAGACAGGGTCTCACTCTGTCACCCAGGCTGGAGTACAGTGGCAAGATCTCAGCTCACTGCAGCCTCAACCTCCTGGGCTCAAGTGATCCTCTCACCTCAGCCTCCTGAGTAGCTGGGACGGCAAGTGCACACCACCGCGACCAGCTAATTTTTGTATTGTTTTGTAGAGATGGGATTTTGCCATATTGCCCAGGCTGGTCTTGAATTCTTGAGCTCAAAGCATCTGCCCATCCCAGCCTCCAAAGTGCTGGGATTACAGGCATGAGCCACCGAACCCGGCCTCTAGTAACATTTTAATGTTTTCTTCAGCAAATAAGCTCATTTTAAAGATAGTTTGCAATTTCTACTCCTATTGAGAATGAGTTCTTTTTCTTGATTAGATTTTTCTAGATAGAATTTTAGGTGCATATCTTATAGTTTTTAAGTAGAAAATAATATTTTCAAATAATGATAATTTTACATTTATATTTCATAAGTGTGTGTGTGTTCTCCTCTCATTTATTTCTATTGTCTTATTACTTAGGTTGGGAGCTTTCTGGAGGAAAATTGAGTAATAATAGCAACAATAGTAGGCATCCACATCTTATTCTGGACTTTAATGGGAACACCTCTGTGGTTTCTATTATGTTTTGTCAGGTTTAAAGAAATCATTTCTGATAAATATCTTTCATTAAGTTAAGGAAGTTTCTTTTTATTCTTAGCTTACTAAAACCATTTTTCAAAAATCAAGAATGGGGATTGAATTTTATTAAATGCTCTTTTCAATATCTATTGAGCATATAGTTTTTCTCCTTTATTTTCTAATGCTGAATAATCTTTACATTCTCAGAAAAAACCTATTAGGCTGAGGTATGTTAGTATTTTGGGAACTGCAGAATTTAACTTGCCAATATTTTACTTAGAATCTTTGCATATACATTCATAAGGTTTTCCTTTTTGGGCACTCCATGGCTGTCTTACTATTAAATTTAAACATACCTCATAAAATAAATTCAGAATTTTATTTTATCTTTTTAATGCTTTGTAAGAGTTTAAATAAGAACCATTTATTCCTCAAAAGTTTTATAGCACTCTCCCATAAAACCATCTGGGCCCTGTGCCTTTTGCTAGATCTTTTACAACCTAATGTAGGAGATAGGTAACAGGGGCCTGCAATAAACCAACATGCCTGGCATATTCAGTGGGCGTGGAAATGTAGAAGTGTCCTGGGCAAGACTCAGGCCCTTGGAAAAGGGAGTTTGGATTTAGAGATTTCAGGCATTTCTCTTAAGGTCACCAATGTTTATTTGACTTTGACTTTTTGTCTTTTCTCCTCTCTTCTTCCTGTGTTCTCAGTTCTTTCCAAGGATACCCTTATCAAGTGATGCTGTTCCTCTAGGCCTCAGCCAGTTTCTGTTTAACAGTCTCTGCTTTGCCTTCTGCCTGGTAGACCTACACTCAGCCAGAGGTGGGAGTGAGACACTTGTCATCCTAGAAAATGGCAAGAAGAAAGGAATACAAAGAAACATTTCATTGCAAAACATAATGTGGAGCTCTCACATTAGGATGAGGCTCATTCTACTTTGTGACTTAACCAGCCGCTTTGAAATAAAACAGATCTAATCCTGTCTCACCACCGAGAGACTGACATGCAAGTGGACAATGCCCAAACTACATATAATAATAAAACTCTATCCACCACCTCTGTAGCAACCAGCTCAGAGAACCAACCACAATGTCTGTAGCATCTGCTCAGTAGGGTGAAGACCTAGTCAGTGACTGCCAGCTTCCTTATTTTTGTCCCTACTTCCAACTCAGGATCAATCAGAGAAAGCCAAATATGCTCCCCTAACCAATCAGTTAGGATGCCCCACCTCTAGTTTGCCCATCTCCAGTGTCTCTCATGCCAGCAGCCTCCAATCAGGGTGCACCTGGAGCCTTCCCTTTCTTTCTCACTATAAAGCTTTCCCAGTCCCTGCCTGTCTTGGAGTCCCTGCCAAATGCAAGTGATGGTGCTGACCCCCTTGCCGTAGCAAGCCTCTGTCTGTTCTCCCTTGGGTGGTCTTTGTTGATTTCCATACTGCCTGGCTGTAAGAATTAAACAAAGTTAACTAGTAATCCAGGTGAAGGCACTGGCCCGGCAGCTGGAAGGGTAGGCAAACTGAGCCACATTCTGAGAGCAGGTTTCCTTTACACTGAAATGGGGCAGAGGTGGCCGCCTAAGAAAGGAGGGGAAATCTGCCTGGCAGGGTTGCCTGGTTTTGTGGTGTGTGTGTGTGTGTGTGTGTGTGTGTGTGTGTGTGTGTGTATGTAGAGTTTCTCTTTGAAAAGACCAAGCCAGACTCTTCCTGTCAGTGAGCAAGGCCCCAGCTTGCACCAAGCCCTTTTGTGTGCTGATGTGAACAGGTCTGCTCAGCATAGACAGTGGGGGCACATGGGCAGATACGGAGTGGCCCCTCTCAGCCTGCCCAGTGCACAGCAGCCACTTGTAGCACTGTGGCATAGGACCCAGCTCTCCCTCCTTAGCTTATCTGGGAAGGACACCATTTCCAGGCACTCCCATCAACACTGACCTCTTCCTACCTGGGGCGGGGAGAAGGGCAGACTCCCTAGGATAGGTGGTTTACATGGATCAAAGCATTTAACCTCACAGCAACAACATGGGGAGGTGTGATTGTTACTCTCTCCATTTTACAGATGAGGCACAGAGGGGTTAAATAACGTACCTAAGGTCACCCAGCTTGTAGGTAGAAGGGTGGGACTTCAAACCCATCAGGAACTGTGCTAGCAAGTCTCGCTTCCAAGACCACCGCTTTTCCCACCACACTCCCCAGCCCAGCCACCCTGACAGTTCCTCTTCTGCTAATCCCTTTGGATTCAGAAGGATTAGCAGGAGAAGAACTTTCTGTTAAAGATGTGGCAGGGCTGGTTCTCTAGTCCAGGGAGCCGCAAACTGCAACTCCTGGCCAAGCACATTCACATGCATTTGGCTCTTGGCTTGTTAAAGTCTGCCTAATCTATTAGCTGTGTCTTTCCTGCAAACTGGAAACTTCATCCACTTTTATCCTTTTCAAGAAAGCCTCTTTGCCTCAGTGCTTGCTGTTCACCCAGCCATTCCCTCTGGAATGAGAACCATGTGCCAAGTGAAGCAAACAGCTGGGAATCAGTATGTTCCCACTAAGCGTAGAAGAGTCTGTAGGGTTGGAGCTGCCATGGGTCTGCAGTGGGTGGGGTGCCGTGAGGGTTCTGCTCCGATTCAGACAGATGAGCCTCAGAGGCTCTGCTGAGGCAATCACAATTGCCAGCCTCCGTGCTGCCAGACAGGCCTCACCCCAGGTCCAACCTGCTCCTCCTGCATCCCCAGCTGAATGGGCTGCTCCAAGAAAAATGATGGTTTCCAAGCTAGAGGAGCTGAAGATAGTAACACAGGTTCGCAACCTTCTAGATGCGATACCAGCAATTCCCCAGAGCATGAAAATCAAAAGCTTTTTTGTATGTTTGGTGCTAAAACTCATGTCCCACTCAGTGTGAATATTTATACAACTTACTGCAGAAATAGTGATGTGTTGGGTTATTGGGTGTAACCTCGGACTCTGTTGAGGGCACTGCATAATGCACGGCATGTGAACCATATTACCTTTCTAAATCTGAGAGATTCAGAATTCTGAATCACATCTGGCCCCCAGGGTTTGAGTATGGGATTCTGGACAGACCTGTAATAACTCATGCTAAGGGCTTTACACATCTTATCTCATGAATGACTAACAACAACCCCAATTTGATTATGGTTACCCTACAGATAAGGAACAAATGACAGAGGTAGCGGGGAGGGAAAAAAGAGAGGTGGCTTGCCTGAGGCCACACAGATGGGAGCAGCAAATTTTTACCCGTGATGCTGGACAGATGCTTCAGGGATCCTGAGATCTTTGACTTCAGAAGTTTCCAAGGTGGAGGCCCTGGGTGTGGTGCATCTTGGCGATGTGGCCACAGCAGCATCTGAAGGCTCTGTGGTCCTGAGGCCAGAGCCCTGTTCAGTGCAGCCCTTCCTAAACTTATTTTGTCAAAGAGCCCTTCCTTTGGTTTTTTTGTGGCCTTTGTGTTGCTGTTATCTTTGTTTTACAGATGAGGCACAGAGGCGTTAAGTAACGTCTGTCAGCATTCCTCAAGATGCACTTTGAGTCATCCTGACTTGGCTGAAACCCCTTTGTTCTGCAGACAAGGATCCTGAAGTCCAGAAAGGCCTGGCCAAGGATGCAGGCGATGGCTCTCCCCTGGAGGGGTGAATGCGATGCTCCTCCTCCCCTAGCCACGGCCCCCACCCTGAGTGGAATGTCAGATGTGGGTTCCCTGAGTTGGGTTGGGAGCCTGGAGATTGGAAGGAAGCCAAGCAGCTCCTTGGCCCGTTCATCCCCCATGAGGCTGGAGGGATGTGAGGAGCCAGCCCACGTGCCTCAGTGGTCTGAGGTTTAACTGACTTCTGCCATACTGTAGGCCCGTGCTGGGCAGACTATTATCAACTGAGTGGAAGTAGGAAGCATGAGTGCTTATCCTCCTCTGTCTGCACCCCCAGGCACTCTGTGTTTCAAAGGCACCAGAGAGGTTGTGGCTGATCCAGAGAGTGAGTGCTCCGATGGACGAGAGTCGCGGTTGGAAGAATGGGCAGAAGTTCCCATAGCCTGAGCCATCTGGACGGCAGGGCTCTACCCAGGCTGGAGGGGCTGCCCCTCCTGGCAGGAGCTGGTGTCTTCCTTGTGCTCTGATTCCTGCAGTGTGCAGCTCACATGCTTGGAGCCCTGAGCAACCTCCTCAGTGCAGGAGCTCTGGGCTAGCCCCACCCCACCTCTCAGACATCATCCTGGGTCCCCTGGCCTGCTGCTGCGTCTGAGAGCCTGAGCAGACTCTGAAACCATCCATTTGTGGCTGCAGCTGCGAACTTGAGCCAGCATCAGAATCATCTGGAGATCTTGTTGAAACACAGATTGCTGGGCCCCACCCTCAGAGTTTCTGACTCAGTGGGCCTGGGGTGTGGCCTAAGAATCTGCATTTCTGTCAAGTTCCAGGTACTACTGGCACTGCTGGTCCAGGGACAACATTTTTCAAGTCTTTGCTGTTAAGGAAAAGGTGGAGCCTCTCCAGAGTTTATGAAAATGCCAGGCAATTTGGAAATTGTGATGGAATCATTCTACAGTGTATTTGAGAACTAAACAAACAGCTTATTCTAGCAAAATCTGAACTATGTAAGTCCCTCCAAAAGGAGTGTTTGGAGACTGATAGGAAGACTTAGGAAGGATAGGAGATTTAACCCAGCTTTTAATCCAAAGGAAGAAATCTCTGCAAAGAAGGCAGCCATTGGTTTTGGTTTGCTTAAGGACAAGGCAAATATCTGAGGTCCATGTGAGAAGAAACGTCAGGCCCGTAACCATTTCCTCAGGCTGCCTTGACAATCTTCCACCAGTGGGGTGGTTCAAAACCATAGTTCTGGGGGTAAGTCGAAATCAAGGTGTTGGCAGGTTCATGCTGCCACCTGAGGCTCTGGAGAGAATCTGTCGCGTGCTTCTTCTAGCATGTGCTGGCTGCCTGGCATTCCTCCTTTTTTGTTTGTTTGTTTGTTTGTTTGTTTTGAGATGGAGTTTCACTCTTATTGCCCAGGCTGGAGTGCAATGGTGAGATCTCGGCTCACTGCAACCTCCACCTCCCGGGTTCAAGTGATTCTCCTGCCTCAGCCTCCCAAGTAGCTGGGACTACAGGCATATGCCACCACACCTGGCTAATTTTGTATTTTTAGTAGAGATGGGGTTTCTCCATGTTGGTCAGGCTGGATTTGAACTCCCGACCTCAGATGATCCACCCGCCTTGGCCTCCCAAAGTGCTAGGATTACAGGCATGGGCCACCGCACTCGGTCTTGTTTTGTTTTTTTGGTTTGTGGCTGCATTGCTCCAATCCCTACCTCTGTTTTCACATTGCCTTCTCCACTCCATGTGTGTCTGTGTCGAATCTCCCATTGCCTTGCTCGTACAAGGACACTTCACTTGTTATTAGATTTAGGGCCCACCCGCATAATCCAGGGTAAGAGTTTACTCTCAGGATTTTTAGATATCACTTTCACCAAATAAAATACTATTCAGTCTTTTGCATTTAAGGTAGTATTCATAGATTCTGGGGACTAGGAAGTGAATATTTTTTTGGAGGGCCATTCTTTCAGCCTGCCACAGTGAAATACTGTAGTCTGTTCATATTGGCTTGCAAGAGCTTATGTTGTAAAGCACAGCCATTATTAAAAAATAAACCTGATTTTCAGGAGCCAAGATGGCCGAATAGGAACAGCTTCCGGTCTACAGCTCCCAGCGTGAGCGACGCAGAAGACGGGTGATTTCTGCATTTCCATCTGAGATACCGGGTTCATCTCACTAGGGAGTGCCAGACAGTGGGCGCAGGCCAGTGGGTGCGCTCACCGTGCGCGAGCCGAAGCAGGCCGAGGCATTGCCTCACCTGGGAAGCGCAAGGGGTCAGGGAGTTCCCTTTCCAAGTCAAAGAAAGGGGTGACGGACGCACCTGGAAAATCGGGTCACTCCCACCCGAATATTGCCCTTTTCAGACCGGCTTAAAAAACGGCGCACCACGAGACTATATCCCACACCTGGCTCGGAGGGTCCTACGCCCACGGAATCTCGCTGATTGCTAGCACAGCAGTCTGAGATCAAACTGCAAGGCGGCAGCGAGGCTGGGGGAGGGGCGCCCGCCATTGCCCAGGCTTGCTTAGGTAAACAAAGCAGCCGGGAAGCTCAAACTTGGTGGAGCCCACCACAGCTCAAGGAGGCCTGCCTGCCTCTGTAGGCTCCACCTCTGGGAGCAGGGCACAGACAAACAAAAAGACAGCAGTAACCTCTGCAGACTTAAATGTCCCTGTCTGACAGCTTTGAAGAGAGCAGTGGTTCTCCCAGCATGCAGCTGGAGATCTGAGAACGGGCAGACTGCCTCCTCAAGTGGGTCCCTGACCCCTGACCCCCGAGCAGCCTAACTGGGAGGCACCCCCCAGCAGGGGCACACTGACACCTCACATGGCAGGGTATTCCAACAGACCTGCAGCTGAGGGTCCTGTCTGTTAGAAGGAAAACTAACAGAAAGGACATCCACACCGAAAACCCATCTGTACATCACCATCATCAAAGACCAAAAGTAGATAAAACCACAAAGATGGGGAAAAAACAGAACAGAAAAACTGGAAACTCTAAAACGCAGAGCGCCTCTCCTCCTCCAAAGGAACGCAGTTCCTCACCAGCAATGGAACAAAGCTGGATGGAGAATGATTTTGACGAGCTGAGAGAGGAAGGCTTCAGACGATCAAATTACTCTGAGCTACGGGAGGACATTCAAACCAAAGGCAAAGAAGTTGAAAACTTTGAAAAAAATTTAGAAGAATGTATAACTAGAATAACCAATACAGAGAAGTGCTTAAAGGAGCTGATGGAGCTGAAAACCAAGGCTCGAGAACTACGTGAAGAATGCAGAAGCCTCAGGAGCCGATGCGATCAACTGGAAGAAAGGGTGTCAGCAATGGAAGATGAAATGAATGAAATGAAGCGAGAAGGGAAGTTTAGAGAAAAAAGAATAAAAAGAAATGAGCAAAGCCTCCAAGAAATATGGGACTATGTGAAAAGACCAAATCTACGTCTGATTGGTGTACCTGAAAGTGATGCGGAGAATGGAACCAAGTTGGAAAACACTCTGCAGGATATTATCCAGGAGAACTTCCCCAATCTAGCAAAGCAGGCCAACGTTCAGATTCAGGAAATACAGAGAACGCCACAAAGATACTCCTCGAGAAGAGCAACTCCAAGACACATAATTGTCAGATTCACCAAAGTTGAAATGAAGGAAAAAATGTTAAGGGCAGCCAGAGAAAAAGGTCGGGTTACCCTCAAAGGGAAGCCCATCAGACTAACAGCGGATCTCTCGGCAGAAACCCTACAAGCCAGAAGAGAGTGGGGGCCAATATTCAACATTCTTAAAGAAAAGAATTTTCAACCCAGAATTTCATATCCAGCCAAACTAAGCTTCATAAGTGAAGGAGAAATAAAATACTTTACAGACAAGCAAATGCTGAGAGATTTTGTCACCACCAGGCCTGCCCTAAAAGAGCTCCTGAAGGAAGCGCTAAACATGGAAAGGAACAACCGGTACCAGCCGCTGCAAAATCATGCCAAAATGTAAAGACCATCGAGACTAGGAAGAAACTGCATCAACTAACGAGCAAAATCACCAGCTAACATCATAATGACAGGATCAAATTCACACATAACAATATTAACTTTAAATGTAAATGGACTAAATTCTCCAATTAAAAGACACAGACTGGCAAGTTGGATAAAGAGTCAAGACCCATCAGTGTGCTGTATTCAGGAAACCCATCTCACGTGCAGAGACACACATAGGCTCAAAATAAAAGGATGGAGGAAGATCTACCAAGCAAATGGAAAACAAAAAAAGGCAGGGGTTGCAATCCTAGTCTCTGATAAAACAGACTTTAAACCAACAAAGATCAAAAGAGACAAAGAAGGCCATTACATAATGGTAAAGGGATCAATTCAACAAGAGGAGCTAACTATCCTAAATATATATGCACCCAATACAGGAGCACCCAGATTCATAAAGCAAGTCCTGAGTGACCTACAAAGAGATTTAGACTCCCACACATTAATAATGGGAGAATTTAACACCCCACTGTCAATATTAGACAGATCAACGAGACAGAAAGTCAATAAGGATACCCAGGAATTGAACTCAGCTCTGCACCAAGCAGACCTAATAGACATCTACAGAACTCTCCACCCCAAATCAACAGAATATACATTTTTTTCAGCACCACACCACACCTATTCCAAAATTGACCACATAGTTGGAAGTAAAGCTCTCCTCAGCAAATGTAAAAGAACAGAAATTATAACAAACTGTCTCTCAGACCACAGTGCAATCAAACTAGAACTCAGGATTAAGAATCTCACTCAAAGCCACTCAACTACATGGAAACTGAACAACCTGCTCCTGAATGACTACTGGGTACATAACGAAATGAAGGCAGAAATAAAGATGTTCTTTGAAACCAACGAGAACAAAGACACAACATACCAGAATCTCTGGGACGCATTCAAAGCAGTGTGTAGAGGGAAATTTATAGCACTAAATGCCTACAAGAGAAAGCAGGAAAGATCCAAAATTGACACCCTAACATCACAATTAAAAGAACTAGAAAAGCAAGAGCAAACACATTCAAAAGCTAGCAGAAGGCAAGAAATAACTAAAATCAGAGCAGAACTGAAGGAAATAGAGACACAAAAAACCCTTCAAAAAACCAATGAATCCAGGAGCTGGTTTTTTGAAAGGATCAACAAAATTGATAGACCGCTAGCAAGACTAATAAAGAAAAAAAGAGAGAAGAATCAAATAGACACAATAAAAAATGATAAAGGGGATATCACCACCGATCCCACAGAAATACAAACTACCATCAGAGAATACTACAAACACCTCTACGAAAATAAACTAGAAAATCTAGAAGAAATGGATAAATTCCTTGACACATACACTCTCCCAAGACTAAACCAGGAAGGAGTTGAATCTCTGAATAGACCAATAACAGGAGCTGAAATTGTGGCAATAATCAATAGTTTACCAACCAAAAAGAGTCCAGGACCAGATGGATTCACAGCCGAATTCTACCAGAGGTACAAGGAGGAACTGGTACCATTCCTTCTGAAACTATTCCAATCAATAGAAAAAGAGGGAATCCTCCCTAACTCATTTTATGAGGCCAGCATCATTCTGATACCAAAGCCGGGCAGAGACACAACCAAAAAAGAGAATTTTAGACCAATATCCTTGATGAACATTGATGCAAAAATGCTCAATAAAACACTGGCAAACCGAATCCAGCAGCACATCAAAAGGCTTATCCACCATGATCAAGTGGGCTTCATCCCTGGGATGCAAGGCTGGTTCAATATACGCAAATCAATAAATGTAATCCAGCATATAAACAGAGCCAAAGACAAAAACCACATGATTATCTCAATAGATGCAGAAAAAGCCTTTGACAAAATTCAACAACCCTTCATGCTAAAAACTCTCAATAAATTAGGTATTGATGGGACATATCTCAAAATAATAAGAGCTATCTATGACAAACCCACAGCCAATATCATACTGAATGGGCAAAAACTGGAAGCATTCCCTTTGAAAACTGGCACAAGACAGGGATGCCCTCTCTCACCGCTCCTATTCAACATAGTGTTGGAAGTTCTGGCCAGGGCAATCAGGCAGGAGAAGGAAATAAAGGGTATTCAATTAGGAAAAGAGGAAGTCAAATTGTCCCTGTTTGCAGACGACATGATTGTTTATCT
Organism: Homo sapiens; assembly: GCF_000001405.40. Classification (NCBI taxonomy): domain Eukaryota; kingdom Metazoa; phylum Chordata; class Mammalia; order Primates; family Hominidae; genus Homo; species Homo sapiens. The sequence goes on from NC_000003.12 coordinate 43,068,876, forward strand.
AGAAAACCCCATTGTCTCAGCCCCAAATCTCCTTAAGCTGATAAGCAACTTCAGCAAAGTCTCAGGATACAAAATCAATGTACAAAAATCACAAGCATTCCTATACACCAACAACAGACAAACAGAGAGCCAAATCATGAGTGAACTCCCATTCACAATTGCTTCAAAGAGAATAAAATACCTAGGAATCCAACTTACAAGGGATGTGAAGGACCTCTTCAAGGAGAACTACAAACCACTGCTCAAGGAAATAAAAGAGGATACAAACAAATGGAAGAACATTCCATGCTCATGGGTAGGAAGAATCAATATTGTGAAAATGGCCATACTGCCCAAGGTAATTTACAGATTCAATGCCATCCCCATCAAGCTACCAATGACTTTCTTCACAGAATTGGAAAAAACTACTTTAAAGTTCATATGGAACCAAAAAAGAGCCCGCATTGCCAAGTCAATCCTAAGCCAAAAGAACAAAGCTGGAGGCATCACACTACCTGACTTCAAACTATACTACAAGGCTACAGTAACCAAAACAGCATAGTACTGGTACCAAAACAGAGATGTAGATCAATGGAACAGAACAGAGCCCTCAGAAATAATGCCGCATACCTACAACTATCTGATCTTTGACAAACCTGAGAAAAATAAGCAATGGGGAAAGGATTCCCTATTTAATAAATGGTGCTGGGAAAACTGGCTAGCCATATGTAGAAAGCTGAAACTGGATCCCTTCCTTACACCTTATACGAAAATCAATTCAAGATGGATTAAAGATTTAAACGTTAGACCTAAAACCATAACAACCCTAGAAGAAAACCTAGGCATTACCATTCAGGACATAGGCGTGGGCAAGGACTTCATGTCCAAAACACCAAAAGCAATGGCAACCAAAGCCAAAATTGACAAATGGGATCTAATTAAACTAAAGAGCTTCTGCACAGCAAAAGAAACTACCATCAGAGTGAACAGGCAACCTACAACATGGGAGAAAATTTTTGCAACCTACTCATCTGACAAAGGGCTAATATCCAGAATCTACAATGAACTCAAACAAATTTACAAGAAAAAAACAAACAACCCCATCAAAAAGTGGGTGAGGGACATGAACAGACACTTCTCAAAAGAAGACATTTATGCAGCCAAAAAACACATGAAAAAATGCTCATCATCACTGGCCATCAGAGAACTGCAAATCAAAACCACTATGAGATATCATCTCACACCAGTTAGAATGGCAATCATTAAAAAGTCAGGAAACAACGGGTGCTGGAGAGGATGTGGAGAAATAGGAACACTTTTACACTGTTGGTGGGACTGTAAACTAGTTCAACCATTGTGGAAGTCAGTGTGACGATTCCTCAGGGATCTAGAACTAGAAATACCATTTGACCCAGCCATCCCATTACTGGGTATATACCCAAATGACTATAAATCATGCTGCTATAAAGACACATGCACATGTACGTTTATTGCGGCAGTATTCACAATAGCAAAGACTTGGAACCAACCCAAATGTCCAACAATGATAGACTGGATTAAGAAAATGTGGCACATATACACCATGGAATACTATGCAGCCATAAAAAATGATGAGTTCATGTCCTTTGTAGGGACATGGATGAAATTGGAAACCATCATTCTCAGTAAACTATCGCAAGAACAAAAAACCAAACACCGCATATTCTCACTCATAGGTGGGAATTGAACAATGTGATCACATGGACACAGGAAGGGGAATATCACACTCTGGGGACTGTGGTGGGGAGGGGGGAGGGGGGAGGGATAGCATTGGGAGATATACCTAATGCTAGATGACGAGTTAGTGGGTGCAGCACACCAGCATGACACATGTATACATATGTAACTAACCTGCACAATGTGCACATGTACCCTAAAACTTAAAGTATAATTAAAAAATAATAATAATAATAATAGTAATAATAATAATAAAAAAATAAATAAAAAAATAAAAATAAATAAACCTATATGCTGGGTGTCGTAGCGCAAGCCTGTAATCTCAGCTACTCGGGAGGCTGAGGTAGGAGGATCACTTGAGCTCAGTAGTTCAAGACTGGGCAATATAGCGAGACCCCACCTCATTATTTTTTTTAAAAAGCATATCCCAATTGAAGGGTATTAAAAAAGAGGAAAAAAACCTATATATCATTACCATTAAATAAATTACATTGAAACAAAAGTAATAAGTATTCAAAATATATCACTTACAATTATTTTACTACATTTTGCTATCATCTGTGGTCTTGAGGTTATTTACATCTATTGTATATCTGTATGGTGGAAACACCATGTAATTGTGCACTACTATGCATTTCTTTCCAACTCTGCATTCAGTGATGTCACACTGGTGGCCTGGAATCTGCCACGGTAAAAGTATTTATACCATGGAAATCGGTAAATGCCACAATTCGGGACTCTTTGCTTTGGAGAGCCGCTGGAAAGGATGGTCCCCCTGAGGAATGCCAGAGGGGGTCTCCAGATTTCAGGTCCACTTAGGGAAGAGAGCTGGGTGGGGAAGCCACACCTGTTCCTCGCAGGAATCCCAGGCAGAAAATGCTGCCCCCTATTGGTGGAGAGAAATATGGTCATTGTTTCACAACCGGAGAGCCTGGGTGACTCCAGGGAGGCAGCTACCAGGAGCTGTAGCTTATCCCAAAGGGGCTGGCGGCGGAAGCAGTTGGTGTGGGATGAAGGGATGCCCAGGCCACATCATGTTTCAAAGGGTGTGACAGGAATGATAAACCACTCTGCTTGTGAGAAGCCTGTCCCTCCGTCCCTGACTGGAACATGTCACCCTTGCATTGCCTTGTGAATGGGCAGCATTGAGCTTGTCTGAGGGAGGAGGCTCACTCTAAGACAGCCATAAGCACCACCTGGCATGTTCTAAACATTTACAGTGGTCTCACGCTATGCCAAGAGCTTTAGATACTTCCTCATCTCAAACTCTCACAACTCCACAAGGTAGGCATTATTGATCCCATTTGACAGATAAGGAAACCAATGTTCAGAGAGGTTGGGTCTCTTGCCCAAGGTCACAGAGCAGGTAACTAGTGGAGCTGGGATTTGAACCCAGGTCTGTTTGACTCCAGAGCCCTTGGTCCCAACCACTATAGCATCCTTCCTTCCTTCTTATATTCATTCACTCATTCACTTGTTCAACAATTATTATCAAGCAAATTTCCCACAGAGAATGTAGAATTTGGAAGGAGTAAGAGGCCATGCTATGGTGGCCCCACATTCCAGATGTTTGGAGACAGGACCAGTCTTCCATATTCTCTCTGGCTGTCAGAGCGTGTGTCTTGGTGTTGTGTTTGGTAAGCACATCTCCTGTAACTGAGGATCCAGAAAGCCTGGGAGAGTAGACAAAGCACTGTTGGCAAAAGGGGGTCAAAGGAAGATCTCTGCCTACACAGAAATACAGGAGAGACCTCTGTGAATATCTGGAGATATTTCCCCTTGGCCTGGGCTTGTGGGTGAGTAAACAGCCACCGCCTGGCCCTCTGGGGCACGCTGGCCAGTTCAGGTAGACTTCCTCCATCTCTCTCCTGGACTACCCATTTTCCTTTTGCCCAGGCAGGAGGTTTTGGCTCTGAAGGATGCCTTGCTATGGACATTGGTCTTTCCTCTCCTCACACATGCATCTACCCTGCCCCAATGCCTCTTCAAAGGGGAGGAGGCCCAAGGAAATTTCTTATGATCTCTCCAAGGAACTGTGGAGTTCTTCCTCCTCCGTTGCCTCTTCCTCCCAACGCTGGACCAGCAAAGGTGCTGCCTGAGGCCTCTCCTGACCTATCTTGGGTTCTGGTTAGCATTGCTCAGGGGTGCTCATTTCAGGGGTCTGGAGATATGGCATTTGGGTATAGGGGCTGAAGACTTTTGGGGTGGCTGGGAGCTCAGCCTTTGGGACCTCTGGGCAGGGCACATTGGGTGGTTTTGTCCAAGCAACCAGGGAAGAATCACTGAGTCTCCAAAGCAATGTAACCAGAGAGGAAAGTGTCTCTAGGTGGAAACTCGGGGTTTGAGACATCTCACACAGCAGCAGAGGTAGCACTCAGTTTGTGCAGGAAAATATCAGTAGGGGTCATGGGTCCAGTGGACTTGGAAGAGGCTGGGTAGGGGAGAGTGCTGGACTGCAGGACTGCCCACCCTGGGAAGCTGTGGGGCAGAGGAGGAAGCACCTCTTGGGGAGATGGTGGAGTGAGTCCCAGGGAATCCCAGAGGTGGTGTTGGTTAGAGGGGTGCTGGCGATGGGAGGGGCTTGGCCTTCAAGAAAGAAGCAGGCTTACTTACATATGTGAGGTGTGATCTGAGAAATGCTAGGAAAGTCTAACTTGGCCCCACTGACCTGCTGCTAGTGTCCGAAATTCCACTGTAGGACCTAGCTCCTCGTAAGGATTCCTAGGGAACATCTGGCCTTTTGAGGCAGGTGCAGGGAGAGAGTAGAAGGTGGAGTGATAGGTCCACCACAGGCATGTCCCCTGACCCAGAGCAGGCTAAGGTGGGTGAGCTCTAGAAGGTCCCTAGTGCACCAGGGAATGGAGGTCCAGGGCCCCTCAAGGTGTAGGTATAGGTAAAGTCACTTAGCTGATGGATATGAGGATATGGATTTTTACAGTCTCCTGTGCGTGTCTTCCCAGCAACATTTGCTATGGGATCATTGTATACCACAGACTCTGCATAACAACAGGAAACAGGGCTTTGCCCTCCATGTGTCCATGTGTCAGGCGAGTGGTGCACTGGGCATCACCTTGGGTACGAGGAGCATGACCCGGGAAGCCATGCCTAAAGGGAATGGTAAGGGTGCCCTGCTTCTTGGATATCTGATTGTCTGGTTCTCATGACTGCTGCTTCATTTAAAACATGCACCCACACACAACAGTGGGGTAGGATCCCAGGCATCTTGGATGATTTTCACATCAGGAATGAATGGATGCATCCTTTCTCTGCCCTGCCCACATGGAAGTTCTGCAGCCCACATGAAGGCACATCTAGTTCTGGTGGGTGACCATGGTGAATGTCAGGGATTGGGCTGCCTAACCTCCTCCACCCACCCTCCTTCTACGGAGCCTCCTGCGCTGCTGAGACTGAAAAGCTGCACACTCCATTACCCAGGCTCCCTTGCAGCCTCCTGCGCTGCTGAGACTGAAAAGCTGCACACTCCATTACCCAGGCTCCCTTGCAGCTGGGCTCTGGATGCAAATTAGATTCTACCATTCAGATGCTCTCCTGGGAGGGCCGTCCTCCTGTGTAGACGTCCTCCTGTACCTTTTAGCTATTTTCAGTTCACAGGCAAAGTGGTGGAGATGAGAGGTGTTCTAGAGCAGGCTTCAGTATCCACTTGACAGCTTTCTGGGTCCCAAGGGTGGGAGGTTGGCAGAGTGGGGCTGGACTGTGATTCCAGTGCCCAGTCACCACCTTTGTGATGGTTGAGAGGTGGTTGTGGCACTGGTGACAGCATCCTGATCCCTAAATCCCAGCTCCATTTGTGGTTCTTGAACTCACAGCCCCAGCAGCAGCCTCTGGGGTTGTGTTTGCAGAATTGTTCCTTGAGGCCCACCCTGGAACACTCTCCCCCAGCCCTTCCAAGGATTTCTTAAACACTTTCTGTTTTGGAAAAAATTACAAATTCACAGAAGTTGCAAAAATAGTACAGGGAGGTCCTGTGTACCCTTCACCCAGTTTCTCCCGTAGTTACATCTTCCTTAATTGTAGTGTGATATCAAAACTAAGAACTTGACATTGGTACAATATGTGTGATTCCACAGTCCTCTTATCACGTGTACACTCATCAAACACCACGGCAATCAAGATAAAGAACTGTTTCATCACCACAAAGATCTCCTGCACTCCTATATAATCAACCTACCCCTTTCGCTCTCTGCCATTCCTAAACCCTGACAACCACAAATCTGTTCTCCATTTCTATAATTTTGTCATTTCAAGAGAAATGTTACATAAATGGAACCACCCAGGATGTAAACTTTTGAGGTTGGCTTTTCTTCCACTCAGCACAATGTCCTTGAGACCCATCCAAGTTGTTGATGTATCAGTAACCCACTCCCTTTTGTTGCTGAGTAGTATTCCGTGGTATGGATGTACCACGTTTTGTTTAACGATTTGCCCATTGAAGGACATCTGGGTCATTTTCAGTTCTTGGCTATTGCAAATAAATCTGCTTGGAACATTTGGAACATTTGTGTACAGGCTTTTGTGTGAACATCATTTTCATTTTTCTGGGGTAAATGCCCAGGAGTCCAATTTCTGAGTCACAGGGTAAGTATATGTTTAATTTCTCAAGAAACTGCTCATGTATTTCACAGAGTACATTTTACATTCTTACCAGCAATGAATGTAAACCCAGTTGTTCTGCATGTTTGCTGGCATTTGGTATTGTCGCTGTTTCTTATTTTAGTGGAGGCATGGTTGAGTCTTCCTTCTCCACCAGTGTCTCTATATTTGAACTTGGAAAATGGGAATGATTTGGGGATATTAACCTCACGGTTATACAGTAATCCACCCCCACCCTCATTTTCCATTAGTTGGAAAAGGTAGCATTGTGAAATATTGTTTATCAGAAATTCAAATTGAACTGGGTGTCCCCTACTTTTGTTTGCTAAATTTAGCAACCCTAGGAAAAGGCTGACCTACCCAAACCAGTCAAAAGTCTGAAAGTACAAGACTCAAAAACACATCATTTGATTATTTCCACTAGATATAAGCTCCCAGAAGGCAAAGATTACATCTTCTTGTACTTCTTATTCCCAGGATCCAGGATAGAATTATCTCAAATTCTAAATTAGTTGTGTGTGACTTCATGAAATTTTTTTCTTTGAGAAGAGAAACTCCTTTGGTTAAAGGACACACAGCTTTCTGACTATACTGCTGTTTGGAAGGGGTGTGTTTTTTAAAATGTTAATTAGAATTTATTTGGCTTTCGAAAATTCATAAACATAATGGAAACAGAAATGACACAGGAGGCTTCAGACCACATCCCTTTAAGGTAACTACTCTGCCCACCTGCTTTCCCACAGGCTCAGTGTGGCCAGAGCTGACTGCGAGGCTGGCTTTATGCTGCTGCTGTGGTGGGACCTGGGCCCCATAACCTGTACCCTCCTGAAGGGAGGCCCACAGTGCCAGTCCACAGGTCGATGCAGCCTTGGTTCGCTGCCTCTGGTGCTGACTGCAGGGGCCTGGCCAGGCCATCATGATCACCAGTGGTGGGGACTGGGAGGGTGCAGGGCTGCACTTCTGCAGAGACCAATGGTGGCAGCAGGAGGCTGCCTCCCTTCTTTCCTTCCCTGCATCTGGAAGAGGACTACTTGGAGGCCTGAAACTGCCCTCCTATCCTGAAGGGTGGAAACCCTGGCTTAACTAGGTCTTCCATCAGTTGTGGGCCACATGGACTGTGAGGCAGGGCCTGGTGCAGAGGTTGGTGCACCTGGACAGCCTGATTATATCGGGCTGTGGCTGATTGGGAACAGCTGGAAGCTGGTCAGGGGCTGAGGAACACCTACCTGAGGCATTCCTTATGTGTTCAAGTTCCCACATGGGCCCCCTGCCCAGACGTGGCACACCCCTGCTGCCACCCCACCTACAGCCAGAAGGATGCTTTCAGAGCTGACTCATGGTGGAGGTCAGGGGGAAGAGGAGCAGAGGCCAAGGGCTGAGGAGCTCTGGCCCAGGGAGCTGCTGGGTTACTTGTGACAGGCTTTGGCCTAGTAGCTGCCTACATATCCCAGACCTCAGCTCTCTCTTGTGCTCTTACCTTCACCTGACTCTTTGATGGTTAAGATGCAGATTTATAATAAACAGGATAGAGAAATGTAAATGCCCCTAATGTTACGTAAGTTCTTATCACTCCTGTGTGTGTTTGTGTATGTATGTATATATAGGAGTCATAAGAGATTATTTATACATTCATCCCCCTATGAATATGAGGATGATGGAGATGGTCTCTATCGTGTAGGGATGTGTGTGTTACATGGATGTATGTATTTGTCAAAACTCACGTAACTCTACACTGACGATCTGAGTATTTCACCATAAACACCAATAAATGGTTTTTTTTAAAAAAAGCAGCAGCAGCAAAAGAAAAAATGCTGCTACTATTCAGTGCTATCAAGGGGTGGCCTGGGCTGCTGGGCATGGATCCAGCTCCTCCATGGAGCCTGGGGGAAGGAGGCTAATTTCCTAGTGATTGTACACAACGTTCTCTAGCTAACCAAAGTCTTGTTTCCAAAGAATAGTCATCAGTGACATGGCAGAGTGTTCATGTCTTAATGTTAAAGAGGAAAAAAAAGAGGGGGGCAAAATTTCACATAAAGCGGATTCCCAATTTGTAAAAAAGTTTGGACAAAGGCAGAGATACACATATTCATTGAGGCAAGGAACCATTCATTGAGCTTTCGCTTGGCTGTGACCCACATGACACAAACCCTCACTGAGCTCCCAGCCTGTGAGCAAGGTCTTGCGGAGAGGTAAGTGCTTCCTGGGAGACAGTGGCGGGGCCAGCAGAGTTAAGGCTTTTTGGGTGTGACAAACTGGGTTTTCAGGAGAGCTGGCCCTTGGGCTAAGTGGTCTTCCTTTTAAATCAAGGTGTGCCATACAGAAAGCACAGAGGTGAGTGAGTGCACTAATGTACCGTGTAAGCAGGATGATGGCTTTCCTCAATGTCCACGGTGCAACCACCATCCAAGACCACAATGTTGCCAACCCACAACCCCCTTGTGTCCATCCCAGTCTTTACCTCCTTTCCCGGTAACCACCATTCTGACTTCCATCGCCATAAGTTTGTATTCCTGTTCTAGGACTTCATACAAATGGAACCATACAGTAAGTATTTTGGGTCTGCCTTCTTTTACTCAATGTTGTCTGAGATTCACTTCATTCTTTTTAAAATTGTTGTGTCCATTGTATGAATATACCTGTTGATGGACACTTGAATTGTTTATGGTGTTTGGCCATTAAGAGTAGAACCATGGACATTTTAAGACATGTCTTTTTGCTGACATAAGCACTCATTTCTCTTGGGTATATATCTCAAGAAGTGGAATTGCTGAGAGATAGGACAACTAAGTGCTCAGCTTTAGTAAAAACTGCCAAATGGTTTTCCAAGTGGTTGTACCATTTCACTCCCCCAGCCCCAGCAGTGTATGAGATCTCTGGCTTTGAGCTGAGTCTTGATGTGTGGATTCTCATGGCAGTTTATGGTGGCAGCAGATGGAAGCTACAGTTAGGGAGAAAGATATTCTGGATGAAAGGAATGTCATAAAGATCCATGGCGACCATGAAAATGCACCATTCAGATCTCCTGCAGCAGAGAACAAGGGATGGCTCAGCTGCCATGCTGAATCCACCAAGGTACTGATGCTGAGGCCACACTTCCCACTGCGGCTCCCAGGTGACGACTAGCATCGGCGGGTGGGAGGGAATACTTATCTAATGGACACCTTTGGCTCAAAACTCCCCGATCAGCCTGCTGAGAGGTTCTCAGCACTGAGCTACAGCCTGAGGCTCTACCTCCTCTCCCCAGCTTCTCTCCCTCTCCCCCTTACAGGAGTCAGACCTGCAGCAGGTCTCCCCAACAATAAAAGGCCAAAACTCCTCTTTCTTCAGGACAGATTTTATCTTGGGCTAACTTTCTAGCTCTGCTCCCATGGAAGCCAGACAAGCCAGTTAGCTGAATGTCAGGTACAGTATTAGGCCAAACTGCCCATGGGAGTTTTTGACCTCTGATTGATAAGCTACACCTGGGCTGGAAGGACAAAGAATAAGCTATACCATCTGGTAAGAAACCATGGCCTTAGGCTTCCCTAAGTGCAGAAACTCATAACTGGGCATGTCCCTTGAGGGACCCTGGGAACTCTGATTGTGGGTTGTTGAAAACACATTGACTCCTATGGGGCATGGGCTTCTGAATCAAGGTGGCCCTCAGGAGTACTGATGTAAGGACTGCTCCTGTGGAAGGGAACTGCTGACATGGCCCTGCTGGCATGCTGAGCATCTCTCTCCATCCTTCTAAGAAACTCTGATGCCAGGTATGATCTGTCCAGGTCTTGCGAGTCTTAATGTCTAGTTGAGCCCAAAAAAAAACCCATGGTGGATACAGCTCTTCCTCCCCTCAGCCCTCTCCTACCTACTTCTAGGCTTTTATCCCATGTAGGTGGAACTGTGATATTAGTCCAGCTAGTCAAGATGAAATCCAACCAGCTTGCTCACTTTGCCATCCTGGGCGCTTTCCCATTGCCACGTCTCCCTAGCTAACAATCAAGATTAAAGGGCACCTGGGTTTTGACGACCAGCTCCCCTTCCTCCCATCCAATAAGAAGACTTGACCAAGATGCTTAGAATCATTTAATGAATGTTCCAAACACACCCTTCACTGGGCTACAGGTAAATTTCACTGGGATGGAAGCAGATGAACCACCCAATCAAACAGTACATGATTACTCGGTTTCCAGAAATCTGGATACCAGAAAAACTCAGTAGGAAACATCAGGATCACCTAGCCAGAGGTTCCTTGTGATTCTTTGCTTCCTCCTCTCCTCTTCCTCCTCCCTGCTAAGGAACTTCTCCAGGGGTACAAATGTTCAGGATGGGAGAAGGGGAAGTCAGGTCCCTTATCTCTAGGGCAAAGAGGAGTGCTGTGACACCACACCCCAGAGACAACAAGATGATGTGGAGGCACAGGCCTGCTCAATAAATAGTTCCCAGAAGTCTCCACAGTGGGATTAATGGGCCCAGGGACGCTGAACTGCAGGAGCCACCTTCCCGAGGCCAGGCTGTGGCCTGCTCGCTACGTGTTGCACACCAGCACATCTGCAAAGGGTCCCAGGAGGATCTTGTTGAAGATGCAGCGGACCCACACCAGGTAGGTGGTGAAGGGCTTGATGTTCTCAGTGAAGGTGTGGTTCTGCAGAGCCAGGATGTAAGGCACGTAGGTGTTCTCCCCCTGCTCCTGCAGCCACACCTCGTACTTCACCTCCCTCACCTTCAGGTATTTAAGGTTCCATGGGATCTGCCAGGAGACAGTGAGGCGGGCCTCGGAGGCGCCATGCACTGACGCCTGGCACCGTGCCTCCCGCACCTTGCCTGGATATAGGCCGACTGTCCACTTCTGCTTCCGTGGTCCTGGCCGGCCCTTCACCACGCGCCGTATGGTTTGAATGAGGGACGGGATGTCCACCTTGGTGTCCTGGTAGATTCGGAAGAGCCACTCGGGGTTCCGGCAACAGAGATGCCGTGGGACCTCACGGCTTTGCAGGATACGGGCTTGCTCAGCCCGGTCCAGATGGGTGATGCCCCCCTGATCCCAGGGCCGCTCAGGGTGTGTGACTGTGTTCTCTGGCATCATGTTCCGCCAGGCTACATACTGGAGGTCCATGCCAGGCAGCATGGCCAGCGTCTTATAGGGAGTGTAGTGGTCGGGATTGACAGCATATGGGAAGAGCTCTACCACAGTTGCCCCACGGGGCAGGAAGAGGGTGGTGACCAGCTGGGCCCCATGCATGCTGACCAGCATGGAGGCATTGCTGACCAGCCGCACGACATCAGCAAAGGTGTGGTCCTCCAGGGACACTGTCACTGTCTTCATCTGGAACTCCTGGGCCAGTGCCAGCAGCAGCTCTGCCTCATTCAGAATGAGTCTGTTCTGGGTTCGGCTAAAGACCAGAATGTACTCCTCGCCTAGGGGGACTCCTGTGTGGCTCACGTTCAGCTTTTCTGTCATGAACCGTGCAAACTGCCGGATCTCATTGCCTGAGACGAGGATGTTGGCCTTCGGGCCCTGGGGCTGCACAAAGCCATACTGGTACCAGGTAGTGATCTTGGAGAGGCCCACAAAAGCATGGGAGAAGCACAGCAGCCGGCCCAGGGTCTTCAGCTGTGCCCGCAGGAGAGGCTGCTTGGGGCTGAGCAGCTTGTAGAGGTCGAAGTGTGCACCCTCGCCCCAGCCCTCCATGAAGAAGAGCCGTGCCTCGTGGGCCAGGCCGGGAAACTGCCGCAGGGTGTAGAAGAGTGGCAGCAGGTCGTCATGAAAGACGTGCATGAGGTTGTCGGGGTTGAAGCGGTTGGCGATGAGGGCCACGTCTGGCACGAACACCGGCTTGGGCATGAAGCGCAGGGCAGCAGCAGGCAGCTCCACGAAGTTGAAGTACTGAGTGTTGTGGTCCTCCACGGTGGATAGGTCGAGCAGGGCTGGCTGGAAGCGCCGGGAGCCCAGGTTGGGCAGCATGACAGAGGTGTTGCCATGGAAGAAGATGAACTCCTCAGCCTCGTTGGAGTAGCAGAGCCACTTGAAGCGGCAGATGCGGTCTGTGTGCGTGCGGCCCGTGCACACCATGTGTGTGCCGCCCTCCATCAGGATCTGCAGTGCCTTCGGGTAGTCGATCCTCAGTGCTGGGGCTGGCTCTGTGGCCTGTCGGCTGAGGGCCAGCTCCTCCTCCAGTGTGGCTGCATGCTCACGCAGCCGCACATGCTTCCACAGGACCGCTGCCAGCACCGACACCAGGAGGGCGTTGAACACCGCCGAGAGGTGCATCCTAATGCCACTGTGGGGCCCTAATGAGATGACGGCCACTGGGAAGCACCACAGGCCAGGCAGGCTTCACCCATCCCTATGGGCATCCTGAGAACTGGTGAAAGCCTGCAGGAGGAGAGAAGGAAAAGAAAAAGGAATTGGCAGTCTTCCTGGCATCATTACAAGCTCCTGCTATGTGCCAGGCACGGTAGCTAGGCTCTGTGTGCCCGCTACAGCACTGGATCCTTGCAGCCATTGTGCACATTGGTAGGCGTGGTAGATTAGACCATTGTTTAAAATATTCTCTCCCTCCCCATCGCCTCCATGTTGGAAAGTGCATCCCCACACCCGACTTTGGGCTTAGCCATTTAACTTGCTTTGGCCAGTGAGATGTCAGCAGACAGAACATAATCAAAGGTTTGGAAAGTGTTTGGGCTGGCCTTGCCCTCTTTATGACACTGCCATAAGAAGAATGTATTCAGGCTAACTTGCTGGCCCCAAGAGGAGCGAGATACGCATGAAGCAGAACTGCTCCGGCCATGCCCTGTTCTAGTTCAGCTGATCCCTCATGACTGAGTGGGCCCAGCCAAGAGCAGCAGTGCGATCAGCCAAACGCAGCCAAGATCAGCCAACACATAGACATCAGGGCTGAGCAACAGCTGATTAAACATCCCTGAAATTCTGGGGCTGTTTGTGATGAAGCACTGCTGCAGCAAAAGCTAACAAAGAGAGGCCATAGGAAAGACAGGCCATAGGAAAATCCCTTGCAGGGGCCTGACATTCCTGGACTCTGGGTAATGACTTTTCCTTAAATGAGAACAACTGGCATTGGAGATCTGTGAACACTGTTCCCAGGTTGCACACCAAGACCCCAGTATGCCGCCTTTGAGAGACACACACACGTATGGTCAGCTAAGCTTTGCTCCTGCTTAAAGCTCCTTTAGAAATCATGCCTGCTGGCTTTCAGAATCCCTTAGGAGGAGGGTAGAAACTTGTCCCCTCAGTGGTAAGATAATTGTATCTGGGTATCATCATTGAAAAATGTTTTGTGTACTGAGGCAAAAAAAACCAATAGGGTTTTAAATGCCCTCTCCCATATACACACACTGACAGAGAGGCCTGGCTAGGGGTAAGCATTTACTCCCTCTTCTTGCGATATTGTGAAGGGTATCATGCCTGCTCTGGGACCCAGGATTATTCAGACAGTTGAAGAAGCTCATCCTTTGTGACACAGGAGCAGCACAGGTAACAGCTGACACCTGCAGGGCACTGCACCGGGAGGGAGTAGCTGCTCCTTTATTCCCTTGTGGCTAGGTCCTGATGCAATTCCTGCCTCCCTGCAATGAAAAGAATCCAAGTGCATCTTGCCTAGAAAGAGAAGGTGTCTTTAGCTAGGTTCCCTAAGAAGTAGAGTCAGGGGCAAGGATTTGAATCAAAACAGTTTGAGAAATTATCCCATGAAACACGTGTAGGGGAATGGGAAAGTGAGAACAGAGAAGGGACCAAAGCCAACACATACAGGGTACATTAATGAGCAGTTAATGCCATGTGTAGCCTTCCTCCCATGATCATATGCTGGATATAGTATGGAAGCTGGGATACATGTCTATCAACTCCTGTTGGGCATTACTTAGTTGAAGGTCATTCCTGGAGGCATGAGATCTCTTCTGGCCTACTCTTATCCAAAGGTTGGGCCCACACATATGAATATATCATATACTCCCCACCTCCAAACTTCAGGAAATGAAAATTACCGTGACCAAGTATCATACATTCTAGCTTTTTTTTTCTAGTACACTGTATTCTAAGTTCATTAACAACAACAGAAACAAAACAAAACAAAAAACCTGCCCATAATCATCTTAATTAACTTTCCGACCTACTCACCAGGTTGGCAACTTACTGTTTAAAAAATACTGGTCTACTCCAGATGTTCTCAAGCCTGGCTGATTACTGGAATCCTCAGGAGTAGTTGCTAAATAAAAATCCATATTCCCAGGCACCAGTCCTGGAGGTTCTGATTCAGTAGGTCTGGAGTATGGCTCAGGCATCTGCATTATTTGTTTCTTTTATTTCCTGCCTTCTTGTGAATTACTTGAATTCCACTTTGATTTATCAGTAGTGTTTTTGAGTATATCCCTTGATATAGATTTTCTAGTGGTTGCTCTAGGCATCATACTATAATCTGTAACTTATCACAGTCTACTGGTATTGACATTTTACGTTTCGAATAAGTGTAGAAACTTTACCTCCACCTAGGTTCCTTTATAATTGTCTTATGTGTTTCCTCTACATATAATGAGACCCACATCAGACAGTAATTTTGGCTTCAACTGTCAAGTATGATTTCCTCAAGAGGGAAAGGATCATCTATTATATTCACCCATATTTTTACTCTTTATGTTCGTCCCTCATTCCTGATGTTCCAGGTTTCCTTCCATTCCTATATCCCTTCTTTGAAGAACTTCTGTTAGTTCACTATTCTTTTAAGGTCAACTTCCTGGCAACAAATTCTCTTAGTTTTCCTTCATGTCGAAATGTCTGATTTTAGCTTCATTCCTAAAGGATATTTTCACTGCGTATAGAATTTGGGGTACAGATTTTCCTTCTTTCAGTATGTGAAAAATGATGCTGTGACACCTCCTCTGGCCTCTGTGACTGCTGATGAGGAACTGCTACCCTTCGAATTGTTTTTCCCTGGAGGGAATGCATTGTCTCCTGCTGCTCTTAAGATTTTGTTGAGTTTTCAAAAGTTTGACTCTGAGGTGCCTTGGTGTGGGTTTCTTTGGGTTTATCCTCTTTGGGGTTTGCTCAGATTCTTGAATCTGTAGGCTCATGCCTTCCCCCAAATGTGGGAAATAGCCATTATTTCCTTGAAAACTTTTTCAGCCCCACACTGCTCTCCTAGGACTCCAATTACACCAATGCTAGATTAAAAAAAAAAAATTGTATTGGCCAGGGGCGGTGGTTCACACCTGTAATCCCAGCACTTTGGGAGGCCAAGGCGGGTGGATCACGAGGTCAGGAGTTCGAGACCACCCTGGCTAACATGGTGAAACCCCATGTCTACTAAAAATACAAAAAATTAGCCAGGCATGGTGGCGGGCGCCTGTAGTCCCAGCTACTCGGGAGACTGAGGCAGGAGAATGGCATGAACCCAGGAGGTGGAGCTTGCAGTGAGCCGAGATCGCACCACTGCACTCCAGCCTGGGTGACAGACAGAGCGAGACTCCGTCTCAAAAAAAAAAAAAAAAATTGTACTGTCCCACAGATCTCTGAAGCTCTGTTAATTTTTTTCCGGTATTTTTTCTCCCTGTTGTTCAGACTGGATGATTTCTATCATTCTGGCTTCATGTTCGCTGATTCTTTCCTGTGTCCTTTTTATTCCTGATTGAGCCCATTCAGTAATTTTAAAATTCTGCTTACTCTATTTTTCATATCTAAAATTTCCATTTAGTTTTTATAACTTCTTTTTTTTTGCTAAAACTTATCCTGGACATTTCGGTCATAATGTTATGATACTCTGGATCTTACTTAAATCTTCTATTTTAGTAGCTTCTGTTAAAACTGTACTGGTGGGGGAAAGGAGAGCATTGACTCTTTACTGTTGGGCGGGGGTGGGCATCCAGGCTCCCTACTCAGCCTCCACCAATACCATCGTGGCTGGGAGGGGGAGGGATACTCAGCACAGAGTGTGTGTCAGGGTGTCAAAACCCAGGCTCTGCAGTTGGCCTCCAATGACACCCTGGGGTGTGGATGGAAGTCTAGGCCCCAAGAGGACTATGGTAGTGAAGGACGTATGTTACTACTAGGCGGTCGTGAAAGTCTAGGCTTCCCATCAAGTGGGGAGGGTGTGGGGCAGCTGGTTACCCCTAGGCAAAGGTGGAAGTCTAGGCTATCTGATATGGTTTGGCTCTGTGTCCCCATCCAAATCTCATCTTGTAGCTCCCATAATTCCCACATGTTGTGGGAAGGACCTGGTGTGAGATGACTGCATCTTGGGTTGGGGGGGGTTCTTTCCTGTGCTGTTCTCGTGATAGTGAATGGGTCTCACTAGATCTGATAGTTTTAAAAACAGGAGTTTCTTTGCACAAGCTCTCTCTTTGCCTGCTGCCATTCACGTAAGATGTGCCTTGTTCCTTCTTGCCCTCTCCCATGATTGTGAGGCCTCCCCAGCCATGTGGAACTGTAAGTCCAATAAACCTCTTTCTTTTGTGAATTGCCCAGTCTTGGGTATGTCTTTATCGGCATGAAAACGGACTAATACGCTATCCATCTGGCCTTTACTAAAACTGAGGGGTGGAGGAGGAGGAAATTTTCCCTGGTGTTTTGCAGGAATGGGGTATTTACAGCAAAAAAAAAAAAGTTTTGCTAAACTGTTCCTTCTTCCAGTCCTTTGACAAAAGAGACCAAGCTTCCTTGGGGCTTTGTTTTGTTCTGTGCTCACTGGCATTCCTGGATTGTGGGCTTCTCTAGCACCACGGTAGAATATATAGGAGGCAAGAAGAAAACCCAGAGAACTCACCATTATGTTGTTCTGTGAGTTCCAGGATCCCCAGCTGGTTCACTCTTTTCTCCACCTTTCAGTCTTCCAATGTTTTATATATAATGTCCAGTATTTTTAGCTATATTAGTAAAAGGGATAGGGATAAATTTGTCTACTCTATTTTGACCAGAACCTGAGGTATCCTTGGCATCCTGCTTTTTTTTAACCAAGCTCCCAGGTGATTCTGGGGTACAAACAGGTTTGAGGAAAACCAAGTAGCTCTTAACCAAAGAAGCAGGCCATGAATCACATTACCACTTATCAGTTTAAAAGCTTGGAAATGTTTTCTTATTTCTTCTGTATATAAATTAGAGTAGGCTCAATGTCATCCTTATAATCACATCACCATCACTCAGTTGCTTTCTGATACATCTTGAGTCAGGAAGATGAGGATCACCATTTAGCTTGCACAAGAACCCACAACCCCACTGCCTAAGCTGTGGGCAGCAGTGAGCAGCCTACATGTTAGTTATGCCTTATTAATAGCAACAGCTAGTATGAGTTACTGTTCTGCTTTACTTCACTGCAAAATATCTTTTGGGTTTCAACAACACCTGTATGCCCATAGGAGTATGCCATGCATGTGACTCTTCCCTATCACGTACTATGGGGGAAAGACAAAGGGCCAAACGTTGCAGCAGGAACCCTGCAGAACTTCAGATCAGGTCTATCACTTTGCTCTGTGACACTGGACATGCTGCTATGCCTCTCTGGCTCCTGGGTGCCTGGATGATCAGATAAAGCATCACGCTGACCTGGGCTTCTCACCTGTTTAGCAATAAACTATGAAGCAGGATGCCAGCAATAAACATAAGCCCAGCTAAGCCAGGATACAAAGGAGTGGCTTCATTTTTTGTTCTCAGAAGGGAGAAAGGAGAGGTGACTCCCACTCAGGCAATCATGTCTACCCAGAACCTTAGAAGATGACCTTATTTGGAAAAAGGCTCTTTGCACAGACAATTAGATAAGAATCTTGAAATGAGATCATACTGGATGAGGATGGGTCATAAATCCAATGTGACTACCCTTAAAAGAGACAGAAAAGGACACACGGAGAAACAGAAGGCCATGTGAAGATGAAGACGAGACTGGAGTGATGTAGTTATAAGCCAAAGAGCCAGCCCGGATGACCAAAACCATTAGAAGCAAAATAGAAGAAAGGAAGGATTCTCCCCTAGAGCCTTCAGAGGGAGCATGGCCCTGCTGACACCTCAATCTTAGACTTCTGGCTTCTAGAACTGGGAGAGAATAAATTTCTTTCATTTTAAGCCACTAAATGTGTGCTAATTTGTTGCAGCAGCTCTAGAAAACTAATATAGGGACCATAAGAATTCATTTGAAAAAGGGGTTCTGTGCTCTTAAGAAGGAATTCCACTGCTACAAAGGTTAACAACCACTAAGCAAGTCCTCATTTTACGCAGAGAAGCAATTTGCCCAATGTCACACAGCAAATCAGGAAAAAGAATGGAAGTGTTCTAGAACACACCTGCTGCAGCACTGCCTCCCAGTGGGGATGACTAGGGAGACCAGCAGGTCACCAGCAGGCCCAGCTGTGCAGCTTCTGTGTTCAGGTTCTCATGAAGTTAGGACTCCACTTCGCCATCCACCTGCCTAGCTCCACGGCCCAGACCAGTCTGATATGGATGAGCTGCTTGAACCCTCCTGAGGGGTGGGGAACTTCTATCTAGGACGGTCAGAACACCTCAGTCTCGGGAAGCCAACTCCATACATTAGTTTGACTTGTGGATTGGCTCTTCTGGAGACACCTTTAAAGGTATCACTGATCAATCAGTAGCTATCACATCATCTCCCAAACCAGCCTGGCTCTCAGTTTCCAATGCATTACTGGTTGCAGGTAGCTCCCAGAAGAGGATATGCACTGTCTGGATAAGTTTGAGGATAAAAAGACAGAAAGACTTGGGTTCAAACCCCAGCTCCTCGACCTACTGCATGTCCTTTCTAAACTCAGGCTCCTCATCAATGAAAATGGGGGTACAGTACCCACCTCACAGGAATGTGGAGGTAAGAAATGATGTATAGTTGAATTTTGTGAATGGTGATACTCAACCACTTTTGACTTATAAGAACCACAATTTCATTCCATCAGGTTCAACCTAACATGTGCAGTATATAGTGGAGCTGAAAATAAAAAGGTTTTAAGGCACCAGATAGCTAATAAAGGGCCACTGGGATATAGACAAAACATTGGCATTTTAAAACATTTTGGACATACGTGGCTGCCTTCATCTGACTCAAAGCAAAAACTGATCAGTGGTGAGGCAGGCACTGTCACTTTTCATCACAGTCATTTGAAACAAAGGATTTTATAGCTAAGCAGGAGAAGATTCCTTCCAAAGAAGATGGAGACAGACCAGACAGTGAACGCTGTCACTATGTCATTGGTGGCACCTTGGGCCTGGTCAGTCGCCAACCCTCTGCTTCTTGGGCGTCCAGGTCGAGTGTACTGACAGACGACATAATGGACACTGTTGCTTCCCCCAGCAGCCACTGCCCTCTTCCTTTTCCTAACAACATCCCTAGTGTGCCCAGAAAGCCACCCTCCTGCTGACACCCACGAGGCTCAGAGAAGCTCAGACCTTGCACCTCAGGTGGACTGTCAGCAGAGCCTACTTCTTGGGCCAGTTACTGGCCCAGCCGTGGCAAAGTTACCTGAGTGGGACCAATTCAGCTGAGGAATGAGGTGTCGCATGCCATGTTCCTACCCACTGGACAGAAAAAGAAGGTGTTGTCCTAAGGCTGCTGGCTGCCATCTGCTGACCATGCGGAAACCAGCTTGAGGCAAAGACAGTGCCTAGGACGGCATGGCCAAAGAGATACAGACGACCCTGGTGACATCTCCAAGCCCCATCTCTGGACATCCTGCTGTGAGAAATGGTAACTCCTCATTGCTGAAGCCAGGTTGGGTTGGGATTTTGGCTTCCCACAGCCAGAACATTCCAACTGGTATGGAGGGAGAACTTGTTTGCAAAGTGTCATGCATGAGGCAAACATGCAGGGTCTGGCTGCATCTCCTGTTTCTGAGCTCTGTGCTCTAGCTTAGGGGGATTATTTGGCATCAGTTTCCCCTGGACTCTTCTATAACTTGGGTAAATGAAGCCCCCTCCCTAAGAAACCTTTTCATGAGACATGAAAACAATCAAATAGAGGATCTGCGACAATTTTCTATACAGGTGACACCTGCCAGTAGGGAACGAGAACTAAGGCCACCAAAGTGTCACAGCACGGGCAGAAGGTGGGCTTCAGTGAGCCCTGCAGGCAGGAAGTACCAGACCCCTCCTGAGGAGCAAACAAGTCCTCTGGCGTGGCTGTTTCCTGGAGCTTTCAGAGGGACAGAGATGTGATATCTGAACAGTACAAAGGCAGGGGCTAGGAGGCAGTCCAGGGAATGTGACCCAAGGACACCACACAATCCAGTCTGGTTGGAATGGATGGTTCACAAGGAGAAGTAGAGAGAAACTTAGAAAAATCAGCTGAGGGTGTGATGCCAGATCAAGGAGTTTGAACTGTATCTTCTAGGCAATAGGGAGCTATTATAGGTCTTGGAGCAGAGCAGCCTGGAGGTTCTCTGGGAGAACAGAGGTAGAAAAACCAGTTAGGAGCTCCCAAGCTCAGAGTCTCCCCATTTAATACAGGAGAGGAGAGCCTGAGTGTTAGAATGGGGGGCCTAGAAGGGAGCGCACAGAGGAAGCTGGTGGGTCACACTCTGCATGAAGTGGGCACAGGAGCATGTTCCTGATGGCAATTCGAGTCCCAAAGTCTGCAGATGATTTAAATTTAAATAAATTCTGATGAACTCAAAGCTCATCCTTTAATAAAACTTCCACTCATTCACATCTTAATGGGCCTTCTTGGTGGTGAGAGAAGAGGATAAAGTCACAGCTATGTTGAGGGCCCTGCAGAAAGGAGAATATAGTGGGGCCCTGACTTCATGTCCTTCATTCAGGTCTTCAAGGCTCTTGTGGAACACGGGCTGAGAACTTCTGGGCCAGCCACAGGTGAGAGGCCAGAGGTCTGTGGCTGCCTTCTTAGCTGGGTTTTAACATCACCTCCAGTCAGCCTTGTTCATCTCTAGGGGAGTGTCCCTGTGAGCCTAGAAATCCTGCAGCTGAGAAATCTAATTAAACTCAGTGTTTCCTCAGTCTTTTCCAACCCATACACCCATTGATAATAAAGAGAAACTCTCTCATGCCCCAAACTGACCTGTAAAGTTCAGTATCCCCTTCTCCCTCATTCATAAGACTCTCTTCTGCAAAGTCTGCTCCTCAAGACCAGTGGATTCTATCAACCTTTACTTTCTGAAATCGGTATTTTATATCAACATCTATCTATATATTTTACTTTTCAATGTAAAATTATATCACTGCCATGCTCTTTCAAATAGGCATGCCCCCAACTGGACATTCTCCATACAACCCCACCAACTAAGAACTACTGTGCTGAACTACATTAAAGTGCTGATATGACCATTTTTGACCAGTGTCCCATGGTCCTGCCATAAGAACCAACTAACCTTACCACCACCATGGTATGGACAGTTCTTCTCAAGAGAGGACACCTGCGTGCCCAGTAAGACATGCCCTCAGCTGGAGTTCCGACATCTGATCTCTAGGAGGAAAGAAGAGAAGCCAGGAGCTAGAAAGAAACCAGAAAGAGGGAGAGTTCATTGACATTTGAGGTTAGGAGAAGGAAAAAAAAAGGATAAAATAAGAAAAGGGACAAAAGGTTTAAAAAGAGAATGGAAAGACAGCAAGGAGAGACTGTCTTACCAGGGGGTGGAAGGGAGACCACCCTGAGATCCTCAGCTCAGATCTAGACCAGGGAACTGAAGAGGAACTCACACTGGGGTGGCAGGGAGGAAGGCACCAGGGAGGAACATGAGCAGGAGGAACAGTGGGAATATTTGTGAGTGTTTACCCTAAAGGAATGACTGGACTGGCAGTTGTAAGAGGAACTATGTCAAGCACAGTTCAAACACTTTTTGTATACACAAAATATCAAGGTGCTAATTTCAGACACTGATTCTCCTCCCACAAAGTATCTAGTGATAACTGTCATAGCTAAGGAAATGGTTGGAATTATAGGCGTTCCTAGTTCAGTTCACCAAGAGGGCCTGGAAGCAATGACAGTGCAGTAGCAATCAGTATACCCAGCACCCAGATCTGTGTTTCTAAAAATCTTTCTCTACAAAAAGGAACCAGAGCTCCTTGGAGAAATGGTTTATTCCAGGGCTAGGGCAGGGAAAGTACAAGACAAGCTTGGAACATTTTGTAGTGCCAGAATGTAAAAGTATTAAAAAAAAAATGATGGGGAGACAGTGAAAAGGCACAGGAGCCAGCATGAAAGAGCTCCCAACAGCTAAATCTTGGATAATTTTAGTACCAAAATTAAAAAGTAATAGTAATGAATTATAACCCATAGAATAAAATATCCATGAGTCAATATTGATATGAATAAATAATTAGGAGAGAAAGGACAGCTCTTCCTTAGAGAATTCCAATTAAAAAATGTAGAAGCAATCATGGAAATAGATCACCATTTGGCAAACATCACAGTAATAACTGTTGCAGGCAAGATCTGCTGATAGATACTAAAATTAGTGGGTGAAAAAGTATGATGAGAGGATATTTGCATAGTCTCAAAGATTCTTCCCATGAGGTGCATATTAATTACAAAGGTAAAAATAGAAACTACAGTAGAGAAGCCTGGCAGACATGCCCTGAACCAAGTAATCAAAATTAACATCACCTGTAATAACCTATTGACGTAATGTACCCCTTTATATGATGCACTGAGACAAGACCTCACTTCTGTGGTTTTCTTGCCCAAAATGCGTAACTTCAATCTACATTTCTAAATGGGGATTCGTGATTCTCGCTCCAGTTCTAGCTCTGAATAAGGTCTGTAGGTTAGCTAATAGAGAAAATCTTAAACCCAATTTAAGGGATGTTCTACCAAATACCTGGCCAGTACTTGACAGGGCTAAGGTCATAAAAGACAAGGGAAGATGGAGGAGCTGCCTCAGATCGGAGGAGACTAAAGAGACACAGCAACTTAATGCAGTGTGGGATTCTGGTTTGCGTCCTGGACCAGAAAGGGAATATTAGTGGGATGATTTTGAATAAGGTCTGCAGTTTAATGTGTTGTGTGAATTTCCTGGTTTTGATCATTACATTGTGCTCTGTAAGATGTTATTAGTAGGGGAAGTGGGGAGAAATGGTTTATGTAACTTTTTTGTAAGTCTAAAATGTATTCAAAATAAAAAAGTTATTTTAAATTATCTATTTTTAAAATAAATTAGATAAGAAACATGAGTTTTTGTTTTGTTTTGTTTTTTTGAGACAGGGTCTCACTGTGGCCTTGCCCAGGCTACAGTACAGTGGCATGATACCAGCTCACTGCAACCTCAAATTCCTGGGCTCAGGCGATCCTCCCATCTCAGCCTCCCAAATAGCTAGGAGTATGGGCACGGGCCACCAGCCTGGCTAATTTTTAAATTTTTTGTAGAGAAAGGGGTCTGGCCATGTTGCCTAGGCTGGTATTGAACTCTTGTCCTCAAGCAATCCTCCTGCCTCAACCTCCCAAAGTGTTGGAATTACACATGTGAACCACCACACCCAGCTGAGAACATGAGTCTCTATAAATATTAATGACATGTAAAATGACATGAACGTGGTTTGCTCTAAAATCCTCCAGCAAACAAAGTAGACAGACAGAACCCGACAGGGGGATACTGATCACTGTGGAAGATGGTGGAGTTCTTTATATATTTGTACTCTTTTGTGTTTACTTGACAAAATAAATAAGTTAAAAAGGAAACAGTAAAGAATTAAAGAAATCACTATTTATAAATTACAAGAGAATTCTGAAGAGTAACAAGAAATAAATCGATATTCAGGAAAAACAAAACTAGGCCCTCTCTGGAGAGATGGGAGGCAGATGCATGCCCTATGAGCTGATGCACATTTTGCCCGGATCAAAGAATAGCTTCCAACAGAAGCTAAAGCCAAAACAGACAAACCCAGGGAATATCAGCTAGAAGAGAGGAAAGACTTACCTCCAACATGAGTGGGCATCTCAGCCACCAGGCATCATCTCTCTAGTGATCATTCTGCCACCTGCCCCTCTCTTAGGCAGAATTGGCAGCAGGTGGGGATATGGGGCAGTGGCTGCAGGCAGGAGTCTAGGGTCCACATCTGGACCTGGCTGACTGTACATGCAGTGGCCAATCCCAGCAAAGCACTGAGATCAGGGCCTTAGGGCAAAGCTCATAAACCAGGAAATATGGGTGGGGGCCTTGTGAGGCAAACTGGCAACTAAGCAGAGACCAGCCTTTGAGACTGGAGGACGTGGGGGCTGCTTCTAATTAGCTGCTAAGTCTTCCCAATCCCCTAGTCCCTAACCCCTCCCAACTCCATCCTCCTATCCCCACTCTCAGGCCCTGCCAGAATAGTGTTGATGGAAGGCAGGACAGACTGGCCTGCATGGACCTGCACTGGGCATTTCAGGTTTCTGAGTTACCCTTCCAAGGGGAAAATGGGAAGAAAGTTTTGCTGGGGATGGACAGAGCAACATTCTGCTAGAAACAGCACGGTGGATAGAGCATAGGTCCTGGAGTTCTGATTGCCTGGGGATTTCTACCAACTTTACCACTTATGAGCAGGCAGTCTACACCGCTGTCTGATGAATACCCCACTCCCATACCCCCCAGGCAGGTTAGCTTTGAGACATGTTCTACACTGGTTCCCAGGGTTCCCCAGTGGGATTAAGTCCCAGGGTTACCCACTGGTAACAAGCGTGACACACATACTTTTTGGCTGCCTTCCCTTCCCTCTCTCACTTTCTCACTCCCCATTCATGTTTACAAGTCTATTGGGACTGAATACAAATCATCTACTTGTTAAAGAATCCTTGTCTTAGGATCTCAGGATCTGCTCCTGGGAGACTTAAAAAAAAATAGATCTAGTCCTGAATCCAGAGGAGAACCTTAATAAACATAGATATTACTGTATTTTGTCACTATGGAGACATGGAAAGCCACCCTTGCACTTCTACCTACTGTGAATTAGGTAGCCAAAGTGTGGTAGTAGGAAGCCAACAAGCAATTGGGCAGTCAGTGGTCACTACAAAACACTGTCAGTCTATTTCCCACACTCCTGTGGCACCTGCCCCTCCTCCCAACAACCTGCATAAGCCAGCCAAACTGAAGGATCATGCAAAATCTTCAGGAAGGTTTTCAAAAGACAACAGATGGAGGCAAGGAGTACATTAATCGGATCTCCAGCCCTAAAGAAGATAAAGAGGCCTTTCCCCATCACCACATCGAAATGTTCCTGGATAATAAACACACAATTCTCTAGGAGGAAAATTCACAATGTTGGAGAATAACTGGGCCAAGTTGCTTACTGGGCAACAGACCCAGTGATTTCCCCTTTCTCCAGACCAATTTTCACTGCTGTGGGGCTATCACAGCCTGGAGAGGCTGCCAGTCTCACTGACAACAGAACAGCAGCAAGGAGGCAAGGGAAGTGAGAGAGCCCAGGTGGGCCTCCTTGGCCTTAGAGACTGAAGAGACTTGGAGCTAAGCCGCTGTCTTCCACAGGACTGCAGCCTGGTCTGACTGACACTGTCTGCTTGGTCCTAATGTCTGACTGTTCAGGGCAGTCTGTGCACCAACTGCCTCCCCAGGGCACTGGCGACAAAGGGATAAGAATTCTTTCAGACTGAAGGCCTCCATGCCCCACTTCATCTGTCTCCTGGCTCTGCTGAAATGTGCAGGGGCCAGGATCCCAGCATCACAAGAAATATGACTGTGCAGTGACAAGGAACTCCCTCTCAGTTTTAAGCAGCCCACCCTCCTTTGTACACTTACTCTGAGAGCACAAAAGCAGAGCTGGAATGTGCCTCTCCTGCACCTGCTGTCCGTAATCCTGTCTCCCAGTGAGCCCACTTCTGAGCAGTCATGCAAGCTCACCCTGTCTGCAGTCAGATCTGGCTGGCACCCCAGCCTGTTGAGCTCCTGCTGCGTCTCAGTGCTATGCTAGGTCCCTCACACGCATACACAGCCTTGCTAAATCCTTCCTTGCCCCTGCTCAGCAGGGTGGTGCAATTTGTCTCCATTTTCCATCCAGAGAGAGGCTCAGAGGCTGAACCATGTGTCAACAGTCCAGGATTCAACACCAAGCACGTCCACCTGTGCTGCCTCTCAGAGACAAGGGCTGCCCAGATGGAGTCTTGCCATGAGGAGGTGAGAGGTGGCACTTGGAGGCATGGGCCTCCCAGGATAATACATTTTGTCTCTACTTAGTGCCTTCCTGAAAACAGAGGCTGATTCTTTAGGATGTGCGGGTGGGCATGAAGGTCCAATGGTCACTGATGCAAAGGACCCCACTGCCCTCTGGGCTTACAGAGCCTCCAATGAGATGGGATCCGTACAGGACAGATGGTCTTTGACATGAGCCATTCCACACAGAGGAATAAAAAACAGATCAGCCCTTTTCCTGCTTGGGCAAGGACATGACAGGTGCCCTAACAAAGCGTCCTCCAGCCTTGCCCCTGCTCCATGCCAGGACAGCTGCATGCTTCAGTGCTTCTCGGCTGTCTTGCCCTAAAGCGTTCCTCTATGTACTAGCCCCAACCCTATGAAGTATCATTATTCCCTATTTTTAGATGAGGAACCGGAGGTTGAGGAGGTTGAGTGACTTGCCCAAGGTTACAACAGGTGTGAAGCTTAGGTCTTAACCTAGTGTTCTTGGACTCTAAAGACTGTGTTGAAAACCACCCTCAAGATACAGAAGATCCAGTCTTCATTAAAGTGGGGCAAGGGGCAGAGAAGAGAAAGAAACACCTCAGACATTCAGAGAACTCAATCAGGGAGGAGCGAGCCCAAATAAGGGCACGCACATCCCACCCTACTTTGCAGCCCAGTCCCCTCCTGGACCCATGACAATGACCAGAGAATGCCACTGGCTGACCAGCTGAAAGTCATCAGGCTATGGGGCAGGGAGAAGGGAAGATGAGTGAATGCTGGGTGGATGTGATCACAGTGCTCAGTGGTGAAACTCTTGAAGGAGACAAAAGGGATTCAAAGGGGACCCAACAACCTTGATCCTTATTTGTTTGCTTTCCTTTAGAAAAGCGGAGGTAATCAAACTAGGAAAAGCTGCCTCTTCCTATCACTCCTCTTACTCGTGCCCTAAGCGGAGTTTTGGCCCCTCCACTGCTCTGGGACCAGCAGCTGATTCCCGTGCTGTACCTCCCATCCCATCCTGCTACCAAGGATCCAATCGGCACCTGAAACTGATTCCCAGATTACCAACAACTATTAAATATGAACCCACTCTTACCTTGAAAAACACACTCAAAATCACCAGCCTCTAACACTTTATGTTCCAGGCAGTATACTGAACACTGTAGGTATATTTTCTCATTCAATCTTCAAACCAACATTAAGAGGCTAACACTATTTCTATTACTCCATTTTATAGATTGGGACACAGAGGCTGGGAGAAGCTAAGTAAATGTGTCCAAGTCCCTCAGCATGTACAGAATGGAGGCAGGATCTGAACATGGATTCTAAGCACTGTCTTATGTTAATAGCCCAGGCACCATTTGGACCTCACCTTCTTGGCATTCCAGGGCCACACAGACCAGGGTACTTCAACACCACCATGTTTATCTGCCTCTGCCTCCTCTATATTGGGCACCAAATTTAGAGACCAACTGGAGTGGGGAACAAAGGGCTTAGTGGCTCAGCCAGGACAAAGCATGATAAAACAAAAATTTTTTCAAAAGAAAGAGAAAAAAGAAATCAACAAGAGATTAAAAACATGCCTAGAAAATCCCTTTAGAAACTGAGGCAGACAGGAGGAAGCTACCAATTCACTCCCCCAAACCACTTTACTAAGCTCCCAAGAGCAGTTAAATGTTATCAGATCCCCAGACTTAGTGAATCCTCCTTTCTAGGATCCCAGCTGTTCCGAGCATCAGAGGATAATGTCAAAAATGCTGTTGCAACTGCAGACCCCAGTAACAGCTGGGCAGGTGGGGTGGGGCCACTTGCCTTGGGGAGCTCACCACGTGAGGGTGGTCATTGGTGCTGGGTGCAGGCTGTACTTCTGGGGGCCCTGGCCAGCCCCAGACACGGGCACAGAAAAGCCCATAAGGGCTTTAAGGTTTGATAAGGAGTAAAAGCTCCAGGAATTCTGGGCCCAGAGTAGGAGGTGCACACTCACATGCCTGCTAGGGCCGGAGCCAATGGAGAAAGTAAAGCTGAGGGTGGGCTGTGTGACCTGGAGACAGAACACCTAATGCCAGCTGATGAGAGAATGGCGGGAAAGCAGCCTGGTGGTACCTATCTGTATCAGTCTGCTTGGGCTCCCATAACAGAATACCAGACTGAGTGCCTTAAATGACAGAATTTTCTCACAGATCTGTCAGGGTTGGTTTCTGGTGAGGCTTCTCTTCCTGGCTTGTAGATGGCCTCTTCTCTGTGTGGTGGGGAGGGAGGAGAGGGGCAGGTGAGCAAGGGGGAAAGGGAGGGAGAAAGGAAGCCGGGAGAGGGAGGTGGGGAGAGAGAGAAACACTCTGATCTCTTTTCCTCTTCTTATAAGGACACCAGTCCTATCAGATTAGGGCCCCACCCTTATGACCTCATTTAAGCTTCATTATTAGGATGATCTATCTCTAAACACAATCACAGGGGGGTTAGATCTTCAACATATAAATGGGGGGAACATGATTCAGTCCATAGCAATACTCTTCTGATTTTCCCAGAGAAGCAAAAATCTATTTAAAATGTGAAATGTCCTCATTTGTAACTTCTGGCAATTATTCAAATTGAGTGAAGACAACGTGCACCAAGGCCTGGGGCTGCTGGCCTCATGGTTGCCAGTTAAAAACGGATGCTCATTTGCAAGCTCTGGTCTAAAGCAAATCCCCTGTCCTGCTGGCCTCACCATGGCCTGTGCCCGGGTTCCCAGTTTTGTGACTGCCAGAACCAGCAGCTCACCGGTCACTCCTCCACAAGAAGGGTTACAGAGGTGGAGGGACCAGACAGCCAGCACCTGCCAGACCCAGGCTGCAGAAGATCAGGCAGGGCCCAGGCCAGGAGGGGGTCAGCAACGGTGCAGAAGGTTTTATATTTTACTTTCACAGCAATTTGACTTTTAAGGATTGTTCACACTTCCAATTGAAAATTATAGAAATCTTATTTTGTCACTGAAAAGTGTTTTTGTCCTAAATGCAGCCTGAAGTACTAGTGCTAGATTGTGGAAGCTTTCAGTCCTGTATTGATTTGTTGTCTTACATGTTGTAAATTAGTAAGGAGTAAACATGTTTCACTAACTCAAGCTTATCCTCAGAATGATCTCTTTCCCCCTCCTTTTTTTTTGGTTATCTGAAGTAGTATATGGAACTGGTATTAATAACATAATGCTTACATTTGCTCCTAAATTAAATATTAACCTAATGCTATTGATAAATTCGGCATTTATAGATCAGGTTTTCTGACCAAGGTATTTATCCTTTGGCAAAATCTTGGCAGTCTGAGTGGTTCTTGTAAAACTTAACACATTTAATTATCAAGGCATATTTAACATTTAGTTAAGGGCTCACTTTCTTAGATTAAAACTTTGACATGGGTAGTATCTTCTTGCTTTAGAATAAAGAGCAAAGCAAAGTCAAAGCTGGAGACATTAATCCACCATCAATAGCTGATGACTGTGACTATATTGCCTTATCAATAGAAAAGGAACCCCTTCAAAGCAGGAAAAACTCCAACAGAATTCAAGTCTGTACTACTTTGGTGAGAAGGGTGATGTCAGTCTTTGCTGAGGATAAACCAAGGCTTGAGTGTGGGGCAGGACGTTCGGCCTTCCACCAGCTCATATGCAACCCTCTCACCGGTTTTCAGCCTCCAAATAACGCAGAAACCTTTGCTTGCCACACAGCCTGCCGTGTCATCTGGCTTTTGCTTAGCACAAATGGGTCACCTGGAAGTGACATGTGCCTGTATTGGTCCTCTCTGGCATCACTGTGTACCAGTGTGGTCATAAACGGGGATGAAACAGGGAACAGAACGGTGGGAACCTCTGTTGTGTGGCTCACAAAGGTAATGGAGAACACGCCTACACCAGGTTTTCTAGGTGGAACTACAAAATCAAATGAAAACAATTCTTACAGGGAATGCTCAGACCCCAGTGTGTACACAAATCCAGATGGACCCTCAGGCCCAATTTGAGAGGGTTGAACTGATCAAGAGAGCCAAAAACACCCAGTATAGGAAGCATAAAACATTCACAAAGAAACACGAGGAAGTGTGCACAACAAGAGATCATCCAGGGAAGCTGGCTGGAGGGTGGGTGAGTTTTGAGCAAGTTTTTGGAGGTGTTTTGGTGGTGATGGAGGATAAGATGAGCATCTCTGTTATGTGTCTACATGTCCCAATTACTCATGACTGCTACAAATCTGTCTGCAGCAAGCATCACTGTCTAGTTCTCACAAATGTCCAGCAAACCATGAGGCCTCCAAGCCATGGGCAGTGATGGCCAGGCCCAAAGCCATGTGCAGTTCAGTGGGCACTGCATACCCAGACAGGTAAAGGTCGGGGAGCCCAGGCTGTGGGGCAGGCACAGAAGTGCCAGGGAAGGCAGGAGATAAAGCTGCCAGGAGACCTGGGTTTCAACAGTAGAGCCCTATGGGCTCAGGTGACTACTTGCAAAGCCTTCTGCAGGGTGACGCTTTATGGCAGCCAGGTCCCTGCCAGATACCCAGGGACCCTGAGATCCCACATCAGCAAGCAGAAGGAGGTGACAGAATTAGGCTGAGTTTTCCTTTGGTCTCATTACCACCATGTCACCCTCAACTCCTCCCTTTCCTAATAATAATGATATTATCATAGCTAAGATCTACTGGCCAATCACTAGGTGCCAGATTCTTCACTTTGCAATGATAATCTTTATTTTATAGATGGTAAAAATCAAAGCTCAGAAAGGTTAGAAAGCCAAGTTTACAGAGGAAGCAATGATAAGACTAACCCAGGTAGGCTGGCTACAGGGTCTGCGATCTCCTTCTTTTTATCTGGAAATAATTTTAAATTTACAAAAAAAGTTGCATGTATAGGACAAAGAACTCTCCTACACTCTTACCCAGATTCACCAACTGCTAATTTGACATCTTTGTTTAATCATTCTCTCTATATGCAGTCAGCCCTCTATATCTGCAGGTTCTGCATATGTGACTTCAACCAACTGTGGATCAAAAATATTCAAAAAAAACTTAAAAATACAAAAAAAGTATCAATTTAAAAACAATATAGTATAACAACTATTTACATAGCATTTACATTGTATTAGGTATTATAAAGAATTTAGAGATGACTTAAAGTATACAGGAGGATTGTGTAGGTTATATGCAAATAATGACACCATTTTATAACAGGCACTTGAGCATCCTTGGATTCTGGTATCTGTGGGGGATCCCGGAACAAGTCTCCCTGAGGAGGGCAACTGTATACAAATTCTCTCTCTTTTCTGAATCATTTGTAAATAAGTTGAAGAAATCAGGCCCCTTTAGCACTCAATACTTTAGCATGTATTTTCTAAGAATGAAAACATTCTCTCACACCACAAAAATTAACGAAATGAATATTGATACTATAATGACAATGATATTATTATTAACATATGGTTTCTATTTTCTGGTCCAGAATCCAGTCCAGGATGAAGCATGGTATCCAGTTATCACCGCTCTCTAGTCCCTTCCGATCTGGGGTAGCTTCTCAGTCTATCTTCAACTTATGATCTTGACAATTTTTAAGAGTCAGGGCCAGCTATTTTCTAGTATATTCCTCAATGTCTGATGTTTTCTCATGATTAGGTTCAGGTTATGCATTTTCGTGAGGAATTAGAGTCTGTACAATTAGTCATTAATACAACCCCACCCTATGTGAGTCTTTCTGGGACACTCACCTTGGGGCAGCCAGGATGAGGAAGGACTGAGAACCCCTATACTGTGTAGGATGCTAGAAGGAGTAGGGCCACTTTACTGGAGAAAAGAAGCCCCTGCACCCATGGTGTCTTCAAATACCTGAGTTGCTGCACAAGAGTGAGGCTGCTCCTGAGGAGTGGATGCAACCCCTTCTACCTGACTGGACACACATGCATGATGGTGACACGTGCAACCCAAGCCCTAGGCACAAGTGTGGACTATGGGCACATATGATTCCCATTCTGTCCTGCCCAGCACAGCTGTGCCAGCTGCTCAGGGACCTAGAGTAAGAACTGCAAAAAGAAGTCATGGGGAGGTGGAGCTCAGCATGGTCAGTTGGAGGAAGACTTTCCTAAAGACTAGAGCTGTTTGAGCATGGAGGAATCAGCTACTTTGTAGGGCAGTGAGCCCCTGCCTGGAAGTGGTCTAGCAAAAAACAAAAACAACCCATGTGGACTACTCCACAGCGGGGATAGGGCTGGCCATGGTGTCTTCCAAAGCAGGACTCAGTGGATCCGTGGACCTGTTGTAGCAGTATCACCTGGGATCTGAGAAATGCAGAATCCTGGGCCCCACTTCAGACCTGCAGAACCAGAATCTCTCTGAGATGAGGACCCAGGAACTTGTGTCTTAATAAAGCTTCCAGGTGATTCTTGCGTGTGCACAATACTGAGGGGAACTGCTCTGAGGTTCTTCTAACATTTCACAATTTTGCGATACTCAGCAAGGCATTTCTATCTAGCCCAGGTTAAACAACTAATTCAATTGAGAATAACCCTCCCCATAAGTATCAGTAAAGGCTAAATAAATTCTGTTCCTACCTTTTGCTAAGATGATGCATAAGCCTAAGCTCTGGGACAATCTGAGAAGTCCGCCAGACTCTAAGCTCCCTTTTGAGACAAGTTGCCCCAACCCATTCCTTCCCACACAAAGTGCACCATTTGTGGTGTGGGAGTGGCAAGAAACGAGTCCAGGTCTCTTGGCCACAGCTAAATGGACTAAGGATGGAGTCTGGGTCTAAAGCAGCCACCAGTAGAGGACATAGGGAGATGGCCATCCCTGCAGGCCAGCAGAGAGGAGGTAGGTCCCCCGAGAAAGAAGCCCCTGAACAGAGCAAATTTGGACAGCATCTCCAGTTCCTTACAATGGCTACTGTGTGACTCTCTTGGAAGCTCTGGGACCCAGCACAACTGTGGCAACTCCAGATGCCACTCCAGGATGTGCCATGATTCCTGCCACAAACCTCCACTGTCAAAGGACCCCGGGGTGTGTTTCATCACTGGGTGTGGCAATACAGCAGACCAGGTCCCCAGTCCCTTCCTAAGGCTTAGCTCAGGGCTGAGGAGCAACTACACAGCAAAGAAGGGGCCTTCTCTTAGCCTTTTCAGAATGGAGAAAACAGATAAATTTGTAGCATAAGCTTGTACCAATGGCAGTCACCACTGGCAGAGTGAAAGATCTGATTCTCTTAGAGGTGCTGGAGTATGTACCAGTGCAGACATGGGAAGCCAGAGAAAACAAAAGGACTTGTCCAGGTTAACTAAGAAAAAAAGGATGTTGGCCTCTGGGTAGGGGATAAAGATGAATGGTCTCACCATCTTACTTTACTGAGCACCTACTATGCGAGAGGCGCTGTCTTAAGCCTTTTTCCTGACCTATTTCATTTAAGCCTCACCCTCCAATGCAGTACCAATATTATCCCCATTTTCTTTTAACATGAGAAAACCAAGTTTTAGTGGAGTTAAGTACCTTGCTTAAGGTCTTAAAGCTCAAGAAGGGCCACCAGGATTTGAACCTGCCTCTCACTAAGGTCTTGTTCTTAGTACCGTGCTCATCTGTCATCAGACTTGGAGGAACACTCAATGGCAGATAAGCAGAGTAGACTGTAGAGCAGTGAGTTTTTATTAGTCAAGGGCAGAGCAGGTGTGGTGGCCCTGGAAATGTAGAACCACAGGCCCTGGACTGTAACTTAGCAACCCAAGGCTTCTTGCTGTAATTCCTCCCCACCCAGCCAGGCAGAGGGTACCCAGCTGTGACAGGTGGCTTAGGGAGCTGTGGCCATTCTCTCACCCTAAGGAGAGTCTAAGTAACATACTAGTGTGATAATTTATCCCATGTGCCCTGGTACTGTGCTGAGAGGGTTAGGCCATCAATTTAGAATTACAAAACCACTGCCCTTTAGAGCTACAAGAACCCTTAGAAATGATTTCCTCCAACTCTTTATTTCATAAAAGAGGTCTGGAGAGGCAGTGTGAGCTCTCACAGGCAGCCAGGATTAAAATGGCAGAATGTTGGCTCTCAGTCCAGGGCTCCTTCTCCTCCCTTATCCACAGCTCAAGGGCTGCTCTCCCTCACAAAGCAAAGATAAGGCTCAGAGAATTATGCAGCCCCAGAACATTTCCCAGGAGCTAAACGAAGGCATTTCTTCTCATACACAAGCTTCCCAGATCCCACCCAGCCTGCACCCTCACCCAGCACTGCCCCCTCACCCAGCCCTGCTGTCCAGTGATGAGACCCTAAAGAGGCGACAGGGCTTGCCTGGGCTGCCTCTTCCTAACACCTCCTCCCCTGAACTCACTCAGGGACTGTCCCCTACAGCTTCACCATGCATCCAACACCAGCCACAGAGAGGAAACACACAGCCAGGCTGCAGGGTCCTGCCTCTGACCCACTTGGTGCGGGAAGACTCCCTGCTGCAAGACTGGAGGCTGCCCCAGGTCATAACTGGGCTTCAAGAATGCAAGAACAGCAAGGACGATGGGCAGCAGAGAAGGAGAATTACATGGCACCAGTTCTGGAGCTGGAGATGCCAGGATATGAATTCCCATCCCTGTCACTTAGCAGCTAAGTGACCTTAGGCCAATTCTTTACCTCTCCAAGCCTTCACTTCCTGGCTTGAAAAACACAATTATACCTACTTCACAGGGTAGTTTTGTGAATTCAAAGAGACAGCAAAGGCAAAACACCATGTCTGACAATTATTTTTCTAATATTATTATTAATCGTAATGGTAAAATAACTCCTGTTCACTGGCTTTCACTCTCAGCCAGGCACAGTGCTAACTGTTTTACACGCATTATCTCATTTATTCCCCACTACCTGAAGTAAATGCTATTAATTCAATTTCACATTTAAGAAGGTATGCTTAGAGGCATTAAGTGAATTGCCCAGTGATACACAGCAATTAAGTAGAGGGGTTAGGATTCAAAACCAAGACGGACTCCAAAGCCCGTGATGACATTTGCAGGTTCCACCTTTCACATTCATTATTTCATCCAATTTAAGAAACCCTGGGAATCACGTGATTGGTAGGTCCTGGGGGGAAAGTATCCCACTGACAACCAAGCTGAGATTGGCAAGGACCCTTGGAATGGGGGATTTGGTAATCTAATTTTCTAGTTAGTGCAATATTTACTAGAAGGCTTTGTTTATTGCTAAATATTTTCTAAAGCAAGGCTCAGAGCAAGAACTTGCCAACTAGCATGCTTACATGGCCACGGTGGGCCCAGCCACCAGCACCATGCCCTCCTTTCTGCTGAAGATCTCCACTCTCCTTCTCGTTCTCGCAGGGGCCCAAGGCTCAGGAAGGAACGTGCTGACCACCCCTGGGGATGAGGGGACCTATGCTCTTTCCTAGCTCTGCAGGGACTGAGATTCCTCAAAATTAATATTGAAAGGATGAGCTGGAAGATCTGCAAGATTCATGAGAGCCAGAGAGGGCAGCTAGTACCATTAAAGATGAACCTGGACTCCAAGCACCTCTAACACTTTCTGTCGTTAGTCACCACGACTGCTGATATTTGCCACACACTTACTGTTAGACATACTGGGCTGAGGACTTGCCTGGCACTATTTCATCCCCACTGCAACCCCGTGATAAAGGCACTGTACTTTCATCTCCACTTCACAGAGAAAGAAACAGAGGCTAAGAGAGGATAAGTGACTTGCTTAAACGCACACCGCTAGTAGCCGAGAACCAAGATTTGAAGGCGGGGCACATATTGTAGTAAACATTTGGTGAATGAAACCTCCTCTGTCTATGCTCTTAGCTACTAAGTCCTATCAAGCTCGCCCCATAACCCTGAAGTCATCCTTTTCCACGCGGAGCCTTGCTTCTCCCAAGAGTACGCTCTAAGTGTTGGCTGGCAATAAAGTAGGCAGACACTGGTCGCCCTGCACCTGGTGCAAGACTCTGGCCTGACGGTCACATACTTTAGCAGAGAGTTCCCATCAGTGAGCTGGAGACGGGTTCCTAAACACACACATGGAGTCAGGAGTTCACTGGGTTCCTTCTTCAGAGGCTACTCTGGCACTGCCAAGCAGGCCGTGGCAAGCTCTTACCACCGGACACACATGGTAGGTGCCCTACTGGCCCCCAAAGCGCCCAGGAATCAGCTGCAGGCCTGCCGGGGTTCTGCCTTCAAAGGCAGTTGGGGAGGCCCAGGCCCGCTCCGCGCACCTCGCGTGGCTCCCCACCACCCCCGCCAAATGTGCACCACCCATCACCTCCCAAAGCAAAAGGGCCTGAGGACCCGACGCCAGTGCCTGCCACGAGCTGAGGGCTCGAACTGGCAAGCCCCAGGGCGTTGCCCAGGTCCCCGGCCCCCGGCCCCCGACCCCCAATCCCCGGCCCCCGACCCTGAGGGTCCACCCCCGCCCCGCCCACCTCCCGCGCCTCCCTCAGCTCGCTTCACACGTCACCCCTCAGTTCTGCAAACTCTCCTGGATCCCGAAGGCGTCCTAGAACCTCCCCCTCACCCCGGGGCCCAGCACCGCGTCGTCCCCTCCAGGGGGCCGAGGGTTCGACACCTCCACTTCAAGTCCCAGGCGGGTGTCGGAGTCCGCTCCAGCCCCAAGCGCGCGCGCGTCTTACCTGAAGCCTGGACTCCGCGGGACGAAGCCACCTCCGCCGACGCGTCCAGGAGGCCCCACGGCGGCGCCGCTTTCCCACCCCGCCGCCGCCCCCAGCGCCAGCTTCTGGCCCAGGAGGCCCAGAAGGCCCAGGCAGCCAGCACAGGTTTGGCCGCGCCGCCGGGTTCGCAGCGACCGCCACCTCCAGGCTCGCAGGTGTCCGCCGTGCGCCTGCCCGGCGGGCGAGCCCGGCGCGGAGCCTGTGCGCCTGCGCAGAGCCGCG
Organism: Homo sapiens; assembly: GCF_000001405.40. Taxonomy (NCBI): domain Eukaryota; kingdom Metazoa; phylum Chordata; class Mammalia; order Primates; family Hominidae; genus Homo; species Homo sapiens. The sequence continues at coordinate 43,106,097 of NC_000003.12, forward strand.
AGTTCGGTTGCCCTGGCCCCGGCCACAACCTTGGCTCGCGGAATCCTGGGAGGTGTAGTTTTGCGTACGAGGACAGCCCGCGCCGCCACCAGCCTGCGGAATGTTGGGAGTGATAATTTGCGCCGAGAGGCTGAGTTTTACTTAGTGTTAGGATTACACAGTTATGGCAGTTCTGATAATAAATTTAAATGCAAGTTTAACCAACAACCAAATGTCATTGTAAAGTCAAGGTAATTAATACGTTTACATGCTTTTAAAAATTGTAATGCTACAGAGAACTTACAAAAGCACCAGTCCTCTGCGGCACCATTCCATTAACCAGCTGTCACCTTATCCCACCGTCCAGTCCTGGCTGTCCAGTCCTCAAGGGCAGCTACTTATGGCTGTGGCATCTGGCATTCCCGCGGATTCTCCGAATATACATATGCCCCTATTTCTTGAGTTATGAATTTTAGATCTTTTGACTTCTTTTTTAGATCTCTTGACTTTTTTTGAACTTAAGTCATCTAGAGATGCACCTACCACCACCAACTCCACCTCCATAGAGTTATAAGATTTCTACCTATCAAATTGGGAAAGCCCTGACTTTAATTTATGATTATTTTAAATTAGCCCAAATGTTAAGGTATTAAGTTGGTAAATTTTTGCAGGGCAATTTGTCAATACAGCCAAAAACCTTTAAAAACATGTAGTCAAAAGCCTCTAACCAAGAAATTCTAATAATTGTGGATGACTGCAAAGGCTGAATAGTGTTGTTTAGATGATAATAAACTGAAAGGCTGAAGTGGTGATATTACTTTCAGAGAGAGTAGAATTGACAGCAAGGAAAATTACCAAGAATAAAAAAGGGATAATTATATAATGATAAAAGGTTCAATTCACCAAGAAGACATAATTCTAAATGTGGATACACCTAACGACATAGCCTTAACATAAATAAATCAAATGATAGAACCATAATTAGAAATAGACAACTCTGCAACTGTAATTGGAAACTTCAGCATCCCTCTCTCAACAACTGATAGAACACTAGACAGAAAGTCAGCAAGGATATAGAAAAGATCAACACTAATACCATCCTAATCTAATTGATATTTACATAATACTTCACCCACCAACAGAATACACATTCTTTTCAAGCAACCTTGGTATATATATTAAGATAAACTGTATCCTGGATCATAAGTTTTTAAATATACAGAAGACATTAATATATATTTTACCAAAGTAGTTATACAGATGGCAAATAAGGACAGATGTTCATCACTAGCCATAAAGGAAATGCAAATTAAGACTATGCTGAGATATCACCATACACCTATTTAAAACAGCTTAAAAAGGCAGGGCGCGGTGGCTCATGCCTGTAATGCCAGCACTTTGGGAGGCCATGGCTGGCGAATCACGAGGTCAGGAGTTCAAGACCAGCCTGGCCAACATGGTGAAACCTCGTCTCTACTAAAAATACAAAAATTAGCTGGATGTGTTGGTGCGCGTCTGTAAACCCGGCTACTCAGGAGGCTGAGGCAGGGGAGAATCACTTGAACCCAGGAGGCGGAGGTTGCAGTGAACCGAGATCGCGCCACTGCACTCCAGTCTGGGCTACAGAGCAAGACTCCATCTCAAAAACAAACAAACAACAACAACAACTACAAAACAGCTTAAAAAATAAAATAGCAAATGCTGGTGAGTATGCACAGAACTGGATCTCTCATATATTACTCACAGATGGGTATATCATGGTAGTTTCTTTTAAAAAACTAAACATATGCTTCCCATATGACTCATCAATCACACTCCTGAGCATCTATTCCAGAGAAATGGAAACTTATGTTAACACACAAACTTGTACACAATTGTTCCTACTTTCTTTATTTGTAATTGTCAAAAACTGTCAACAAACAAAATGCCCCTCGATAGGTGAATGGTTAAATAAACTGTGATTACATCTATATAAAGAATATCATTCAACAATAGAAAGGCACAATTGACACATGCCACAACTTGGGCATTATGCTGGGTGAAAAAAAGTCAGTCTCAAAAGGTTACATACTCTGGTTGCCATTTGTATAACATTCTTGAAATGACAAAACTATAGAGATGGAGAAAATATTAGTGGTTGTCAGAGGTTGAAGACAGGGTGTAGGTGTGAATATATAAGGGTAACAGAAGGGAAGCCTTTGTACTGATGAAATAGTTCTTTGTCTTGATTGTGGTAGTGGTTACACAAATCTACACATGTGATAAAATGACTAAAACTACACACAAACTTTCTATCAAGGTTAAATTCCTGATTTTTATATTGTATTATAATTACGTACAATGTAACCATTGGGGGAAACTGGATGAAGAGATTCCTCTCTGTACTATCTTATTATAGATTTTCACAAATCTATAATTATTTCAAGATAAAAAGTAGGAAAAAAAACAAATTTGGAAACTGCTTAATTCCTCAGTCATGCAGGATTAAGTAAAATCACAGATCATCTCAGAAATCATTGAAAAGATGCTGCAAAATAGTATTTACTTAATAGAGTGGAAGACATTTCACATTATATCATATTTAATGAAAAAAGTATAAAATATTCCATAAGATCCCATTTTTAAAAAGAATATATTTGTGCACAGTAACAGCACAGAGCACAGAAGGATATCAGCAAAATTTCAATGAGCCATGACCCAGGGTGGTAAGACTATGGGTGTTTTTTTATTGTCATCTTGCTGGTTACCTGTATGAATTTATTCTGAAGTGAACATATATTGTTTTGTTATTTTAAATATAAGTTGTTTAAAAAACTTCTAAGTTTTAAAAAGCTCCTATGTTGAGTTTATGGGTCTCTATAAGATAGCCAGTCATAGTCACTGATAGAAAGAGGCACCTAACAGTCCAAGAGAGCAGCCCCTTGCTGGAGGTGGACAGGGATTGGGTTCTGGCCAAAGCTGAATCTCCTGGATAGGATCTAACAGGATGGCCTGTAAGTCACCTAGGACCCAGTTTGCAGACACTGATCATCTTTGAGTCCATCATGTTTTGAAAACTATTCTGGCTGTGGAGCATTGCTGGTAGGAAGCTTTAGTAGACTGGAAAAAACTAGTACATTTCTTTTTATTAAATATCCAAGGTGGCTTAGGTAGCTGGCTTTTTGAGGTCTTTCCCAGCATTTTAAATCCATATTCATGCATGCCAAGCTGAGTTAGGCATTCCTCAAGTCCAAGCCCTCTCCCTTTGTCTGGGGTCATATTCCCTTTCTATTTCTCTGTGTGGATGCCTTCCAAACCCACATCTCTAGCCCTGAATTCCAGATCCACATTCCCAATCCAAGTTGCTTGGGGCATACACACCTCCACCTGGCTGGCCTGCTAGGATCTTAAAATCTGCATGATGAACATGGTGGTGATGGTAAAGATTGGGATGGTTTTTAAATATGTCTGCAAATTATTTGACTATTTTTCCTTTGAAAGGGGGAGTCTAGTTCCCTTCCCTCAAATATGGGCATAACTTAGTAACTCACTTCAATGAACAGAAAATGTCAGAAGTGATGCTATGTGACTTCTGAAACTGGGTCATAAAAGTGGTACATCCTCTCTCTGTCTCTCTCTGGTTGCCTTGGGAACAGATTCACCATGTTGTGAGGAAGCTCAGGTTACATGGATAGGACCTGCATGAGTGTATTAATGTGTTAGAGCTGCCATACCAAAATTTCAGACTGGGCAGCTTAAAAAACAGAGATTTACTTCTCACCGTTCTGGAGGTTGGAAGTCCAAGATCGAGGTGTCAGCAGGGTTGGTGTCTTCTGAGGCCTCTCTCCATAGCTTGAGGATGGCCGCCTTCTTACTGAGCCCCCACATGCCTTTTCCCTATGGATGCCCATCCTTGGTGTCTCTTGTGTGTCCCAATCTCCTCTTCTTATGAGTATACCAGTCAGATTGGATTATGGCCTAACCCAAAAATGAGCCTAATCACCTCATTTTAACCCAATTACCTCTCAAAGGCCATATCTCCAAGTACAGTCATGTTCTGACGTATTGAAGGTTTGGGCTTCCGCATATGAATTCGAGGGCAGGGGGATACCATTCAGTCCATAACAATGGGTATACCAGCCAGCAGCCCCAGCTAGGCTTTCAACTGACAACCAATATATATTGCCAGATATATGAGCGAATGAGCCCTCAGATGACTCCAGCCCTGATATGGTTTGGCTCTGTGTCCCCGCCTAAATCTCAGGGTGAATTGCAGTCCCCAATGTTGTGAGAAGGACCAGGTTGGAGGTAATTGGATCATGGGGGCAGATTTCCCCCTTGCTGTTCTCATGATAGTGAGTGAGATCTCACGAGACCTGATGGTTTAAAAGTGTGTGGCACTTCCTGCTTTGCAAGCTCTCTCTCCTGTCACCATGTGAATATGTGCTTGCTCCCCCTTCACTTTCCATTATGATTGTAAGTTTCCTGAGGCCTCCCCAGCCGTGCTTCCTGTACGGCCTGCAGAACTGTGAGTCAATTAGGCCTCTTTTCTTCATACATTACCCAGTCTCAGGTAGTTCTTTATAGAGGTGCAAGAACAGACTAATACAAGCCCATAGCTTTCAAGCCACCTTAGCTGATACCCTGAACATCACAGCAAAGTTAATCTGTCCCTGTTGTGCTTTATCTAAATTTTTGACCCACAGAAACCACAATAAATAATCAATGATTTTAGTTATTTTTGAGCCACTAGGTTTTCAAATCTGATTATGTAACATCAGATAATGAATATTATCATCCCATATTAGTTATCTACTGCTGCATAAAAAATCACCCCAAAACTTAGTGGCATAAAACAACAATGATCATTTGTTATGTCTCACCATTTGTTTGGGTCCAAAATCTGCAAGTGACCTGGCTGATTGGTTCTTATAAAGTTGCAGTCAGATGTCAGCTGAGGCTATAGTCAACTGAAGGATTGATTGAATGAGCCTGGAGGATCTGCATCCCAGATGGCTAGCTCAAAGGGGTAGAAAGTTTGCATCTCTCCATGCAGGCCTTTCTATGCAGCTGCTTGAATGTCCTCAAGACAAGACAGTTTGTTTCCTCCAGAGCAATTGATTCAAGACACCAAGGCAGCTGCTATTCCTTTTCGTGATCTCATTTGAGAAGGCTCAGAGCCTCATAAATGATCAATTCTGCAGCCTTCTGTTGATCACATCGGTCAGCACTGATTCATTCTGGGAGGGGACCATGTGAAGATGCTGAATACCAAGAGAGAAGGATCATAGTAGACCTTCTTGGAGGCTGCCTACCACAATGATAATAAGAGATACCATCTGTTTAGTGCCTATCATGTGTTTGGCTTTATGTTGAAATTATCTCATTTAATCCTCACTACAACCTTATGCAGTAGATTATTTTTGTCCCTAGTTTACAGATGAGAAAACTGAGGCTAAGTCATTCAGTGTCTTGCCTCAGGCCACGTAGCTGGCAAATGGAGGCACAGAGATGGAACCCAGCTTGGTGTGATGCCACACTAACATCTCTGACCTGCCATCTCTCCCTCCATTCTCCCCAATGCCATGCTGCACCCCTTCTGCTCCCTCTCCCTCCCCACTGCCAAGTTGTGTAAATTCCTGCAATATCTCTCTTTCCCTCCATCCTCTTCCAGTCTTGCTTCTACTGTTCTGTTACAGGGTGGCCCTATAAGTATAGGCGATGTCAAAAAATATATAAGATTTTTAAAAAGTACTTGTCTGTTAAATGCATGAAGAAATTCTAGCGACTTGTTATAACTCTACTCAGTTTAAAACCCATGCATCTATTTGGGTTTTTAAAAGTGATCTTCAGACACAAAGCAAGTGGGAAATGGGAAGCCAGATAATCCAGTGGAAGCTGTGCCCACATCAGAAAAACGAGACCAGAGTAAGGCCTAGGGGAGCTGCTGTGAGAGAAGAGGCAAAGCACAAGGGTCCTTCCCCCAGCCAAGCAACCAGGCCTTCTTTCTCCAGATATGGCACTGAAATGAAGTTTTGAAGGAATTTTAAAAGAATGCATTTGAAAATGTAATAATCATTTTTGATAACACATAATTTTTGTAAATCTTCCCTATTGTATATTTTAAATTCAAAGTTATATTTGGCCAGCTCATTGATAGCATGATAGGCCATTTTGCTAGCATCTGAGCTTATCAAGTCTGTTTGCCATGGGGACCCTCCACTTTCCCTCCCACAGTGAGTATTCACCATCCTGCAAGAGCAGGAGGTGAAATCAGGGCATTGATAAGGCCCCTGCTATGCACTGATTTTTATAGATAATTAGATGCTACCTGAGAGGAGGATAATTATAAAAGACATTTATTTCCTGAAATTGAAGATTAACTCATTGCAGTGCCTTTAATCAACTTTAAGTTGTGATTGTGTGCAATTTGCATAATTCTGAATCATTCCCTTCTTTTACCTCTTCATCCTCAACATTGCCCTTCTCCTTTGCTCCTGCAGATGACTGTTATTTGAATTGTCCAGCCCATACAGGCTTACGAAAGGAGATTTTTTTTCTGAATGAGTGACAAAAGGAAGACACATCTTCTAGTGGTAAATACTCTGGGTTTCATTGAAAAGAAGTCCATGTGGTACACATCCTGGGAAATACATGACTGAGAACCCCATGAACTGGCCTCCACACGCCCTACAGGACAATCATGGGTCACTTGCTTGGATCTGTTTAGTGGCTCATTTATTCAAATAGATACAGCTACCCCCTGAATATGGCTGCTTCTGAAATCTACAACTCAGTAATTTACTTCAGTCTTTCTTGCCCCACATCTTGGATTTCTTGGAGGATAATTCCACCGGAAATGTTATGGTCAAAAATAGTGTACATATTGGGAGGCCAAGGCAGGCAGATCACTTGGGGTCAGGAGTTTGAGACCAGCCTGGCCAAGTGAGCCTGGCCTGTCCTCACTTGAGGTCAGAAGTTAGAGACCAGAGATGGTGAAACCCCGTCTCTACTAAAAATAAAAAAAATTACCCAGGTGTGGTGCCAGGCCCCTGTAATCCCAGTTACTCAAGAGGCTGAGGCAATGAGAATTGCTTGAAAACAGGAGGTGGAGGTTGCAGTGAGCCAAGATCATGCCACTGCACTCCAGCCTGGACGACAGAGTGAGACTCCATCTCTCTCTCTCTCTCTCTCTCTCTCTCTATATATATATATATATATACACACACACACACACACACACACACACACACATATGGTGTACATACACTATTGGCTATTGGTGAGAAAGTCAGTGTGAATCAGTTAGGGACTACATTGAGCTGTTAGCAGTAGAGGCCTGACTGAGATAGCTTAGAACAATTAGGACTTTGTTTGCTTACTTATGAGAAACAGCTCAGAACTGTTTGAAGCCTCTACAAGGATTTTCAGGGACCCAGGCTCATTTGGCCTTTCTTATCCCTGTACTTAGTACACACCTTCTATCCTTGAGGTTATAACAAGGTTGCTATAGCTCCTGCCATCAAGACAGAGATCCACACAGAAAGTGGAGGAAGGTGCAGAAGCAAAGGGGCATTCTTAAATGTATTACTCAAAACGTCTGCTTACATCTCATTGGCCACCCCATTTACAAGAGAGGCCCAGATATGTAGCTTTTTGATTACTAAGGGAGAATGGATATTGGGTAGATTACTAGCACTCTGCAATGAGGTACAGCCTTTTTGGAGGACAATCAGAAGTTTAAAAATTTAAATGCATTTGCTCTTGACTCGGAAATTCCTCCACTGGGAATTTATCCTGGAGATGTGTTCTAACATATGTGCGTGCACTTACACACTACAAGCTGTTACTTGCAGCAGGAAAGGGCTCATGGAAATGCATTTGTACTAAGCGTAAAGCCCCAGTGAATGTCAGGCTTGGACCCATTGGATTATCAACTCCTTTTCCCAAGAGGGAGGTGGGAAGAGACATGGAGCAGAAGTATGGGTGCAGCCTCCCTTCTCTGAACCAAAGCACGAAAGTAGGGAGATGACACAAACACTTCCCCTGTAGCTGCAATGCCCCCAAAGTAAGCATTCAACAGGAAGTCAGAGGACAGGCAGACCATCTCCAAGATTGAAGAGGGCTGCTCAATGGTCTGTAAATAACTGTTCTCTTTTGTTCTTTTCCAGGTAGAGGAAGCAGATAAGGCAAAGCTCAGTGTGTGGCTGTTAACACTCAAGACTCTTGGAGACAATGGGAGTCTACCCTTCATCTTCGGGGGAAGAAACTGAGACCCAGAGAGGCATAGGGGCAGAGGTGACAGGAATTTTCTAGGTCAGCTTATTGGAGATTGTCTGTCTTAAACTAGGTTCTCAGACACTCCAAGGCCATCACAGTTACCCAGTTAACAGCAGTCATTTTCTTTTATATTCAGAGGAGTGCTGGTAGCACTAAGTTGGCAATTCATGAGTGGGGGCTGCCCAGTCTTCCCACTGGGTCTGTGTGCTGTGGGCCTCCTGCCTGGCCGGCTATAAGGACACAGCACTAATATAGTAGCTCAAAGCAAATGGCTCTCCATGTCCCTGGTGGGTCCATTTACCAACTGCTCCTGCTAAATGAAATCCTGAAAGGGCCCCTGGAAGGGCATTGTTGGTTTGTATGGGAACAGCCCCATCTATGGGGAGGAAAAAGCCCTGGGTTATCATCCAACCACAGCTTTGTACTTTCTTCAAATTCGTGAGGCATTTGGAAAAGAAGGACTCAAAGTTCTGATATGATCAAGATGGGGAGAAATGACCATTTTTACAGCCCTGACTGTTCAAACAGCCACAGTGGAGTGGGGATTTTCATTTGAGAGTCATCCCAGTGAAGCATTGTCAATTCGTCCCATGCTGTATGTTCATGGCAGGAACACCTGTGCGAGTATAGCTGGTGCCTCCTCCATCCTCCCCTCTCCCCACGAAAACATCACAGGCCTCAGCAGGTAGGAAGAGAGCATCATCCCTGGGACATCTTTCCTCTGTACCTCACTCCCAAGCAGCACCTATCCTGGCTTCTCTCTCTCCTTCCCCAGACCCCGGATCTGGGGCTCTTTTCAACTAAGGGATACATTCCATGTATGGTGAGCCCTTTGGCATATGTTATTGTAAGAAATTTGGCAACTTGAAAGAAGAAGCAGAGCCAAGTGAAATCCCAACACAGTGGCTCTGTCAGCCTGGAATCTGGGGTCTTTCCCTTGCAGTCTTGAGACAGCACCATGGAGTTGTTCTGGGTCCACCCCAGCAATGAAAAAGAGCTTGGTGGCCTCTCTGCTCCCCCAGCCTCATCCAATCAGGCCACAGACATTGTCCAAACACTGTATCTGTGCCAGGCACTGTGCTGAACATTGGGAATAAAATGAGGCAAGGCTGGGCAGACATGGCCAGCAAGCCAGAGTGTGTCCCTTGCAGAGCCATGATCTGGAAAGTTCCACTGAGAAAGGGAGGAGATGCATTCAGATAGATTCCAACAGAGCCCAGGAGTGATGCTCTGAACAAGGTATATGGTGAAGGAGAAGGGAAGACTGGGTGTAGAGAAGGCAGTAAAGGCAGAACAGTGGATGTTTCTTGTTTTAGCTCAGTCAGCATCTGTTCTCCTTGTGGGGACGCTCCCTGGAGTTCTCATGGAAAGCCATTCCTCCTCTATCTAGGTCCATGTGGTTTGAGTAGGCTGCTCTTGTCCCAGTGCCAGGGGTGGGACATAACCCAGTCTTGGCCATTACAGCAGTTCTACCCCTGACCACAGGATTTGGTTCAGAAGTGGATAATGAGAGTCAGTTCTAGGACTTGAGTTGTATCTCCTGAGAAAGAGAAGCCCCTTTCTTTGGGAGTCATTAAGAATGTGAGCCTGGAATATGCCAAGAGGCACCTAAGGTGAGGCTCTATTGGAGAATAAAAGAAATGCAGTAAAGAGATTGGGGGGGAAAAGGAAAGACAGTAAGAGAATGAGAGACCCTCTGAGTCCCTGGATCCAACCAGACCTGAAGCTAAAATCCCTGAGATTTTCAGAAACATGAGCCAATCAATTCCCTTCTCTCCTTTTTTTTTCCTTTTTGCTTGATCCAGTTTGAGTAAGGTTTCCATCAGTGTTAGGCATGTGGCAAAGTGATAAAGATAGGGCATTGAAAAAGTACAGAAAGACACTTTCTCTCTTTCTCATCTTTCAAGTTCTCGAGGGATAAAATGTTGCCTTTGAAGGACTCTAGGGAGCAAAGAACACAGCCAAGGGTATGACCAGGTCCACAACAATGCTAGTGATCTCTGAGAGAACCAGGAGGGAGCTCACAGCTGAGACCCAAAAGAAGGTGAGATCATCAGAAAGCCACATAGAGCAAAGGCCAGGGGAAGGCAGCTCATAGAGAACCCTCAACTCTGCAACGTCCATGTGGACAGTAAGGGATCCCCAGATTGGGACTGGGTAGCAAAGGGACTTGTCCCCTTTGCATTTTCTACTTGCTGGCTTGGTATTTATCATATGCTTTTTCCTGGTACTTTAATTTGGCTTTATGGCTAAACTGGCAGCTTACTATGAGTGGGAGCTCAGGCTTTGAAATCAGGCAGATCTAACCATGAACACCTGAGTCACTGTATGACCTTTTTAAGCCTCAAATTTTTCATTCAGAAATGGAAATGATGCTGTGCAGGCATGATGCACAGATGTCAGCTGGGGGCTCCTTGCTCCTTGAGAATCACGGAAAGGCACTTGGATCCTCCCGGCTTCTTGGCCTGGTTGGTTGCAAGGCCACCCCATGGCTTCAGTGAACTTCCATCATGGTTGCTATTAGGCATCAGTCCAAAGAAATTTTGCTGCTTTGCTAGTTCCTGCAACAAACCCTCACTTATATAAAGCATTTGTGAGAGTCATAGAGTAATAGACTTTACCAAAGAACTGACAAAGTTGGGGATGTGTCATGTCCCATGCACCACATAGCAAACAACATCCAAGTTAGTTGCTCTTCGTCTGCAACTACGATGGAGGCTTCTGTTGCCGCTTCCTCTACTCCATGCCATGTGTGTGCTGTCTGCTTTCCTCTCCTCTCCTCCTGCCCTTGGCTTTTTCAACACAATTGCTTCTCTTTGCCTTATGCAGGGCAGTCACTGCTGCTCTCTGAGGCCTCAGCACTAGCTGGACCCAGGCCCTTGAGGATTCATCTTCTGCCTTGTGTGTCAGAAACGATCTTAGTTGCACACAACAAAATCCACTCTGGCTGGCTTAAGCAGAAGATGGTTTATCAAGGGATGTTAGGTGACCCACAGATTCACTGAGATGAAGAAGAAACAGCCTCTAGACGGGCTTCTAGGAAAAGCCCTACAACCACAATGTCCGAGAACCAAACTGCCGAGGGAACAGCTGCCATCTTGGCCCCAGGATCATGCTGCCCCTCCTATGAGCAGGAAGTGACCTGTCCCTGCCAGCCATAGAGAAGCCAAACTCCTCTCTGCCATTTCCGCATGCAGGATACCACCTTGTGGAATTCCTTTCCTTCTTCCAACTTACATCTGCTTGCATCTGCTTGGTGGAACCTGGGTCTTAGGTGATCCCCAACCTGCACAAAGTCTGGAGATGGAGTTTCTCATTGGAGAGAGCACTCAGTGAATCAATTTGTACGATCTCCTATACTCATCAAATACTTCACGCTTTCAAAAGACAGTTTTTTAAATAAGAGAAATTCTATTGCCACGTTTTAAGACTTTTTTCTCCATCTTAGTATATGGTAGTGTAAATTTAAATAGAATAAGCCTGGGAAGTTATTGGCACAATGTCTATCACATAGTGATGGTTCAGTACTTATTAACTATTAATTAGTAAGGCAGTAGGGAGGTACCTTTTCAGTTGGCCCTTCAAGGTTGAAGAGGATTCCCAACCCAAGATGCTTAAGGAGAGCAGAGAAGGAAGGAGAGCAGAGAGAGAGAGAGAGAGAGACAGAACCCATTAAAAAAGTATTGACCTTTAGGCTGGGCACGGTGGCTCACGCCTGTAATCCCAGCACTTTGGGAGGCCAAGGCGGGTGGATCACGAGGTCAGGAGATCGAGACCAGCCTGGCCAACATGGTGAAACCCCGTCTCTACTAAAAATACAAAAAAATTAGCCGGGCATGGTGGCAGGTGCCTATAGTCACAGCTACTCGGGAGGCTGAGGCAGGAGAATGGCGTGAACCCGGGAGGCAGAGCTTGCAGTGAGCCGAGATCACGCCACTGCACTCCAGCCTGGGCGACAGAGCGAGACTCCGTCTCAAAAAAAAAAAAATTATTGACCTTTAATTTTCTCACTATGGTCCGTTTCAGTTCTCCCTGAATGTCTTTTCATTCTACTAGAATGACCAGCTTCACTTGGCATTGACTCCACCTGTTGAAAGTCTGAACAAGTCAGCTCTTCACAAGACCCCAGAGTCATCTGTAGTCTCTGACTTAGTTTCCACTGTGTACCTCCATCAGCCTGCACAAATTTTTGCCTTATGGTCAAGAGGTGCAGGACTGGAGGATATGTTATATCCAGTTAAAAACTCTGAAAATAACAAGATAGATAAGGTCTCTGCCTTGAATAATGCCTCAGAAAGCTTGGAAGATAGTAATGAATGCTCAGTTATTGAGTTTCTCACTGAGACTCTGCTTTATTTTTGTTTTTCAAACAACCTAAATGATCTGCTGTATATCATACACAAATTCTATCACGAAAATATCTGCAGATTAGCCTGTGGAGGCCCATCTATGGGTGAGTTGACTTTTACCCAGATGCTATGTGAGCAGCCTTGCCACTGCTGGAATTCTTGCACCAAATCAAGAGGGAGACTTGGGTCCCTAGTTCTGCATGGGAAACACCATTCTTCAACAGTTTCCTTCACTAGGCAATATATCATTTGGGATATTTATCAGTGTTTTGGAGAATCTGCAATGTACATTTGGGCATTTGGGCTGAATTACATCCATCAAAGAGAAGGCTGTAGGCTTGCTGGCTTCGTTTCCTTTATTTAAAAAAAGAAAAGAAAAGAAAAGAAAAACAAACCAAAAAAACCCGCTTCTAGTCTGATTGAATCTACTGGTTCACAGCCAAGCTGGATGGGGGCAATCATTGGACAGACATTTTAAATGACTGTGGGGTGAAAGAGAAGAAACCTTCTGTTTGTCCTATTCTGATCATATTTCCGTCACCCCTTTCCTCCTCAGTTCACCAGAGAAATCGCCAGCCCTTGGCCTGACTTTGAGGGTTGGAGACCAGGCTCTTTAATTTGCTCTGTCCCATATTTTGTTATTCTGTCAAGTATTTGATCCTGTACTGGGAAAGAGACATTTTGTAAAAAGCAAAAATAGTAATAGGACTGATTTGGCAATGTGACCTAAAGAACAAATGATCTCACTGTCACATTAAAATTTGCCAGTTAGGAAAAGGAAGGTTCCTGAAGGTGATGGAAAAGAATTATTAAAACAACTCAAACACAGCTTGTTAGAGAAGAAAAGTCATTCATTCTGTGGGCAGGGAAGGAGATCCAACACAGGCTGCTCATTTTTATTTATTTATTTATTTATTTATTTTTTTTTTGTAAGGCGGAGTCTCGCTCTTTCACCCAGGCCGGAGTGCAGTGGTGCTATCTTGGCTCACTGCAAGCTCCGCCTCCTGGGTTCACGCCATTCTCCTGCCTCAGCCTCCCGAGTAGCTGGGACTACAGGCGCCCGCCACCGCGCCCGGCTAATTTTTTGTATTTTTAGTAGAGACGGGGTTTCACCTTGTTAGCCAGGATGGTCTCGATCTCCTGACCTCGTGATCCACCCGCCTTGGCCTCCCAAAGTGCTGGGATTACAGGCATGAGCCACCGCGCCTGGCCGCTGCTCACTTTTCTACACCTCTCCTTTGCAGCTTTGCAAATAGAGCTGCATCCATGCTCCTTCTCCAATTCCAGGTTTGCGAAGTCCAATTAACAGCCCAGGTGCTGCATAGAAACTATCCAAATCACCCTCTATGGGGATGTCTCCTCCCTCCCCATGATTTTCATTTGTTGTGACATTCTCTTCAGTTGGTTTATTTGAGAGGTGGTATCAGGAAGCTAACCAGGGAGTGAGAAGTGAGACAAGGAAGGGAAGGAAGCCAAACACAGGGTGAACTAAAGCCATCATTGCAGGAAGTGGTAGCTCAGTCCAGAGGGAAACTCTGGAGGCTGTGCAGAGTGCTCCTCAGAGCCACCCTAGGGTAGTGGGGAGGCTTTACCATCCATCTTGGCAGGAGCTGTTTTCAGGAGTCTCAGCACTTCCTTCTGCCCCACACCTGTGGACTGAACATTCCAAAGAAAGCCCTCAGATGGAGAATCCCAGGTACTTTCCTTAGAAAGCCTTCAATATACAAGGGAGTAAGGAAGGCTGAGGGGATGTGGTAGGAGCAGGAGCCAACAGCATCTCCTGTACTTTGCCTCATTGATCCATTAATTTATCACTTCATATGAAGCCCTGTGCCAGATGCTGTAGCTGCAATGAAGAACAAGACAGACACTGTCCATGATCTCCTGAAGCTCAAAATCTAGCAGGAAAGACCAAAATTAATCAAATAAGCACACAAGTATATAATAAAACCAGTGACAAAGTGAAGTGAAAGAACAGAACCAAGAGCTCTAAAAGAGGATGGCAGGAAAACATGCTCCTGTTTGAGAAATCATGGAGGGCTACTTTGAAGATGTGAGCTATCTAAATAGAGGTGGGAGCGCTCTGGAAAGCAGTTTATGCTGGAAGAATGACATGTACAAAGGCCCTCAGCACCAGGAACCAGTGTAGTGAAGCTGGAGATGAAGAGGGAAACAGCAAGTGGGAGAATTGGAGCTGAATGAGGCTAAAGAGGTGAGCACGGAACAGAGTATGCAGTGCTGTGTAAACTGTGCTCATGGTTTTTATCTCTATTCTCAGAGCAGTGAAAGCTATTGACAGATGTTAAGCCAGGAAGTGATTACACTTTTTTCTTCCAAATTTTTTTATTGTGGTAAAATACTCATAACAAAATTTACCATCTTAGCAATTTGTCAGTGTACAGTTTGGTGACACTAAATGCATTCGTAATGTGCAACCATCACCACCATCCATGCCCATAACCCTTTTTAACTTGTACAACTGAAACTCTATACCCATTAGACAATAACTTTCCATTATCCTCTCCCCCAAACTCCTGGAAACCACCCTTCTACTTTCTGTCTGTATGAGTTTGCCTATTCTAAGTACCTCACATAAGGGGGATCGTACGGTGTTTGTCCTTTTGTGACTGGCTTATTTCACTTAACATAATGTCCTCAAGATTCAATATGATTAGATTTTGAGTTTTAAAAGATAGATGTAAAAAAAAAAGATAGCTGTCAGGCAGAGAATGGATCAGAGTGGGAAATAGCAATTGATGTTAAGCACAGAGTTGCAGATCAACATGTGTGGAGCTCAGATGAAATGGGCTGAGCTGGAGACATGACCTTGAAAGCCTTTGGCACTGATATATTGTAACATTACCTTATACTCATATTGAATGCTTTGTGTGCACACCTTGTCTTCCTATCCAGGTTGTAAGCTCTGTGGGTTCAGGGTTTTTAACTTAACCCCCTATCTTTGCCACACTTCCACTCCCTTATACCTAGTTTAGTAGAAGCAGCATAATGAGGTGGATAACATATGGAATTTGGAATAAGAGAGGCCTGGCTTCAATGCCAGACTCACCACTTACTAAGTGCATAACCTTGGGCAAGTTACTTGTTTCCTCATCTGTAACATGGCAATAATAGTAATAGAATCTATTTCATATGTTATGAGGAGATTTAACATGATAACATAAGCTTTGAACTTAGAAAGGTGCCTGTCATAAAATAAGTAAGTATGTAACACAGGTTGGCTATAAACTTGAATCTATCTAAGCCTCAGTTTTCTCCTTCGTAAAATGTATACAATGATACCTTGTTATCAGTTAGCTATTGCTGCCTGACAAACTATCCCAAAATTCAGGGGTTTAAAATAACAATCATTTATGATTATAACTCACGTGTCTGTGTGTCAGCAGGGGCTGGCTCTGTTGATCCTGGCTGGGCTTGCTCATGCATATGTGGGTTGGCTGGAGAAGTTTACCTTGCATGGCCCTGCTCTGCATGTTTCTTCCCCTTGTACTGGTACCAACAAGCTAGGGGAAGCAGGCCCTTTTAATGGATGTGGCAAAACTGCAAGAGCACTGGCCCAATGGTATAAATGCTTTTTCACACCTCTGCTTGTATCATGTCAGTCAGCAATGCCATTGGCCAAAGAAAGTCACATTGCTGAGCTCTGAATCCATGATTCTTAGAAGTGAAAAGAACATGTATACAGAGACAGGTCAGGAATTGGGGCATTGATGTAATGGACTATACCTATAAAACAGAACTTTTTTAGGTAACATATGTAACATGCCAGTCATGTTGTACGTTTTTAATACCTACATCTGCTTTCCTCTTCAACAAGTGTTGGGTAATTGACTCTGATTTTCAGAGTAAAAATAAATTGGTTCCGAGCATTTGAAGCTATCTTTGCTTATTATAAAGCTTGGCATACTATATGATATAGCAATCAATTAACAGTTTGGGCTGGACACCCTCACACAGTGCTGCTGGTGATGTAAGTTGATATGATCTTTCTAGAAAGAAATTTGACAATATGTATCAAAAGCCTTAAAAATGTGTACTCTTTGACTCAGAAATCTCCATTATGGCAAATCTATCCAAAGGAATTTGGAGAGATATAGACAAAGGTTTATGTATAAGGATGCTAATTGAAGTAATATTTAGAGTAGCAAAAAAGAGGATAATGTTAGATTAGCTTGTTGCAGGAAGAAACCTCTTACTGAAAACAGCTAGAAAGCTCAGACTCAAGCAAATCTGTTTAGGGATTGGAAAGTTACGAAGACAGCCATAACTTGAGCATCCAAGATTCAGGATACATGGGAAATCAAATAAGGTGACTTGACATTCTGTGCTGTTTTCCCCTCAAAAGATTTGTGGAACGGGCTGGGCATGGTGGCTCATGCCTGTAATCCCAGCACTTTGGGAGGCTGAGGTGGGTGGATCACCTGAGGTCAGGAGTTTGAGACCAGCCTGGCCAACCCAGGCTGGTCTTATAGAGATGGCAAAACCCCGTCTCTATAAAAATACAAAAAATAGCCGGGCGTGGTGGCACGTGCCTGTAGTCCCAGCTACTTGGTAGGCTGAGGCAGAAGAATCGCTTGAACCCAGGAGGCAGATGTTGTAGTGAGCCAAGATTGTGCCACTGCACTCCAGTCTGGGTGATACAGCAAGACTCTGTCTCAAAAAAACAAAAACAAACAAAAGATCTGTGGATTCGTGAGTGGTGTAGCCAGAGATGCTAAGCAACAAAAAGAAGTTTTTAAGTGATACGGAATCACAAAATCACCAATAGTGTAGGCTTAGAGAAACTGAGCAGATAGTGTCAGCTAAGAGGTTGAAGAGATTAACAGATTTTGCAGCCTCAGAGAGATGGGGGATAAAAATTGGTTTTGAAGTCCCACTAAAAAAGAGAGACTCTGGTAAATAACTCAGGCTTTCAGATGGAATCCCTAGAGACCTTACACCCTTGGAGTAAAGGTTAGCTAAAAATAAATTAGACCTCAAAAAAACTGATACTCACCCTCAATCTGCAATTGGCTTAACATCATCTGTCCTAACTCTAACTGCCTGCCATAAGCTAAAGGCTCATTTAGGGTTTCTACAATATTTTACACATGATGTTTCACATTCAACCAAAATTCCCAGGATATCAAGAGACAGCAGAAAGAAAAAATCAGACAATAAAAACAGACCTAGAGGTGATCCATATATTAGAATTATTAAACATAGTCTTTCAAATAAGTATTATTAATATGTTTAAGAAAGCAGATGACAAAATGAAAAATTTTGCCAGAGAATTGGAATGTATTTTTCAACATATTTAAAGAAAATCCAAGAATTGGAAAATATAGTAAAGAAAATTAAGAACACATTAGATAGGTTTAATAGCTGATTAAATGTATCTGAAGAGAGAATTAGTAATATGGAAGTTAAGTCAGTAGAAAATATCCAGATGACACATGAAGAGAAAAAAGAAAAAATATGGAAAAGATTTAAGAGACAAATGGGAGATAGTAAAAATAAAATCTAATAAGCATATAATTAGAACCCTGTAAAGGAAAGAGGAAATGGTACAGAAGTAATATTTGAAGAGAAAATAGCAAAATATTTTCCCAAACTGATGAAAGACATAAAACTTGATTAAAAATATTAAGAAACACAATGAAATCCAAGCAAGGTAACTACAAAGAAAATCATACTTAGGCAAATCCTAGTAAAATTGCTGTAAAACAAAAATAAAGAAAAAAAATCTTAAAAGGTAGAAAAAAAGAGAGACACATTGCATTTTAAAAAGTCATAGTAAGGATGACAATTGACTTCTTAAAATAAATAATGGAAATCAAAATGCATCTTTAAACATTTAAACATTTTTAAAATAAAAAAAATTTAATTGTTGTTAAAATTTTAAGTAGCCTAGGCAACAAAACAAGACCTCTTCTCTACAAAAAAATGTAAAAAATTAGCCAGGCATGGTAGTGCATACCTGTAGTCCTAGCTACTTGGGAGTCTGAGGAAGGAGGATCACTTGAGCCCAGGGGTTTGAGGCTGCAGAGAGCTGTGACCACACCGCTGCACTCCAGCCTGGGTGACCGAAGGAGACCTTGTCTCTAAAAAATAAAATAAAATAAAATTCAGAGTAAATTAAATGTTAATTTAAAAATTTAAATGTTTTTTAAATGCTGAAAGAAAATAACTACAAATATAGAATTCTATACCAAGCAAAAATTGCCTTCAAAAATAGAGGGATAATAAAGACATTTTCAGACAAACAATAACTGAGATAATTTACCACTATCAGATCTGTAATAAAAGCAATAGTGAAGGTGTTTTTCAGGCAGAAGGATATGATCCCAGATGGAAGTATGGAAACTCACAAAAGAATGAAGAAAAAATGTAGAGGTAAATATGTGAATAAATATAAAGGATTACTGACTGTAGAACACCATTTTAATGATAATGTCTTGTGGGGTTTAAAGTACACATGGAATTAAAATATATGACAACAATTATACAAAAAAAGAGGAGTAAGTTGAGTTATATGATCTAAGAACCTTACAAAATTGAAGAAGAATGATAAGAGTACTAATTTATATTAGGCTTTCAAAAGTCAAGGACACATGTTGAAATCTCTTGAATAACCACTAAAAAGATAGAGAACTAACAAACCTTAACAGGAGAGAAAATGAAATAACAACAAAGATGATTAAATTAGAGACAGGGAAAGAGAAAAAGGGAACACAGCAGAGGTAAAGCAAATAATAATATTGTAGATTTAAACCCCTAAGATATCAGCAACCACATTTATGTATAAATGAACTAAATATTCCATTAAAAGACAAAGAAGGTCGGACTAGATCAAGGAAAATAAAATTCAATTATGTGCTGCTTACAAGAAAGCACAAGGATTGAAAACACTACAAACACTGCAAGAATTAACCAAATAGAAACTAAAGATAAAGCGTGTTAAAGTGCCAAGAAGTATATTGCTGGGAGAAACAGGTACATTTCGTCATGACAAAAACATCAATCCAGGAAAATATAATAACTATATTTTTACAGTAGCCAAAAAAGAAAGAAAGTAAGACTTCAACCCAACTGTCCAACAACAGGAGAGTAAGTATCTTATGACACATCTATATGATAGCATCTCATGAATCCACTTAAATCCATGCTTTTGAAAAACAACTATATGGAAGAATGCTTCAGATATAATTTTATATGGAAAAAATAGGACATGACTGGTCACATCAAGACATTCACATATGTAAGCTTGGGAGGGAGCAAAGAAAAAAAGTAGAACATATTCCAACATGTTTCAATGGATGAAACATGTTTCTGTGAGTGGTAAGATTATAGGTGATTTTTATTTTATTTTTACTTTTTTATATTCTCCAAAGTGTCTACAATCAACATATAGTGCATTTTATTTGAATCTTGGAAGACTTTATTTAAAAAGAATTATGGATGTCATAATAATTAAAAGCTGGAAAAGGCCTCCTTTGCCTAATCAAAGTTTCTACTACACAAAATTCTGAAAACATGAGGAAATAATCCCTCTGTTTTCTGAAGGGTACATCAGAGACATGCTTGTAGGTGGAGATTGGACTGGACACAGGCCCCAGGGAGCCCAGCCTGCTCACACTGCAGATCGCTGGAGCTCTGTTGATAAAATGATGTCTGTGACACAGTCTTCTTTCTGCAAGGCTTACACTACTCAGGATGTGCAAGTTTGGGAATAAAAGGAGTTTTGACAAAGCTTTTGTGCTTGCCTTATTGAAGGAGTAATAGTATGCTTCTTATGGGCAAAAGCAAAAGCCATGGAAGCTAAAACAACGTAATTTAAAATTACCCTTAATTTAACCATCCAGAGAGCACTGCAGTTAGCCTTTTGGTATATCACCTCCTAAAAGGTTTTCTTTGTGTGAGTACATCAACATGCCAAGAGAAGTCATACTATGTGCCTTGTTTTGTAACCTGCCTTTTTCATTTACCCATAGATCACAAGTGTCTTGGCAAAAGGCGTCTTTAAGAAGTGACAGCAATTCTCATGGGAATCA
Source organism: Homo sapiens (assembly GCF_000001405.40). Lineage (NCBI taxonomy): Eukaryota > Metazoa > Chordata > Mammalia > Primates > Hominidae > Homo > Homo sapiens. The sequence goes on from NC_000003.12 coordinate 43,126,735, forward strand.
CAAATAGATTGGAATGAGGGAACTGACTCATCTGCCTTGGCCCAAACCACTTTCCTTTAAGTGCCTTAGAGATGAACGCAGATGTTGTAAAATTATCATTTTCTATTTTTAATAAGCGCTTAATTTTCTTTGTTGCTATGGTGCATGTTTTACTTTGTTTGAGATTATTATATTTTATTCCATTGAGGAGAATCTACTTATACCAGTAACATGAGCCAATTGCTTACTCTCTCAGATCATAGAGGAATTATTTATTTTATAGAGGTTAAAGGGACTTTAGCAATGATTTAGATGACCCCTCCTATTTTATGGGTCAGAAAATTGAGGTCCAAGATAGATGATGGAACTGGACTTGGATGGTAAAGCTGGCAAATGACACATTTTAAGACCCCAGAAATGCTTTGCACATTTTCCAAATGCCTCTGCCTTGTGAGAAGATCATAACCAGAAGATTTGAAAATGTTTTAACATTGTGACAAGACAGACACTTCTGGTGTGAACATCCAATTAAAGTCCCCCGCCCCCGACATGTTCTTCCATAGAGCCTCCCTCCTTTCCCACCCCTAGATTTGATCACAACACCCCACCTAAATTCTCTCTCACTTCTGGGCATTCGTGGAAAGCAACCCACTTTTATACATTAACCTCAGAGAACAGTTTCAACTGCCCTACTCACAGCTAAGCCACCTAACTCCTATCCCATGAGCTCTACTTTCAGAAATATCCCAAGCTGGGGTCTCCTTTGTTGTTGCTTTGATTACTTTTGTGGGGGCTAATTACTCTAGCTTCCAGTCCGTCTTCCTTCATTTACAATCCTCTTTTCCTAGTTCTCAACAATCTTCAACAAATATTTATTGATTGTTTATTATATGCCAGGCTCTGGGCCTGCTTCAGAAGACACAAGTCAGTGATAAACAAGACAGACACAATCTCTGTCATGGTGGCAATTACTGCCTATTAGGGTTGGTGGACAGCCAATTTTTTGAGTAAACATTAATACAACACAGGATGTGATGGGGGCACTATCATGGGCATTAACCCAGACCTAGGGGCTCAGGGAGGGGTTCCCAAAGGAAATGATATTTAAGCTGAGAGTTGAAAAATAAATAGGAATTAGATAGACAAGGAAGTTGGGGGGATGGTGGTAAAGATTAGTATATTAGGAAGAAGGAATGGAGTATGCAGAAACCTACCAATGAGCCAGAGCACATAGAGTGTTAGGAAATGGTAAAAAAAAAAAAAAAAAAAAAAAAAAAAAAAATTAAATTGTTATGGTTGGAGCGCAGGATAAAACTGGTGAACAATAAGGCTGGAGAAGTAGGCAGGGGTCTCTCTTGGCTCTCACATTGTCATTTGTATTAGTCATTTGTATTATAACAGAGTACCTCAAAAGTTATCAGCTTAAAACAACAAATATTCATTATCTCACAATTTCTATGGGTCAGTTATTCTGGATGCAGCTTATCTGACTAAGGGTGTCTACAAGGCTATAATCATGGTGTTTGGACCAAGGTCCACTGGTTACATGTGAAGGCTCGACTCAGTGAGGATTTGCTTCCATGCTCGCTCATGTGGCTGATGGGAGGCCTTGGGTCCTCCAGCTGTCGTCCAAAGACATCAGTTCCTTGCCTCATGGCCTTTCCATAGAGCCTTTCCATAGAGCAGCTTTCCATAGAGCTTTCCATACATGGGCCTTTCCATAGAGCAGCTTACAAGATGGCAGCTCGCTTTCCAGGGCAAAGGCTTTGAGAGACAGTGAGAGAGGGCTGGCAAGACAGAGTCACAGTCTTTTTGCAATCTAATTTGGGAAGTGATATCTTATAACTTTTGCTGTATTCTACATGTTAAAAGTGATTCACTAGGTCCAGGATGCACTCAGTGGTAGGAGATTACACAAGAGTGTGAATTACCAGGCCAGGGAGACCATAGGGGCCATTTCAGAGACAGGCTATTGCACTGCTCTTGTTTATAATTAATTCACATGGACAGTACAGATGCTGGGAAATGTTTGCTTGCTAAAAATTCTCATCCATTTTCCACACCCTTCCCTTGCATTGCTTTCTTCCTAATAGCAAGAGAGCCTCTAAACCTCACATTCAGATCCAATACTTGTCTGGAGTCAACCTAAAAGAATTTTGGAGGAGATGAGAATTTTTTTAAAAAAACAAAATTCCATTGTAAATTTTATCAAATTACCCCCTAGAATCTTGTATTGTCTGCACAGTGGTTCCAGAGCTGTAGTATTTTGAGTTGCCCTAACACCTCATGTAGGTTTGTGACTTGGAAATGACCTCTTCACCTAAACATTTTTCTCTTTCTGTGTTTAAAAATGTTAGTATTATCAGATTCTTTCTGAAGTTCTACTTTTTGACATATGAAAACTATAAGAGCTTTTCTGCTGGGTGCAGTGGCTCATGCCTGTAATCCCAGCACTTTGGAAGGCATAGGCAGGTAGATTGCTTGAGCTCAGGAGTTCAAGGCCATCCTGGACAACATGGTGAAACCCCATCTCTACAAACAAAACAAAACAAAAAAACAAAAACTCAGGCATGGTGGCACATGCCTGTAGTCTCAGCTACTCAGGAGGCTGAGGTCGGAGGATTGCTTGAGCCCAGGAGGCAGAGGTTGCAGTGAGCTGAGATCATACCACTGCATTCCAGCCTTGGTGACAGAGCCAGACCCTATCTCAGAAAAACCCCAAAAACTGTATAAGCTTCTAAAAACAATAAACAAACAAGGCTCAGGAGCTTGCAGGAATATTGAAGCCAGACATGTGGTGGGGATATGGGTGCCAGGAGAAGAAGGCTGAGCAACAGCAAAAGGCCTCAGGGTGCTGCTGTTCTGGGAAGCTGTCAGTACTCAGTGTGCCACAAAAACTTACTTGCCCAGAAACTGTCTTGCACTTGCCCTAGAAATGATCAGTTGGAGAGAATTGATTCAAACTGATTATCCTCACAAAATACTGATATCTATAAGCTATGGATCTGAATTTCAATTCACATGGAGAAATGTAAAAGCTGGGGGCCTGGACACTTGTGTCCCCTGGCTTGATGCTCTCTCTCCACATAGCATTAGAATGAGTTGGAACAAGGCAAGCTACTTTTGTGACCTGGATGCTTAAGAGCTTTGTGTTCTAATGGTCTGAAGTAACACCTGCATGCTAGGGATGCTGCTGCCACTGGGATGCCGGGTCATGATCTAGCTCTAGAGCATCCTCCCCCGGACAGCCTGGTCAGCACTCCCAATATCTGTGGCACTGGCAGAAGGCTAACCAGCCAACCACACCAGGACCTCATATGTAAGAAGAATTCAGAGTTTATGGGTTGTAAGTAAATGAAATCCAATTGGAATGACCATTGATAGAAATGGAATTTATTGGCTCATGAAATCCTGAAAGAGCAGGAGTGAGGCCATATGGGTGTGCTCCATCTTTTGTCTCAGCTTCTCTCTACATATTGGCTTCATTTTCTTCCCTTCACCATAGATCAGCTTCCACCATATGGGAGAAACCATAATCCTTAAGATTTATATTGGAAATGCCAGGCCAACAAAGAGGAACTTACTCTATTTCCCAATTCCTAAAAAGTCTCAAGGAAGAGATTAAGTGCCTCTCCAGGAGCAAGCGACTGCTTCAAGTAGGGAGGGTCAGGATCATATCAAAATGGCAACCGCTGGGCAATAACATGTGCACAACAGTTGCGGCTGGAGGGAGAAACCCCTGAAGAAGGCAGTAGTGATGGCATCCACCACAGGACCTCAGTAGCCCATGGGCCTCATGAACAATCACAACAAACCACCTCTTGGCCAAATTTGAGCACCTGATGCCCTCATACATGCATAGATTCCTTCATTCTTCTGCTCTAGCAGATGAACGTGCATATGTTTTCAATCATAATTTAGGTGTATTACTTTGTGTTTTGGATGTTTCTTCTTCAATATCCATTGGATTGGACACGTCAAATATGCACTAAGAATGAATAAGAATGGTTTCAGACTATGTACAATGCATAGAGCATCGCTTCTCACCCAGATTGCTTATCCCACCTATGCTCTTGGGGATAGGTGTTACAGACTAATGTTCTAACCAGTCAACTAAACCACAAGCAGATCCAACCAATTAAAACCAGGGGAAGGGCTTAGAGAAGAGCCAAAGAGATGGGTGAAAAGCAAACTCTGGAAAATGAAAGACTGTGCTCACATAAGCTGAAAGGAGCAAAAATTTCAGCATCATTTAATGTCTTTAAGGAAATTTCACACTGAACAATGTAATTCAGAAACGTAATATTAGAGCTCCAGTGTCTTAGTCTATTTCGTGCAGCTATAATAGAATACCACAGACTGGGTAATTTATAAAGACCAGGAAAGGTATGGCTCACAGCTCTGGAGGTTGGGACATCCAAGATCAAGGTACTGGCATCTAGTGAGGGTTTTCTTGCTGTGCTATACCATGGCAGAAGGCCTTGAATGACAGAAGAGCAAAAAGAGAGAGAGAACGATAGCAAGAGTGGGTGAACACTCTCCTGCAATAATGACATTAATTAATACCATGACCTAAACACCTCTTAAAAGTCCCACTCACTTGGCCGGGCATGATGGCTCACTCCTGTAATCCCAGCAATTTGGGAGGCCGAGGCAGGCAAATCACAAGATCAGGAGTTCTATACCAGCCTGGCCAACATGGTGAAACCCCGTCTCTACTAAAAATACAAAAATTAGCTGAGCGTGGTGGTGGGTACCTGTAATCCCAGCTACTCAGGCGGCTGAGGCAGGAGAATCACTTGAACCCAGGAGGCGGAGGTTGCAGTGAGCTGAGATGGTGCCACTGCACTCCAGCCTGGCGACAGAGTGAGAGTCTGTCTCAAAAAACAAAAACAAAAAGTCCCACTCACCAATACTGCCATAGTAGCAATTAAATTTCAACATGAGTTTTGGAGGAACAGATATTCAAACCCTAATACTTAGTCGCATTCCTTTATTTGCAGATGAGGAAACTGAGGCCGGAAGGGCTTAAGTGACTGTCTAAGATGTTACATAAGTGATAAGCGGCCAAAGATGCCCCATGACTTAGAAACTACTGATATCTTTACATGGAAATATTATTGCATCTATAATCCCCGCAAGTGCATGAAGGCAGTTTTATAATTTCCATTTCCCCAATGAAAAAGTGAAAATCAGAGATGTTGAGTAACTTGCCCAAGACTTCACAGTAAATAGGTGTTAAAGCCAGGCTGCAAGAACAGGACTCTGTAGCAAAGGTACAGAGTGATACAAAATGCAGAGAAATGATGTTTAACACTGCCAGAATGCAAGGATCGGAAAAGGTTTCAGAGAAAGTGACATCTGAATGGGTCTGGAAGGAAGGTGAGAGTCCATGGGAAAAAAAGAAACAGAGCCTTCCAGGTAAGTGGAGAAGAGCAAGAACAGAGACTGAATTGTGGAAGAAGAGATAGAAAATGGATTTGGAGAATGACAGATGAGAGTGGAAATTGGGGCAGTGGTCAGCTCATCAAGGGCCTTAAAAGCCACATTAAGAGTTTTAGATTTTTTTCCGTTAAAGCAGAGCTCCTTAAACTGTAATGCGCATGAGGATCATCTGGGGATCATGTTAAAATGCAGATTCTGAATCAGCAGATCAGAGGTAGAGCCCAAGAACACATTTCCAATAAGCTCCCACATGATACTGATGCTGCTGATCTGGGACCACACTTTGAGTAGCAAAGCCTTAGACTCATGCTGTCCAATGTAGTAGTCCTCAGCCACATGTAGCTGTTTTGTCCTTGAAATGTGGCTAGTGAGATGGACGAGTTAGATTTTAAATTTTATTTCAGTTTAATTCATTTAAATTTAATATTTAGAGCATACTCAGTTTGTTATTTTAAAACCCTTAAGTACGTTTGGATTAACTTGAGTATGTGAACCAACTTTTTCAACTGTAAGATTTATGAAATCTCAGTAAAGGTCAAGTATTTCCAATGAGAGTTTATAATGAATTGAGAAGTGCCGTAAGTGTAAAGTATACACCAAAGTTCAAAAATTTTGTATGAAAAAAGAATGTAAAATTTCTCATTTTAATATTAATTACATATTGAAATGGCATTTTTGGATATACTGGGTTAAACATAAATTATTAAAATTCACCTGTTTCTTTTAACCTTTTAAAATGAGGCTATTAGAAAATGTAAAATTTCATACATGGTTTGCATTTGTAGTTCGCATTCTATTTCTATTGGACGGCACTAACATAGATGAGAGGGAGATATTATTTATTGGTTTCTAATCTAAGGAGAATTCCTGGGAGTGGCTCACGGTTTCTGCATTTGGGAAGCTGCAAGCACACAGTGATTCAGCCCCATCCCCCATGCGTGGGCAGATGAAGGCATGGGGGAATAACGTGACCCTGGATTCTGGAGGAGAATATTTATTTGAAGAGGTCCTTGGCTCTATCTTCCCCTGGTCTGCATCTGTCCAAAGGTTATACCTTGCTGGGAAACGCTATTAATTCTCATTACTTTTCTGGCCAGGATCAGAAGACAAATGGATGTATCTTTAAGACATGTAGCTCAGGGACTCCAAGCCCAGCTTGTCACTGCTCACTTTCCAGTTCACCTGTAACCATGACAACTTCATTGGCAGAAGTTGCTATGGAACATAATTCAACCTGACTCCAATTTTTTAAGAAAGAAAGAATGGAAAAACACTCAGCTTTGTCTCAGAGGAATATCAGAGATGGGCTCTCTGGCGATATGCTCTTGACTACCAACCTCATTTAATTACTTTTGCTTGTGATTTTGCTAGGGAGGCATTTCTGCCAGGAGTGATTTCCTGGGAAAGCTGTGAGGGGTTTACATGGAAATGTTACTGTTATGGGATCCAATGGCTCACATGACCTTGGGCTGGCCTGGAATAGGAAGATTTTCAGCACATGCCCTCAAGTTCATTTCATTTCCACTACGTTAGTTCTAATGAGGAAACTATCAGACATTTCATTACATTTCAGAGCTGGGAGGTGCTCGGATGGAAAATTGGGGAGGGGACTAAAAGATGGATCTGAAGCCACTGTGGGGTTAGGTCTTCGGCCTATCCAACCAAATTCAGGGAGGCAGAAAAAGCTGGGAGGATATAAGAAAAGAAGATACTGTACAACCAAAGAAATAATGGGAAAACGCTGTAATCTCGTAAGTAAATAGGAAATACCAGTACCTCGTTATTTCTTTGTTTCTAAAAAGACATGTGTGTATCTTAGATCTGTTTGCTGAAAGGGCCTAGGAGCAATGAGTGACCTTTATGACTGAATTGTAGTCTCTAAATACCATTTCCCACTAAAAGAAATCAGAGTTCCCTGAGGAATGGCTGATTTCACACCCAGAGCAGGGAATGTACAAGATGGTCCTGGCTGTGCCACAAAAGGAGATAACTGTCAATTTTAGTGGATCATATCAAAGGCACCCAGGGGTCAACTTGAAGGGTCTCCCACTGGCTAAAAATGAAACAATTTAAGCATAAAAAATTAATGCAGTAGACTGAAATTGCCATTGACTGCATCAAAATCCATGTTTATAATGATACTTTTGAAAAATAGACATTTACTGGTCAATCTTCAATGTTACTAGGGATCCTGACAAAGAAAGGGAAAGATTCCAGCATTTGTCCTGTCCCTTCTGCATGAACTGCTTTTCAGTGTAACCAGATAGGTAATGCAAGTTCTGTGTGGACAATTCCAACTAATAAAGGCAGATGGAAGGATACAATTAGTAAATATTTTAGAGTAATTTTAGGCAACAATCCTCAATGGATGCTGAAACCACTGGGTGAAATGTTGATGGAGAACTTTATACGAAAAAATCAGGGTGATAACACCTGGATCCACTGTTCCATCTCGGCACTACAAAAGTGGAATCACCAAGCATTATGTGCCTACTCATGTGATGCAATGCGAAGTGTAAAGCACCAACTCTGAGGCATTCTTGGCCAAAATATTGACTAGACGCTAATTGAACATTTATATGAAGATTTTTTTATTAATTTTTTTAGGCGCGATAATGGCGTGGTGGTCATATTTTTTAATGTCTTTATCAGCTAGAAATGCATCCTGAAGTAATTTGGGGGGAAATACTATGATGTTAGGATTTGCACTAAATCGCCCCAGCGTAAAACAAATATACAAAAGTTTGGGTAGATGAAATGAGACTGACAACAGGTTGATAACTGGGATTGGGCAGATAGAGGCTTATTGTATTATTGTGTTTTTAAGAATATTTGAAAATTTTTGTAATGAAAGGAAATCTGGGCTACACAGTTCTAGAAGGGAGGAAGCAAATTATTTTTGCTCCAAAATGAATGAAAAGCAGTTGCATTTTATGTAGGATTTGAGAGCTGTCCATCGTCCTAGCATCAAAAGTCTAGCCCAACCCACAGAGAGCCATCAGCAGGTTCTCATCACAGCTCTTACTCAGAATTTAACTCTCATCATGCATGTAAGTAGCTCCTGCACATTGTATCAAGCTTTTCTTGGTTATTCCCGCCTTCCCCACTTACACTCTTTTTCCATCTCTTTCTTTTCTCCTTCTATTTTCTCATCGTGTGTGTATCCATTGTAGCTCAGGCTCATTAAAAGACTGATGTCCAATATGAAAGAAAATGTGTGATGTACTGGTAATCAAACTTTTAAAAATACACCATTTTCAAGTGATTCACTTCACAATTTTCTGTTTTCTGACAATTTGATAAGTTAACATTGGATATCCAAACTTAGCCAATAATTAACATCGGCTATTAATCCCACTGAATATTAGAAACATACAAGACTATCATGCATCTATGCCATGATGTGGCAATATTCAAGGAAAGTCAAAATAACTAATTAGAGCAGTGCTTATGTTTCCTTTTTCAATTTTCATCTATTTAAAAAGTAATACCTCAGAAAAATCTTTAATTTCTCCAACATAAGACTATTGCCGTGTTTTAATCACCACATACACTGCAACATTCGCAGTGAACTTGCAGTTTTAGGTCTTTCTCCTTTTCCATTAAGTTTATATCACAGGTATGTTTATCGTTCTATTGGCAACTAGAGTATTTTTTTTCTTTCTTTTTTCTTTTTTTTTGAGATGGAGTCTAGCTCTGTCGCCAGGCTGGAGTGCAGTGGTGCTATCTTGGCTCACTGCAACCTCTGCCTCCAGAGTTCAAGTGATTCTCCTGCCTCAGCCTCCCAAGTAGCTGGGATTACAGGCACGTGCCACCATGCACAGCTAATTTTTGTATTTTTAGTAGAGATGGGGTTTCACCATGTTGGCCAGGATGGTCTCGACCTCCTGACCTCGTGATCTGCCCACCTTGGCCTCCCAAAGTATTGGGATTATAGGCGTGAGCCACTGTGTCTGGCCTTTTTTATCATTTTTTGTTGACATATAAAATGAAGATATAATATGTGATATATAGTATGTAATTAAAATATATGATGATACATATAATATATAATATTCTAAGGCATATAATATGTAAAATATAATTTCTCCACATCCTCTCCAAAACTTATTTTCTATCCTTTTTATTACAGTCATCCAAGTAGGTATGAATTGGTATCTCATGGTTTGATTTGCATTTCCTCAATGACTAATGATGTCAAGCACCTTTTTTTGTGCTTATTGGCTATATGTATACCTTCTTTAGATAGGTATACAACCTTTGCCATTCTTAATTGGATTATTTGTCTTTTTATTACTCAGTTGTAAGAATTCTTTAAATATTCTGGATACATGACCCTTGTCAGACACATAATTTGCAAAAACTTTCATTCTGTGGGTCATTTTTTCACTTCCTCGATAGTTATTCTGTCTTTATATTTGGCTTTTGGTAGTTTGAGTATGATGTGTATAGGTGTGGATGTTTTTGAGTTTACCCTACTTGGAATTTGTTGAGTTTCTTGGATGTGTAGACAGTTTTTAACCAAATTTGGGAACTTTTCAGCTATCATTCCTTCAAACATTCTTATGCCCCTTTTTTTCCTTCTTTGTCACTGTGACTCCCATTATATGTATGTTGATACGCTTGATGGTGTGTCTGTCTTAGTCCATTTGAGCTACTATAACAAAAAAACCATAGACTGGGTGACTTGAACAACAAACATTTCTTACTCACAGTTCTGGAGTCTGGGAAGTCCAAGATCAAGCTGCCAGTAAATATGATGCCTGGTGAGGGCCTACTTCCTGGCTTATAAACAACCGTCTACTCACGATATCCTCACATGGCAGAAGGGCAGAGACAGAAAGAAGGCTCTCTCATAACTCTTCTAAGGGCAATACGACAGCTCCACCCTTATGACTTCATCTAATCCTAATTACCTCCTAAAGGCCCTACCTCCTAACACCATCACTTGGGCGTCAAAGGGTTTCAACACATAAATTTGAGGGTGACAAACATTCAGTTCATAACAGTGTCACACATGTCTCTGAGGCTCTGTTCATTTTTCCTTGTTCCTTTTTCTGTTCCTCAGACTGAATAATTTCAATGGACCTATCTCTGAGTTTGTTGCTTATTTACTTCTGACAGCTCAAATCTGCTGTTTGGAACCTCTTATAAATTTTTCAGTTTGGTGATGGTACTTTTCAAATCCAGAATTTCTATTTGGTTCGTTTTTGTAATTTCTACCTTTTTCTTTATATTTTCTCTTTATTGAAACATTAGTCTCACACTTTATTTCTATAGGCCTGGTTTCCTTTAGTTCTTAGAACATTATTTATTTATTTATTTATTGTTTATTTATTTTTGAGACAGATCTCACTCTGTCATCCAGACTGGAGTGCAGTGGTGCAATCTCATCTCACAGCAAACCCCGCCTCCCAGGCTCAAGGGATCCTTCCGCCTCAGCCTCCCAAGTAGCTATGTGCCACCATGCCAGCTAATTTTTAGCCTTTTTTTGGTAGAGAGAAGGTCTCATTATATTGCCCAGGCTTGTCTCAAACTGGTTCTTAGAACATATTTTAAATAACTGATTTAAACTATTTTCTAGTAAGTACAATGCCTGGGCTTCCTTAGGGACAGTTTCTACCAATTGCCCATTTTTCCAGTGTATTAGTCATACTTTTTGTTTCTTACAATGTTTTGTTGAAATGTGGACATTTTAGATAATACAATATGGCAACTCTGAAAATCAGATGTCCTCTCCCAGTTTTTTTTTTTTAATTGTTGCTATTTGTTATTGTTGTTGTTTGTTTGTTTATGACTTTTTTTCAACTAATTCTGCATTAGTCTAAATCTTTGTTGTCTGTGGCCACTGGTGTCCCTGCTCTGTTACTTTGTTAGGTATGGGTTGGAAAGATATTTCCTCAAATATGTGGAACTTGTAGTCTCCCAGACTTTGCCAAGGGTGATGTACCTCTTCAACACTCAGATTGGCAGTTGACAATTCTGCCTTACCCTTCACTTTTTTCATGCAGAGCCTCAAGGTCAGACAGAGGTGAGAGCTTAGGGCTTTCACAGGTCTTCCCTTAACATGTACACAGCCCTGGCCATATGCACAGCTTTAGAGCACAGCCTGTAGATTTCCGGGAATAGGTCAGAGCTTTTCAAATCCTCTATGTGGACATCTCTTTCCTCAATTTTCCTTTTATGTTTTTGGTTAACCTATTGTTTGCCCTACTGTTATCCATTAGGCAGCTGCATAGTTTAATAGTTGATTCCCATCTTTTCCATAAATGCCCCTAAAGAAAAGGGGGTTCCACTGAATGACTTCTGAATCAGGTGAAATAAAGAGAGCTTTGCAAGTGATGTCTTCCAGGGAACAAAAATAAAAGCCAAATAATGACAATTCTCTGATACTAAACTTTGAAGGAGCTCTAACCCTGTTCTGTTCTGTTCTGTCCCCTTCAGTGGATGCCTAGCTGCTAGTGTTTTTTTACCATGATTGTAGGATGCTAGTTTTTAAGACTACTGCACATTAGGTATGGGAGGAGTCCCCCGCTTACCCACGGTTTCACTTTCCATGGTCAACCATGGTCTGAAAATAGGTGAGTACAATACAATAAGATATTTTGAGAGAAAGAAGAGATAAAGACAGAGAGCACATTCACATAATATTTGTCACAGTATATTGTTATGTGTTCTATTTTATGATTAGTTATCGATAATCTCTTACTATGCCTAATTCATAAATTAAACTTTATCATAGGCACATATATATAGGAAAAAAACATTGTATATATAGGATTGGAGACTATCTGTGCTTCAGGCATTCACTGGGGATCTTGGAACATGTCCTGGGAAGATAAGGGGGAACTAATGTGGAGCAAATTACATATCACCAAATTCACTGTTCTTACCAAGATTCAGCCGTTTTTCTTAAATTAATGCTTTCTGAATTGCCACAAGCCTTTTGTTAATTTCCAGAGTTCAGACAAAGTTTATTCTAATATTTTTTGCCAGTTTCTCTCTCTCTTTTTTTTTTTTTTTTTGAGACAGAGTCTCCAGACTGAAGTGCAGTGGTGTGATCTCAACTCACTGCAAAGTCTGCCTCCTAGGTTCAAGTGATTCTCCTGCCTCAGGCTCCCAAGTAGCTGGGACTACAGGCACATGCTACCACACCCAACAATTTTTTTGTATTTTTAGTAGAGATGGGGTTTCACTGTGTTAGCAAGTATGGTCTCGATCTCCTGACCTGTGATCCACCCGCCATGGCCTCCCAAAGTGCTGGGATTACAGACATAAGCCACTGTGCCTGGCCTTCTCATGGTTTTTATAGATGAGAGACTTTTAGATGTCCTTATTCCACCATTTTCATTGATGTCACTCCTGCAACATGTGGAAGTTAACAGTAACAAAATAGTCATTTATGTGAAAACCCTAACCAAAATGAAGTCAGAGAGGGCCATGAAGAAGAAGCTGTCAGACGTGATTTCCTGAAATGCCTGCCCTGCTTGCTCTATCTTGTAAACAGAGCAAGCAGAGCTCATCACAGGAATTTCCTCTGGCCTACAGTATTTCAGATAGTACCCTTGGACCAGGACAGTTGAACAGCAATGGCTTTCTTCCCTGATGGACTAACAGCAACTCCTGCAATGAGTGCCTGTAACCAATGAGCTTTCTTTCAAAGCAGTTTGCATGGTCTTCTCTTTGTCTTTAAAAACTTCCCTTTGTCCTGAATTTCCTTGTGTGGGCCTATGATTTTCATAGCACATATATCCCCAGTTGCAACGCTTTGCAATTTGCAATTAAAATCTTTTGTTCTAGAGATGCTGTCTGTCTCTCTAAGGCTCTTTTTCAGGTTGACAAATTATTTTTTCTAACTAAACTTGTTTGCATCTTATTATAGACTTAGGCCTGGCCTGTAGAAGAAAATTTGCTTGATTTTAAAAACATAAAAAAAGAGACCACTTTGAATTTTATAGCTGTTCTCATTGGAGGCTTACTGAATTATTGGTAACTGATATCCATAATTAATGGGCCACCTTATACTAAGGAATCAGAAGTTATATGCACCTATTCTGCAAAAGAGAGTCAAGAGATCTGTGGGAAAGCCAAGTCTTTAAAGTATCAAGTCACATAAGCTGAGAACTTTTCCATATAGAAGGCCAGCATCCATTTTATCAATTATAAACCACTGTAAAAAGTCATATCATCTTCCTAAAAATACTTCTTTTATATTAATTTTAAAACGTGGGCTGCGTGCAGTGGCTCATGCCTGTAATCCCAGCACTTTGGAAGGCCGAGGCAGGCAGAAGACCTGAGGCCAGGCCAGGGCGGATCACCTGAGACCAGCCTGGACAATATGGCAAAACCCTGTTTCTGCTAAAAATACAAAAATTGGCTGGGTGTGATGGCGCACACCTGTAATCCCAGCTACTCAGGAGGCTGAGGCAGGAGAAGCACTTGAACCTGGGAGGCGGAGGTTAAAGTGAGCCGAGATCATGCCACTGCACTCCAGCCTGGGCAACAGAGGGAGACTGTTTAAAAAAAAAAAAAAAAAAAAAAAAAAAGCTGAGTAAGGTGGCTCACCCGGCAGGCAGATCACTTGAGGTTAGGAGTTCAAGACCACCTGGTCGACATGATGAAACCCCATCTCTACTAAACATACAAAAATTAGCCAGGTGCAGTGGCATGTGCCTATAATCCCAGCTACTTGGTGGGCTGAGGCAGGAGAATTGCTTGAACCCAGGAGGTGAGGTTGCAATGAGCCGAGATCATGCCTCTGTACTCCAACCTGGACAACAGAGCAAGATTCTCTCTCAAAAAAAAAAAAAAAAAGTGATCAGGGATTTCCAGGAATATGAAGTAAATGTACTTTTCCCTATTCCTCCTGCTAAGTACATCTAAATTCCCTGGATATTATATACAAAATGAACAAAAAATGCCATGAAAGATAGAGAGAAGAATGCAAACTAACTAGGGACCTCAGGACTTAAGGAACAACAAGGGAGTGAGTTCTCTGGGCTTACTTTTTGCCTTATATATCTAAGGCTTGGAGCTGAAGAAGCTAACAACCCAGAAACACCAAAAGAGGGAAAAAGTACCCACAAAAGCTTCTCTCTAATCAGAGGACTGGGAAAGGGGAAGCTTAGCAAGAAATTTGGCCAATGAGAAGCACTAGTAGGAGATCAGGGGATGAGAAGAGAGAGAGGCCAGTGTTTTTATTCCCTCAGCTCCTTATTAATATGGGGAAAAAAGGCTCAGCTCTCTTCCTCAATGTTAGATATCTCTACAGGATCATCATAGTTGAGAGTTCCCTGTGAGACCAGCTGAGTTTGCAACAACATTGCAGTTCAAGTTCTCCCTCTGCCCAATTTTGCCTCCCTCAGCCTTCACAGATGTTGCTCCCATGAGACACCTCAATATACCACCAGCATACAAATTTCAGAGTTTCAGAGTCTCCTGGAATCTCAACCTGCCGCAACTGGATTTAGCCAATGAACTAGGAATAACTGCATCCTGCATGACATTTGAGACTCTGCGAAGGACACCTTTGGTTTTATTGACATCCTCTGACATCCAGCTTTCATATTATCCAAGTGTTGGCCTTCTCAGGTATCCCAGTGACATCGAAGCACCAGTCACCACATTATGAGGCACTGTGAGATCCCATTGTACTTTCTAAGTTATTAAAGCATGTTTCCTAACTTTCTGAAAGTTGTATGAGATCCACTTACCCTGATTTACCTAGAACACCCATGTCATGAGACTTTAATCAAGAGCATTTGATTATTAAGATCCCATTTCTCAGATGAGGAAATTAATGTCTGGGTTCACTGTGTGACCTCACTGAGCAAGCTGAATTTTTCAGCTCTGGGTGTTCCAAGAGTGCCACGAAGCCCTTGTTTTACCCCAAACGTTAGGCCCCATAAAATGACTGTCCACTGGACTGAAGATGTTATAGCATCATATTTAAAATCTCCATGGGATGATAGTGGGTGTCAGGCAAAAAATAAAAAGTGTTCTGTAGTCAAATAAGTCCGTGAAACGCTGGGTTAAACAAAAACAAACAGGTTTCTTTACTGCAAAGCATCTTGGTTCTTTTAATATGCTGTATCTATCCATTTATTTAAAATTTATTTAGCCCATAACATGTGTTAGGCCCTCTTTTGGGTACTTGGGATATGTCAGTGAACCAAACAGATACAATTCTCTCACCTTGTAGAGTCTGCATTCTAACGAAGTCGTGGGGGAGACAACAAGCATAATAAATGGATAAATGATGTCATGTCTTAGATGATGATAAAACTATGGGTAGAAGAGAATAAAATGATAAAGAGTGTCCAGGGTAGAGTAAGGTGGGATTAAAATTTTAAATATGGTGGCCAAGATTAGACCTCATTGAGAAAGTGATGTTTAGTTGAAAATTTGAAGGGGCTGAGAGAATTGGCCACGTGGGAATCTGGGGAAGAGTATTTCAGGCACAGGAAGCAGTCAGTACAAAGGCCTTAGGCAGGCACAAACATGGTGTGTTTCAAAGAATAGTAAATAGTGTGACTAGAGTGCAGAAAGGGAGGGGCAGGGAAGCAAGAGAGGAGGTCAGAGAGATCAGGGGAGGGGAAAGACCACAGGCCATGGTAGGGACGTTGGCTTTCCCTCTGGGTGAAATGGGGAGGCACTGAAGGGCTTTCAAAGCAGAAGAGTCACAGTCCACCTGGAAAACGTAAGAAATCTTTAGATAAACAATGAAGACTGGTGCTTTTTCTCAGATTGCAGGAGATAAGCTTAAAAAAAAAAAACCCAAAAACAAAACCAAAACAAAACCAAAAAACCCAGCAGTGCTTCTATACATAGAGCAAAAAAGAATTACAAAATAAAAATTTAAAAAGATACTAATTGAGTGGGAACAACAACAACAAAACTATTTAGAAGTAAAACAAAAAAGACGAACAAGATTTTTAATAAACAAAATTCAAAATATTATTGAAAGACCTAGGAGGAAAAGATTGAAACAATGGGAAAATGTACTATGATCATGCATAGAAAAATATAATCTGGTAAAGATGTCATTTGTCCCCTGAGAAATATAAATACAGCATAAATTTAATTAAACTCTCAAAGCATTTCTTTTTATGTTTTAATTTGAGATAAGCTGATCTTAAAATTAATATGGAAAAGTAAAGGGCTAAGGAGACTCAAGATAATTCTGAAGAAGACTAAGGAGTGGGGATCTTACCCTACCATATGTCAAAGTTCATTATAAAGCTACAGTAATAAGATGCTATAATATTTGTCTAATGACACAAAGATTAACCAAAGGGACAAAACAGAGAGCCCCAGAAATAGACTATACACACATGGAAAGGAAACGTGACAGGGATGGTATTACACATCAATAAAGGAAAGGCGGGTTATCCAATAAATCATGCTGAAGATATAGATAATGCATGTGGGAATAAAATAGATCTTTATCTAATGCCATATCCAAAAATAATTTCTAGGTGAGCTCAAAAAAGGACTAAATGTGAAGGACAAAACTTCAAAGTTTTTAAAGAAAATGTAGGAAAATATGACACTGGGATAGGAAATTTTTAAAAAAACAAGTCACTAAAATATAAACCACACAGGAAAATAATGGCATTTTTGTTATGTTAAATGTGAAATCTCCTGTTGCTGGTGAAGTGAGTTTGAAGCCAAGAGATGAGAGTTTAATTACCAGCCCACCTGCAAAACAAACAATATCACAAATAAAGTACAAAAAATAAGACCACTGACTGTTAGAAGATATTTGTACATTGTTATTAAGAATTACTACCCAAAATTTCAGGTAGTACTTGCACAAATAACAAAAAGATCCAAAACCCAAGCAAAAAGTAAGTAAATGATATAAAAAGGCAGTTCCAAAAAGATATTCAAATAGCCAATAAATATATGACAAGTTTTCAACCTTCTTATTAACCAGGGAAACACAAATTTAAACAAAAATGAGATACCATTCCTTGGATTGACAAATATGTAAAACAAAACAAAACAAAACAACTTGACAGTATTAATATTGACAAGGATCCTGGAGATTGGTGGTTTTTAATCATTGCTCGTCAAAATGTAAATTGCTACAACACTTTGTGAAGCAATCTTTTGATATTTAATGAAGTTAAAGGTGTTGATAGCCTGTGTCCTAGAATTCCTGCAATTCTTGTTAAAGGTGTATGCCTTGAAAAACTCACACTTGTGCATAAGGGGTCCTGCACAAGGAGGGTTTATGCTTGCAAAAAGAAAAAAATGGAAACAGTGTAAATGTCCATATCAATGAAAGAATTGATAAATAAATAGTAAAGTATTCATACAGAGCAGCAGCTAAAATTAATGAATTAGAGCCACATGTATAAACGTAATCTTAAAACCATAAGGTTAAATTAATAAAGCTAATAGAAAAATCCTACGTGCATTCTGATGCAATACCACAAATAAAAGGATTTAGAACAGGCAACACAGTAGATAGAATTTATTGTAGATAAATATATGTTTTAAAAGTATAAAAATTTCCATAAGGAAAAATATAAATCAACTTGAGGATAATGTTTCCCTTCGGAGACGGAGTGGGAAAGAAGATCAGCGAGGAAGGCACAGATGCTGTGATTCTATCTGCAAGGTTTTGTTCTTAAAACCAAAAAACAAAATGAAAATGAAGAAAAATGTGTTCTCTGCCAAAATGAAAAAATTCACTCTCTGGACTACATAGAAGAAGGGACAAAGCTGAAGGGAAAATGAGGGAGCTGGAAAATCAAGCCATGCATACTGGAGCAGAAGTGACCAGGGATGACAGTGTAGCCAGGGAGCTCTGATGGTTTTACGAAGTTTCCCAAAGTCTGCAGATGGTGCAACAGCACGGCCAGATATTTCCTATGTCTCCAAGGAGGAGGCATGAAAATGCTAGCAAAGAGAAAATATTAGTGGCCTTGAAGATGCTTTGAAGAGTACCTCAAGGAGAAGTAATAGCAGAGGTCAGTGTGAACACCCTAACAGAAAACTAGACGGGAATGCAGAAGATTCAGAGGGTCCCAGTGTGAGGAGATAAAGAAATCTATGGGTGGTGGGATAATATAAGTTCAGCAAAGTCAGCACAGGAAGGACCCATTGCCAGTTTCGCTGAGTCACAATGCCTCTATGCTTCGTAACTCCCCAAGTGGATACCAGCCAGAAAGTAAAAGGAGATACTTAAAGTGATGAATGGAGAAAAAAAATTATGAATTGAATGGAAAAAACCTGAATCGACTCATGTTAACCTTAATTAAGAAAAAACGAAGATCTAGATCATTAAGTGGTACAGAGATATGAGATAGCAATTCATTTTAATTATTATATAAGGAAAACAATCACATTTAGTCAAGAGAAAGAAGAAAACAAAAAAGAGGAAAAAGGAAATAATGAGGGAAGAGGAGGAGATTAGAGGAGAGATGGAAGGAAGAAAACATGGTGGCAGATACAGAGGATTCACCTGGACTCATTAACTTGGACTTCTCCACTGTGGGTGCTGTGGTTACTGGTACCACTAAGTGCCTGCCAACAGCAGAGGCCAATGCTCATTCTTCAGTATCCACCATTCCCTAAGGAATTAATTAGCTCCCTTGTGGTGGGTAGAGTCCATTGGATCCCTTTCATCATACAGGAGGCAGAGATTTGTCCTCATTAGAAGAGATATAAGTCCCGCACATGAATTTGCATTCCCTGCTCACAGTGCTTCTGCCAACTGCCCCATTTATGGACTTGTAAAATACCTTATTCACCATCATGGTATCTCTCATTCCTTCCAACAAAGGAATTTGTTTGAGAGTAAGAGAAGCACAGCAATGGGCTCATGACCATGGACTTCATTGTCTTGCCATGTACCCCATCACCCAGAAGCAGCTGCCCTGGCAGAAGAGTAGCATGACCTCCCGAAGACTCCATCATGGCACCAGCTGGGAGACCATGAGCAGCTGGGGCGCTGCCCTCTGGGGTGTGATATATGCTTGAAACCAGCAACTGTTATGTATACCACATCTCCCAGAGCCACAGTAAACAGATTCAGGAGTCAAGGGGTGGCAGTGACAGTGGTCCGTCTCACTCGTGTAACTAAAAACACACATGCAGAATTTTCTATTCTACCCTTTACAAGGTTGGGCTCTGTTGGTCTAGGTTTTGTTCCCTGAGAGAAGAAGGCCTACACCAGGGCACTCAACAGTAGGCCCATTAAGTTGGAAGTTGGAACTGCCATGTGGCTATTTTGGGTTCTTGTGCCAACAAAACAAGACAGAGATGAGATGGTGTACAGTTGTTTCTCCTTGCTTCTCCCCAGTAAGTACAACTATAAACTCTGGAAATGCCTCAACTATAAACTCTGAAATGGCCAACCAAAGGAGAACTCTAAACAGTGGAAAGAGGGAAGCTGATGGGTTGGGGACCCCACCACTGAAGGAACAACATGGAAGCAGGGCAGCTTAAGTCCCTCACCCATGGATCAGGATCCCTGATAACAATAAGCAGCCAAGAACAGCACTCTCCTTCCCCACTGGGCCTAAGACTTCCTAAGCCTCCCCTTCCAAGAGACACTTGGGCAGCCAGGCATCTCAGACAAGAGTGATCTCATTGCAACAGGTGGCCCAGCCCCAGAAGTATCTTTGTCCCTGTGGGCTGGAGACTCCCCTCCTCCTCCTGGTGACTGGGTGGCCCTGGCAAGTGTATCCCACCACAAGTGCCCCAGCCCAGAAAGCAATCTTTGCTTTTGTGAGCCAGAGACTTCCTTTCTCCCATTAGAGGCACCAGGTGGTTGAGATCTGGAAAAGCTCCTTCTGCCCGATAGGCAGCATCCAGGGATCAGTGGGAGCCCCAGTGGCACTAGACACACCCTCAGGACAAACTGCACAGCAAAGGCTCTGAAAATTAAATTGTCATTGGAAGCAAAGCCCACAAAAGTAGACTTATGACATTTATTGTTTTTTGACTTTTTAATAATGGACATTCTGGCTTGGGTAGGGGGTATCTCATTGGGGTTTTAATCTGCATTTCCTTGATGACTAGTGATGTTGAGCAGTATAATGTCTATGCATGTCATTTGCCCACTTTTTAATGGGATTATTTGTTTTTTCTTTGTGATTTGTTTCAGTTCCTTGTAGATTCTGGGTATTAGTCCTTAGTCAGATGCATAGACTGCAAATATTTCCTCCCATTCTGTAGGTTGTCTGCTTACTCTGATGATTATTTATTTTGCTGTGCTGAAGCTTTTTAGTTTAATCAGGTCCCATTTATTTATTTTTGCTCTTGTTGCATTTGCTTTTGGGGTTTTCATCATAAATTCTTTGCCTGGGCCAACGTCTAGAAGAGTTTTTCCTAGGTTTCCATCTAGAATTTTATGGTTTCAGGTTTTAAGTCTTTAATCCATCTTGAGTTAATTTTTGTATATGATAAGAGGTAGGGATCCAGTTTTATTCTTCTACATGGGGCTATCCACCTTTCTCAGCACCATTTACTGAATAGGGTGTCCTTTCCTCACTGTATGTTCTTGTATGCTTTGTTGAAGATCAGTTGTTTGTAAGTATTTGGCTTTATTTATGGGTTCTCTATTCCATTCCATTGGTCTATGTATCTATTTTATACCAGTGCCATGTTGTTTTGATTACCATAGCCTTGTGGTATTCTTTGAAGTCAGGTAATGTGATGCCTCCAGATTTGTTCTTTTTCATTTAGATTGCTTTAGCTATTTGGGCTCTTTTTCAGTTCTATATGAATTTTAGGATTGTTTTTACTAATTCTGTGAAAAATGATATTGGTCTTTTGATAGCAATTGCACTGAATCTGTAGATTGCTTTGGGTATTACTGTTGTTTTCACAATATTAATTCTTCCATCCATAAGCATGGGATGTATTTTCATTTGTTTGTGCCATCTTTGACTTCTTTCAGCAGTGTTTTGTAGTTCTCTTTGTAGAGATCTTTGATCTCCTTGGTTAATTATTTGCCAAGGTTTTTTTTTTTTTTTTGTAGCTATTGTAAAAGGAATTGAGTTTTTTGACTCTCAGTTTGATCATTGTTGGTGTATAGCAGTGCTACTAATTTGTGTACATTGATTTTGTAACCTGAGACTTTACTGAATTCATTTATCAGATCTAGGAGTCTTTCTGAAGAGTCTTTAGGGCTTTCTAGGTATATGATCATATCATTGGCAGAGATAATTTGACTTCCTCTTTTCCAATTTGGGTGTCTTTTATTTTTTTCTCCTGTCAGATTGCTCTGGCTAGGACTTCCACACTGCCAGTTTCTTACCACAGTACCTGTGACTTACTCCCCAGGGTGTTCTCTGCTTGTAGAACTGTGCTTGATGTATGAGAAGCTGGGCAGGAATTCCAGGGAGTCCATGACCAGAAGCAACCTTCAATTAATAAGGGGAAAGAGTTGGTGGATAAATACCCCAGCTTCTGGCCCCTTGATAAGACACTTCTGAGGTATGATCTGCATAGTTGCTTAGTGGGTTCCCAGTAGGACTATACCCCAGTTACAGCACCAGTACCCACAGCTAATGTGATCATCATTATATACTCTATTGGCTTTCCTCCCTTCTTGGACTCTCTTTCCCCTTCTCTTACCATGCTTTTTTGAGACCACTTTCTGCTAATGGTCTGAATATTTGTGTCCCCCAAAATTCATATGTTGAAACCTAATCATCAATGCAATAGTATTAAGAGGTAGGGCCTTTAGAAGACAATTATTATCTCAGGAGGGCAAAATCCTGATGAATGGGATTAGTGCCGTTATATAAAAGGCCCAGGGGAGCTTGTTCACCCCTTCAGCCATGTGAGGACACGTAGATATAAGGTGCCATCTACGAGGAATTGGCCTTCACCAGACACTGAATCTGCTTGTGCCTCGAGGTTGGACTTTCCAGACTGCAGAACTGTGAGCAACAAATTTCTATGTTTATAAATTACCCAATCTAAGGTATTTTATTATAGCAGCCAGGACAAACCAAGACAGCTTCCAAATAAATTATCTGTACCCAAATTCTAGTCTCAAGATCTGCTTTATAAGGAATCAAAAGTGATACAGATGCTATGACACACTGTCAACCTGGGTGAGTTGCGGGCATGACTGCTCTGCCTACCAGTCCTGAGAGATGCACAGACGTCAGTGGAGATGCTCAGGCTGCAGTTGCTTTCATGACCTAATATAGATACTGTGTTGTTACCTTTCCCTTCATTGCCACTCTTGTGTCTTTATGTGGCTTGGTCATATTTTAACAGGAAAGATACATTATGAACCAATAGTAGAAATGAAGCTTAGAGATGAGATCCAAAACGCAAGACATTTTATCAAGGTCTAGGCAGGGGGAGGAAAGGAAGGGATAGGAGAATGAAGCAGAGGACAGAGACATGTCTCTACTAGGAAAAAATCCTGCTCATCTAAGAGCTCAAATAACTAGCTAGGCAAGGACGAGATCACAAAATCACTCTAGGCCACAGGATACAGTCAAATAGCATCACATAAGCAAAGCAACCGGTGAGTATTTGTTCCAATTACTATTTCTGTGTAACAAACTACTCCAAACTTAGTAGGGTAAAGCAACCACCATTTTGTTATGCTGATGAATCCTGTGGGTGTGAAATTTAGAAACTACATGTATCACTCCATTCTCACACTGCTATAAAGAACTGCCCAAGACTGGGTAATTTAGAAAGGAAAGAGGTTTAATGGTCTCACAGTTCCACATGGCTGGAGAGGTTTCAGGAAGCTTACAATCATGGTGGAAGTGGATGGGGAAGTAAGGCACCTTCTTCACAAAGTGGCAGGAGGGAGAAGTGCCCAGCGAAGGGGGTAAGAGCCCCTATAAAACCATCATATCTTGTGAGAACTCACTCACTATCATGAAAACAGCATTGGGGAACTGCCCCATGAGTCAATGACCTTCACCTGGTCTGTCTCTTGGCACATGGGGATTATGGGGATTACAATTCAAGATGAGATTTGGGTGGGGACACAAAGCCAAACCATATCACTACACAATAGGACCAGCTTGTGTCTGCCTTTATGATATCTGGAGTCTCAGCTGGGAAGGAAGGTTTGAAAGCTGGGAGTGACCCAACAGCTGGGGTATGGAACCACTGAAGGCTCATTTACTCACAGGTCTAATGGTTGATGCTGGCTGTTGACTGGATCCCCAGCTGGGACTGCCAGCTATGGCATCTACATGGGTCCTTTCCATATGGTTGCTTAGATCTCCTTATAGCATGGTAGCTGGGTTCCAGGAGTAAGCATCCCGATATAGGCAGAAGCTATATTGACTTTTATGACCCAGAAATAACCAAGTGTCATTTTCAATACCCTCAGAAGTTCACCCCAAATTGAGGGGAAGGAATATGGAATGAACACAATGTCTCAATGAGAAGAGTGTCATTGAGAGAAATCACTTTGAAAGAAGATAATGTGGGTTGAGAGACATTGCTGCACACATCTTAGGAAATGCAGTCTGCCACAATGTTCACTGAGCATCTACTATGTGTTTAGCCCTGTTTCAAGGGCTATGAGGTTCTCAAGATGGAGCCCTAGTGTCTGAATCCATGTTGGCTGGAAGGGGCTTCACACACTCCAGTTAGGGCTACTTCCTGGCTCACAGTGGCTCTACCTTCTCTGGGAACAGCCTTGAGATTGGTTGAGGATGGACAGCTTGTGCAAGCAAGGTCAAAACAGTCTTTTCTTAATTTCTCTAGCTGGTTCTGAGAAAAGTGGGGCAGCTGTTTCTAGCCATGTGTAGGAGGCCAGCCTGCACTAGGCAAGAATAAAGCTGACACTCGGAGAGAAACAGAAATGAGAGAGAGAGAGAGCCTCACAGCCTTTAGTTTCAGGCATCTCTGAGACCCATCAGCACCTTTGCCTTTCCCAGGTGTACATGAAATATCCTAGATCCTTCCCAAATAATTTCAAAAAAAAACAACAACAACAACAACAACTAAGCTTTTGAAGTTGAATGCTGTCACTTGCAACTGAAAGTGTTCTGCCACGCACAGGTATAAATAAGATGGAGCATTGTCCACAAGGGCTGGCCCCAGAGCAAGTAAGAACAATGTCAGCCATCAGATTCAAGGGTCAAGAGGGAGGTCATCATCTAATGGTGGGGTTAGATGTCAGGAGAGAAGGACACCAAGAGCTGGTCAGGAAATAGAGTTCAAGGGGACAAATGGAAGGTTTTGGAGTCACGCAGACACAAATTCAAATCCTGTCTCAGAGATTTGTTGCTGAACCTCTCAGAGCCTCAGTCTCCTTGTCTGTAAAATGGAACTAATGCCCATCTCATGGATTATTGAGAAGACTCAATGGCTACTGTTAGGATTTTGTACAAGGGCAGTTACCTGGGAAACCATGATTCATTCATATAGAAGTGCAAGATTCTGAATTGTTATTGTTCTACTCAACTTCATTTTATCTGAACCCGATTACTCAGCTGGGACATCACTCTCATGTAGAAACTGCTGTGAGTGTCTCATCCCATACCCTCCTGGGCCACCTCTGAGTTTGCCTGCAGATGGGGAATAGAGAACCCTACATGCTGCTGGTTTTCCTCCCCAAGCATGTATATTCTTTGCTCTTCTATATGAGGTGTTTTTTCACCATTGTGGGTGTTTGCTCTATCAAGAAATGAAGGGGAGATTATCCCCTGGGCTACTCTCATCCAACAAGGAAGAGAATCAGTGGACAAATGCTGCATCTTCCCTGTCTTCCAATGGAACAGTTGTGTTCTTCATGGTTTCTCAGGGGTCTGCCACAGAATTGAGCCCCAGCTGCTCACAGTGGTTACCCACTCATGAGCATATATCTGCTGGTTTTTCTCCTTTTCCTGTCTCACTTCCCTACCTCCAAACTTGGGAGTCTTACTACTTCCTGGGCTTTACCCAAGAATAGGGGTCCAGATGCTATCTATCCCCAGATTCTCTCAAACCTGTCTTATTGTTGTCCCAGAACTCACCAGGGATGCAGGAGGCTGGATGCAGGACTCCCCAGCTCATGGACCAAGCAGGTCTGTAGAATCTTTCCTGCTCTGTTGCTCTTTCCTGCAGCCAGGGAAATCTCTAGTTTTAGAATCAGGATGATTTGCTCTTACATTATTGTTCTTCCAAATCTATTATCTTTTTCATATTCTTGCTGAGTTCTATTGGGTCTAAAACATTAAAAGTCAGGAAAAAATATCCTTTTTCTCTAATCTACACTGCTTCCCTGAGGCAAAGAAATGCAAAAATAAGCTAAACAAAGCCTGGCTGATTAAATAAGAGTAAGGGTTGGGGAAAGGGCTGAGTATAGGAAAATATGATAAGAAAAACTCAGTCGGTATTTCAGAATATTAACCCACCTCATAGAGACAAGAAAAGTGAGGTACAAAGAGATCAAATGTCATGGTCAAGGCTCACACAGTTAATAAAAGAGCTGGGACCAGGTCCCAATGATGTGCTACATTTAGCCAAAAGTGTGGCTTTCAGAAAGTGCGTTGAAATCCACAATACCACATAGAATTAGGGTCCCCGAAGAGTAAGGTCTTCAGTACTTGCTGCATTAAATCAAATTCTGTCTTGCAGATCTTCAGTGTCTGCTGCATTAAATCAAATTCTGTCTTGCGGGTCTTCAGTTCCTGCTGCATTAAATCAAATTCTGTCTTGCAGAGACTAACATTGGCAGGGATCCAAAAAAAGTCTTTGCAGCACAGGACTATCCATTGTGAACGGCAACCACAGTCAGCAAGGCTCTGTTCCTTTAACGTGAAGACATTTTCCTTGTGGCGCTTGGTATTGCACATTTGATCTGTGTTCCATGCACAGCTTAGGCACTGAAAAGTAACCAGCTAACTTAGAGATTTCACCAACAGGTCCAGAACCATCTCCAGCTTCAGCTTGCCTTGATTTAGCCTGCAGGGTCTGTGCTCAGTCACCGAGCCAACCTTCGAAGTTGCGGAACGGGAAATAAGGGTCATGGAGTCTGAATGCATATTGTATACTGGATTTTTCTTTGGCTTGCTAATGTATTCAGATCAGAAATGAATAATGATTCTGTGCAGCAAGGTTACCAGTCCTTTCAATCTTTTTGAGCATTATTTTTGTTCTTCACCTCTGAAGACAGCACAGAGAGGATGGGTTCAGAGGAAATAAATGTTCCCTATACTCCTGGGTGTGCTCTCGTGTTCAGCCTTGTGGCCTGCCCCTCTCTCTGGGTGTCAGATGTCCGTATTCACTGCAGCCCTGTGCAGCTGCGTGAGACACTGGGTGACTTGCAAAAAATCCATGACGCGGAATCCATAGACAAATAGCAATGGTAAATTTATGAGCTAGGTTTCTTATGCGTCGTTATTTCAAGCCACTAGAATCGTATAATATTGCCTTCCCTGACAAGGCTCTAATACCCACTTGGCACAATCCCTCTGTTACGCCTTTTCTTGTAGGAAGAAAAAGAAGAAACAGTAGATGATGCTAACAAGCAGCATGTGAGTCACTGTGTGACCTTGGGAGCGATTCAAGGTCTGAGCATCTTCAAGTGCTGCGGGATAAGGCCAACCGTGCCATGTGGGTGATGTCATGGGGTGGGGGAGGTGTCAAGGGATGCAACCCTTCTGGCCTTGCAGTTTTCTGCTCCATAGAGGCCTGACAGGGCTGTCCCTACAATAACTCCTGGGCTCTGAGCCACTTCCCCAGATCCCAGCCGCTCCCCCGGCCTTGCCAGCTGAGACTTTTGGAACAGGTCCGGACTGGGTTTCACTGTTTTCAGATTTCCAAGGGGAGCTAGGAGTGTATTACAGCTTCATGAGATCAGCCTCAGAAGGTCCGTGAGGGATGCGTTTGCATCTGGGGAAATTACACAAAGGAGGCCCTCTGCCGTCAGGAGGGGATTGTTCTGGTAAAGGAGCGTCTCCCACCCCAGGCAGCTCCCAGCTGACTGCTCTAATGGACAGTGGTGGTTGGGTGCACAAGCATTGTAAATGAGCTTATAAGCCAACGTTCATTTCTTTTTACTTTGAAATCTGTGAGATGGCAGCAGGTCCGTTTCCTTAATGGTATTTATTTTAGAGATAATCAAATGTATTTGAAAGGTGTGATCCCACAGCAATAAAGGTGTAGGGAGGCAGCCCTGAAAACTGAAGGAGACCATGATATCCATCAGCTCTACTGTGCACACCAGATGTACTGCCCAGGTACCCCCTCAGCAGTGGAGCACTTTTCCTGCAGCTGCAAAGAGCACTATCAGCAGCTCTTTCAGGAAAGCACTTCAGCTCAAGAAAACTGCCTTATCCAATGCCACACCTGCTTCCAACTCAGATGGGCCTCCTGGGTCAACCCAGAGGTAAAAAGGCCTTGGTCTTTTGCCCCAACTTAGGGCTCTAAATCTCTAAAGCTGAGGTCTTTATTGGTATTGCACTGCAGTTCAGTTCAACTTCTCCTGCTCAATCCTGCCTGCATCCCTTTCCTTCCACAGGTATTGATCCCAAGAACCCTCCCTAATACACCTCTTGCAAATGATTCTCTGTCTCAGAGTTTGTTGTGTTGCTCTCTGCCAGCCCCCTCAGTTTCCATTCCTCCTGTCCATCAGCACCTCGAGTTTATTTGGGAGTTGCCTGTCCCACATTGTGACAGAGTCTTGGAGGGGCTGTAAACCAGTCCACTGTCAGCCCAGGGCCAACTGCATGGCATGAGCCAATCACACTTTCTCTGGGCCTTTGCAGCTTGGCTGAGACACATAAGACAATGAATGGGGCTTGCCCATTCCAGGGACGCACCTAGACTGGACAGCCAGGTTGTTCTTCTCTCCTGTTCCCACATCCAATTATCTTACTTCCCAGCCACACTGAGAGATATCTTATGTCCCTGCAACAATTTCCCATTTTGCTTGTCAGCCAGATTAGGTTTTTGTTGTTTTAATGGAATCCGGATCTGAACACAGACTTGGGCAGGGGCAGGAAGGGGAGAACAGCCAAAAAGAGGAGGCCTCTGAAGCCGGGCCCTGCAGTGG
Source organism: Homo sapiens (assembly GCF_000001405.40). Taxonomy (NCBI): domain Eukaryota; kingdom Metazoa; phylum Chordata; class Mammalia; order Primates; family Hominidae; genus Homo; species Homo sapiens. The sequence continues at coordinate 43,155,149 of NC_000003.12, forward strand.
GAGAAGGAGCTGGCAGGGGAAAGAAGGGCTGAGGGTCCTCCAGGGAGAGGAGCAGCATGTGCAGAGGCCTGGGGCTGACAGGAAGCCAGGCATGGTTCAGAAGTGCAAGCAGAGGATGAACAAAAAGGTTTCCTGTGCTTCTAAATAGGACCCCAGGGTCTGTTTGCTGAAACACCAGAGCACGAGGTATATGCAGAGCATGGCGTCCGTGGGTTTTTCTAGGCAGTACCTTTGAGTTTCCAGAAAGAAGATGTTGTGAGCCAACAGCTGAGGACCAGCCTTGGCCCACACTCCTTAGAAGCTGTGACTGCAACTGTTCACTCTCAGGGAGGCACAGTCATTTGTGTTCTCATTCCCATAGGGTGGAGGTGATGGTGGGGAAAAGGGTGGAGAAAGCAAGGCTGAAACAGAGTGTGAGGTGCTGGGATGGGAGGGCGTCGATGTGGGAATAAATGTTCAGGCAGGCAGGATGGCTGTTAGGCAGCACATGGTCTCCAGGGCCGAAACAGGGAAGAGGCCTGAAATACGGGCAGCCCTGTAGTTAACAAGGATGGTGGAATCTACAGGGATAGAGGACCATCAGGTATCAGAGGGCATAGGGATGGGGGGATGCCCCAGCCTACATTATCACAAGAGAAAGGAAGAGGAGTCATGGTGGCCACAGCCCTTCTTCTTCTGGAAATCCTTCCCTGCCTCAGAGATGCTCCTCACCCGAATTCCCGCAGCAGCGTCCGTTTACTGCCTGCTGCCCTCGCCTGGAATCTTAGGAAACTACCACCACTGCAACCACAGGCGTGTTCTTCAAAGAGTGAGTCAGCCATTGGCCAAGGCAGGAATCCAATGGAAGGGTGTCAGAGCTGGAAGGAACCGGAGGGATCATTTTTGTACAGCCACTCCATTTTACAAATAAAGAAACTGAGGCCCAGGAAGGGGTCTTAGGCCACATTAGTGGACTTGAGCTTCCTAATCTACAGTCACAGATGATCTCTGTGGCTCAAATTTCATCCAAACCTGGGAAATAGAGGATACCCCTACGAGCACACTCTTGTAGTTTAGGTACAGGTGTTACAGAAACGTGTCCACAGTCAACCACTAATGTAGCTGTTTATAATTCCAAACATGCTGAATTACAGAGCCCTTAAGGAAGGATTAAAAGACAAATAAAGAGAGACTTGGTTCCTTATCTCTCAGGGCAAATCTCCAATCATTGATACTCCTAGATTCAAGATATGCAGGGAGAAGGGATGGAACAGAAGCGCCTGAATGTCTTGTTGCTGGGTTCCACATGCTTTTGGTAACCAAGCTAATGTCCAGAAGCATGAGGTCTGAAAGCCCACCTGGATCCAAGCAGCTATGGTTCTCTTCTATTCTCAGGCATGAACCCAGGCTTTCTCTTTTGAAATCCAGCTACGCAAGGAAGTCTCTGACTCTCAGGAAGTGCCTGGATTGTCTTGTACATAAAATGAAGTATTCATCTTCTACGGGATGCTGAAGGTGAAACAAGATCCTATTTCTAGCCATCCTCTTCCTTTGGAAGAGCCAAAGTACTGGACGTGCATCAGGCCAGTAGGAATATACCTTCTTTCTGAAATGGTGATTATAAATTATAGACAGCAACAACAGCCCCAAAGTGGCAGGTGTTGACAGGAGTAAAAAGGGAGGAAATAAGAGCTCTCTGTGTTTAAATGCTGAGTTGGGAGCTTTGGGTACCACCTACCAGGTTGTAAAAATCTGTAGGAGAAACTTTGAAACCACAAATATACCTCATTGCCCCCATTAAGAACCCACTATGGTAAGGTGTGTCCTCCAGGCTGAGATACAGCAGGAATCCAGGAACTGGTCCATGAGCACGTGTGGGTAGTGTGAGGGGGCAGGGCAAGGGTGCCTGCCAAGAGTGGGCCTAGGGCAGGAGGAGGGGGTGAAGCACAGACAAAACCTGTGAAAGCCAGACTACTGAGGGAGTAGCTTCATGTCTTCACGATGACAGCTGTAAAATGCAGAGGTGTGGCAAAGCCTGCTCTCCCATCACTGAACCTTTTTCTTTCTCTTCTTGGGTCCACAGCTAGACCACACTTCCCAGCCTCCCGTGCAGCTGGATGTGGTCATGTGACTGACTTCCAGCCAATGGAACGGGAGCATGAAAGCCTTCTGTGCATGACCCTTTCTTTATTCCCCATCTGTCTGCTCAAGGTCAATGTGCATCGGGATGATCTTGGGTGACCTTGGAAGCTACATGATGAAGGTGGCAGAGCTTCTCTCAGCCTGGGTCTCTGAATGACTGGTTTGAGCTGATATCCCCATCTACTTTGTTCCCTTTCTCCAGCCAAGGGAACAAAGAACAACCTAGAAACATTTTGTACTGTTACATAAGTAAAAATATATTCCTTCACTGTGTAAAGGCACTGAAATTTGGGGTGTTACATGGTATAGCACATAGTAATGCACTAATATGAAGAGCAAGCCTCTGAATCCCTTAAAATTGCTTTGAGAACTAATAGAGAATGATCATGGTAGCATCATTAGCCATTTGTGCAACCCTCTGTAGCGAATCAGGGGCATCTTTAAACTAGTAAGGATACAAGTAGAGGAGATGTCATTATTCCTGGTTTCACAGCTGAGTATGTTGAGGCTTAAAGAGATTCAGTAACTTGCACAGGCTGGCACACCTGGTAAGTCCTTTGTCAAAACTCACATTTCTAGAAAGACTGTTGAGTACTGTGTGGGAAAGGACCTTCTTAAATCTCACATAAGAGACCATGTCAACACTCCACCCATATTGCGGTCGTTCCCTTTACCATTCCCACCCCAACAGGCAGCATTTGTGTCTTTATCTGAGGGCTGCCCGCAGCCTGCTGGAGTTCACTCTGCCTGTGCTTATGGAGGGCTGGAAATGCCTGGAATTTACAGCCCTCTAGGGATGCACTTGACCAAGGATGACAATGCAGGGGTACATGCTCCAGCCTCACCCTGACCAAGATACTCTGGGGTGTGACCTGCACTGTCGCCAGGGTTCCCTGCAAGATGTAGCCAAGGGGAAGCCTTCAGGGCACTTTGCCTGACACTGCACCCTTGCATGGCCTCCTCCTAGCTGGTCACACCCACCCTCCCACTCCCCTACTGGTTTTCTTTCCTAATCAACCACTTTTCTTTTAGTGCTTGCCTTGGGGATAGAAACCTACCCTAAGATATTTAGAGTCCATCTCACTTCTTTTTCTAAGTGAGGAAGCTGATGGGCAGAGAGGAAGGGACTTGCTGGAGGTCACAGAGGAGAAGGGGGCTAGAGCCCAGGTCCCTCAGTGTCATCCACTGCTGCTCTGACAGCGGACGCCTACTGCAATAACTAAAGAAGAAGTCAGGATTCTGACTGGAGTCAAACTGACTGAATACCCAACCAGCCCTTACCTGGACTCCTGAAGCTCTGATACGTACCCATCGTACTGTAAGAACAGGCAGACGTTCAACTAACATATATTTATTGAGCATGTTTTGGTGCCAGGTAGTGTTCTGGGTGCTGGAGAATCAAGGTGAACAGATGGTTCATGTCCCTGCCTATCATTAAGGAGAGAGGGAGAGAGAGACACCATGATATGAGGGAGTGATAAATGCTAAGAAGAAAAATAAACAGGGATCAGGGGTTTGACAGTGACACGGGATGCTGTGTTATATAGGGGGTCAGGGATAGCGCTCTGAGGAGTTGACACAAGAAGATGAGATAAAATGAAAGTGAATGTTTCTCTCTAGGTTCCCCCTCTGGCAGTAGGACAGTGTGGCGTCTGGTTGGCACTCAGTGGCCATCATCGGTGGGCAGCTGGCTCTGCTTGGAGGGGCTTCCTCTGGGTCCATGCCTTGTGCAGTGTTGTCACAGAGCTTGGAGGACTGGCTGGCTCTTGCTGCAAGAGGGCAAGGGACACAGGCTAGCAGCAAGGGGGCTGTGGCTTGTGACTGTGTCCACAGAGCCTGTACCCACCCCCAACCCCAGAATGGTCTTCCAGTCCCCAAAGGACAGAATCGGAGTTGTCTTCAGCCATTTCAGACACGCCATTATCTTGAAAAGAAGGAGATCTGGAGTTATGCATCAGATATTCTCCCCAAGACTTCAGATAGCACATACGTGCCAAGTTTAAGGCAGAAATCTTCCCTTCTTAAACTGTAACTATCTGAAAACCCTGTGAGAGCTCAAAGCTTGAGACTGTAGGTTTTGCAGTCAGGCAAATATTGGCCCTGCCCCAATGCTATGTGCTCTAGGGTTCCTCACAGGCCCTCTCTAAACTCAGACCTGAAAGATGATGCCAGTCTGAAGGAACAGATAGCCAGGGCAAAGCCCCTAGCAAAGAAACATGCTCAGGTTTTCAGGGACCATTTGTGAAAGGGGTAATTAAGGTGCTCCCTCCTCGGCCTGCTCTGATGTCATTGTGACCAGCTGTACCTCCTGCTTCCCCTGCAGCCACCCATGGCCCCACACATGGCTTGCCGCATCTGGAGGTCATGCAGCAAGCCCAGTGCTTCTTGGGAGAGACGCACCTGGCCCTACCCCAGGGGCTGTGTCACCTCCCAGGCAAGGCTCTCTCTCCCACAACCAAGACACGGTGTTCCCTACTCTGCTTTAACTCCCACTGTGACTGGTTTTGTCGGGGGAGAGAGGATGCTTTACAAAATACTTATCTTTATGCTTTGATTTTACAGCAGCAAAGAAAGTCACCTTTGGGCTCATCTTCCAAAGACAACCTTCCAAATTCTTGAGTGTATTTCATTATTGCCTTTTTTATAATAAATATTTTTCCATGGTTGAGAAATCACATTTTTTCCTCTTCCTACCAATTCATTTATTTTCTTGGCCTGCCACTTCCCATAAAAGGTGCAACATATGGTAGAGGAATTTTCCTCCACCTGGGGTTTTGGAAATAATTCAGAATGGTTCTTTGGCTTTTGCTGGCTAGAAGAATGTGTGTTTTCTTTTATGAAATCTGCTACTTAGAATCAAGGGTCATAAAACCGAATATAATCTGGGAAGACAGATTAATTTTTGTTATAGTAAAAACTGCTTCTCACAAAGGAATGCTGAAACATGGACACATGCGCTTCCGGAACCCAAAATGTTCACAGTAATTATGTCACGGTGCCTTTTCTTCCTTTTTTCCTTATTTGTATTTTTTCAGTCTTTTTTTTTTTTTTTTTTTGACGGAGTCTCGAACTGTTGCCCGGGCTGGAGTGCAAAAGCACGATCTCAGCTCACTGCAAACTCTGCCTCCCGGGTTCAAGCACTTCTCCTGCTTCAGCCTCCCAAGTAGCTGGGATTACAGGCACCCACCACCATGCTCATTTTTTGTATTTTTTTTTTTTTTTTTAGTAGAGATGGGGTTTCACTATGTTGGCCAGGCTGGTCTCGAACTCCTGACCACATGATCTGCCCTCCTTGGCCTCTCAAAGTGCTGGGAATACAGGCGTGAGCCACTGCCTCCGGCCCAGTCTTTCTACAAAACATGTCATACTTGTATAATAAAAATATTTTTAAAATTCACTAAAATAAGGGGGGAAAACAAATAAAAGGCAAATCCAGTTAAGTGTACTATATCTGGTATGTTACAGGATGATAATAGATGTTTCGTGAAGAACTAGTCCAGTGATGAAATAAGTTGGGAAACATTGAGTTAAACAAAGCTAATTGGATTTATTCCCTGCAGGACTTCTCAGAGCCTTTAATATCCTGGTGGGCCTTATGATCTTTAAGAGGGTGCTATACCTAGTGATGTTACCAGGCTTATCTCATCTCTGAATCCCCATTCTGAGGAATATCTCTCCAGACTGATTATCTGTGGAACACTCTGGAAAACCCTGTTGCCAAGCTCTGACCATGTGCAGAATCAGGGAAATGCTCAGGTCTCATTAGGCCAAGTTCTAATATGATCTGCAGAGTTGAATGAAGCCTTGTTAGGTTGGGAAATTTGAGACCACATCAGCTATTAAATGAGAAACACTGCTGAGATCTCACTGGCAAATTAAGACATGTGGCCAGGTCAATTATGGATTTTCCAATTACAAGATTTGGAAAGGTAGAAAGACATTCCTGGGCATTTGGTTAGTAGGATCACTGAGCTTTTGGTTCAGCACGGATGATAAGACTTGGATAAACAGAGGGAATTCCCTGAACCCCAAGGGAATGAAATATTGTGTTAGCTTATTTTGTGTTGTTATAAAGGAATACCTGAGACTGGGTAATTTATAAAGAAAAGAAGTTTATTTGACTCACAGTTCTGCAGACTGTACAAGAAGCATGGAGCCCACATCTGCTTGGTTTCTGATGAGGCGTCAAGAAGCTTTTAGTCATGGCAGGAGGGAAGGGAAGCCAGCATGTCACAGGGCGAGAGAGTGAGCAAGAGAGGGAGGAAGAGGTGCCAGCCTCCTTTAAATAGCCAGCTCTCCTGTGAACTAAGATTGAGAACTCATTCATTACCATGGGGAGGGCACCAAGCCATTCATCAGGGATCTGCCCCCTTGACCCCAACACCTTCCACTAGGCCCCACCTCTAACACTGCGGATTACATTTCAACATGAGATTTGGAGGGGACAAACATCCAAACCATATTAAATATACTTGCAAATAAAACAGTCCAAAGAAGCATAAAAGGGATAATGGAGAGTGGGATCAGTGGACAGATCAGGGCTCCCTATATGCACTCAAGCCTCACCAGCACAAGGGCTGGGCCTCCAACTGCCAAATCTGCATCTCTTTGCCTGAGGGCTCCCTCTGGCCATTGGAGCCCGCAATGAGCAGCAGGCCAGAAATGCATAAGCACTGATGTGCGGCAGCTTGAAACCAGTGACTGGTGGGAACTGGCGAACAAACACCCCAGAGCATCCCACCTTGTAGGCAGGATGGTCCTGATGTGCACTGGCTGCAATGGCTCCCGGAATTCCTCAAAGGCTAAATCTCCAGATGCCCATAGTGGCCCCTGGTTTGATAACACACCGTTGGTTGCCTGCCTTCCTGTCTCTGTCTTACTTTCCCTAGGAAACAAGGTAAGTTCTGCAGGAGTTTCTACTCTGGCTAGAAAGCCTGATTTCCTGGGTTTTCATGATTCTTCAAGGCGAGATTTGTACCACTGCAGTGAGTTAAGAACAGTTTCATTTTATTTCTGACAGAGGGCAGCATTTCGTTTTCTTTCACAGAGAGATGTATTCCTGGGCTTGCAAATGACTCTAGCTCAAAATAAAGAAAAACAAATTGAAATAAGGATTTTAATCACTGTGAAGGGAATGAAAGGCTGTGTCAGCGTTTCCATGGTAAGTGCCGTCTTTCAGGGATTTATCATCCCAGCTGTAAAAATATGCTTTATGCTAGGATTTGGCAAGAGCAACCCTCAGTCACTTAAAACCTATATATTATTAAAGATTCTACTTTCAGTCAAGTCAGAAACGTGACTCTGTATAAATGCCACAGAATGCTCCTCTGACCCTTGTGACTGCCAACTGCTGCCTGCCACATTCCCTGCCAAACCAGCTCAGCACTGAGAAGTGGCAAAGGCACAGCAGCTGGACCTCCCCAGAGGATGCTTTGCGTTCTGGAAATGGTTCCGCTGAGGAAGAGGGCCTGGTTCTTTGTGGAGGCTAAGTGCGGCCTTTTGGGGTCTCCTGCCTAGGGGTCTGTAGGTGGCTGTTCTCTGAGCACTGGCTCACTTGCTCCCTCTCCCGCATCCCAGGTCCCAGGGCTACTCAAGGGGAAGGGGATGTGTCAGCACAGCCACACATCACCCTTGGCCCCTTGGCTCGGGATGCCGAAGCCACTGCAGACAGCATAAGTGGAAGAAACTCAGGTTGAGCTGACAGGAAGTGTTAGACTTGTGCTGATTTTACCTGGCAACCCGAACTCCCGTGGTGTGAGGGGAAGAAAGGCAGCTAGGTCAAGTTAGCAGCCAAAAGAGAAAGCAAAACAGGGCTCAGTCTGAATTTTTATGTCACATCACATAAAAGCCACCTCTGCTTGGCTTTAAATAAGACCAAATTTGCAGAAACTGGTATGTCCTTTATTCGAAATAGGGTTGTGGAGGTGGGGCGGGGGGCTCTTTATGATAAGAGCAGAATGTCACTTTTTACGACCCAAGATGAATCCTTAGTGTGGTGCCAGTGGTGTTTATCAGGTCTTAGGCATTAGCAATTTAATCTTTCCCCTAACACAGCAAGTGGTGCATACTCTGATTTCCATTTTCAAAATGAACAAATCGACACCCAGAGCTTAAGGAATTCACCCTTATGAAGGTCTCATGGAGAGTCAATAAGGAGCAGGCACTTAAAGGCATATCTTTCTGACTCTAAGTCATGGGGCTCCATATATTGCACTTGGGAGCAGGCACAAATTCTTCTCCCAGGAAACAGTGCAGGAGCAGGGTTCCAGGGTTCCACCAGCCCATCTCCTCACCCATCCCCAGGTGGTGGGCATCCTGGCACAGTGCTCAGTGTGCCCCAGCCCTAGCAGATTTCCTGCTGTTGAGATAGACAATGGCTGCAGAGGGCAGGGCTAGGAGCAGTGGCTAAACTCTAAAGCGTTTTGATTGCTAACATTTTTTGAGTGGTTACTGTCTATCAGTCACAGTTGGAAGCACTGTATATCTGTTACCTCTCTTAGAACCACTCCCAGCAACTGTCTGAGGTAGGTAATAGCATTGTCCCCATTTTATAGGTGAGGAAACTGAGGAGCAGAGAGCTTAAATAACTTGCCCAAGGTCACATAGCCAGTAGAAAGTGGAGGTGGGATTCAAGCTCAGGCAGCTTGACTCCCCAGACCAAACTGAGGACTGGTGTCCTGTGTGGGTAGCAGGAGGTGAGGGTTGAGGAGGGTGCACTTCACCAACCTCTGAATATTCACGCAGGGGCTAGGTGTTCATTGGTAACCCAATCATAAGTGGCTGGGCTGGACAGGACTTCAAGCCAGCCAGTCCCGCCTCTCATCTTCCTGTTGACCGTGTTGATTCTGTAAGAGGCAAGGGCTGCCCGAGGGTATCCTCCTGTTCTCTAGGATGCGACACTCTAGGCAGAGCCAGAGTGGGATCCTGAGTCTCCTGGGCCCCCTGTTCCTGCAGGAGACACGATCTTGTGATGGAGTCTCCCATGAGCAGGGTAAGGCAAGTTCCTCCTGTACTTTGTCCCCATGGTGACTCAGGTGAGATGGCCCCTGAAAAGCTGTGACTGGGAGAGTTACATTCAAAGTCTGGGCAGGGCTCCTGCAGGCTATCCTGCACCCCTCGGACAAGCCAGGTTGACTTCCCTCCTCCATCTCTCAGTCTGGAGAAGGAAAGAGATAACAAATAGCTGGGGGTGAGATGGACGTAATTAGCGGTTCTAGAGTGCATCATAAAGCAGAAAAACCGATTCCTGTTAGGCTGGGAGTGCCGTCTGTGCTACCCCAGGAAAATGGGATCACACAAGCAATTGTACAAGGCAATAACACCCCTGATGCTGAAGCTGTAACATCTGTTACACCAAGACATTTTGGTTATGACTTCATCATGCATTTCTGAGTTGGTCTGAGACAGTTTTTCATTGGCACTTAGATATATTGGTTTATAAGGCAATAGTGGAATTGAACCTTTCAAAGAGTTCAGGCTCTTCATGGGGGATGTGGTGGGGGAGAATGAGGGAGATGGGAGGAGACAGGAATAGAGAAAAGCTATAATATAAACAAAAGAAGAGCAAATAGTGGCAAATATTGGAAAAGATATTTATTCTCACTAGTAATCAAGGACATGATAATTCAAACAAAAAATGATTCTTTTGCATATCAGACCAGCAAAGACGTAAAAGAATGATCAAACCCAATTCTGGAAAGGAGTTGAGCGTGTTATTGAAGGGACCACACTGTTATTACATTGCTGGGGTATAAAAATTTCAAGCATTATCTCCTTGATCCAGCATGAAAAATTTATTTAAGAGTAATCAGACAAATGCTTAAAGGACATGTGTACAAGAATGTCTACAGTGGTATTGTTAGACTAACAAAAAAGGATAAACTGCTGAATGTAAATTAATAGAGGACCAGAATGGCAGAGTGAGAACCTTCATAAATCTGTTTCTTCATAAAAGCAATGAAAACACTGGCAAAAAATTGTTAAAATTAACTTTTTCTTAACTCCAAAAATCAACCAAAAGCTTGCAACAATACAAGTTTACTTAAGAAGAACTACTGAACCTCCATAAGAGTAGCAATTTATGGCTTTACTTTGTTTTACTTTTTTAAAGACAGGGTCTCACTCTGTCACCCAGGCTGAAGGGCAGTGGTGCAATCATGGCTCACTGTAACCTCAAACTCCTAGGCTCAAGCAATCCCCCCACCTCAGCCTCCCAGGGAGCTGGGACTACAGGCCCATGCCACCACACTTGACTAATTTTTTTAATTTAATTTTGTTTTTATAGAGATGAGGTCTTGCTATATTGCCCAGGTTGGTCAGTTTATGGCTTTGCGACCTGACCTACTCCCAACAATCACTGCCTAGCTCTACTGTAACTACAAAAACTGGCAGCCTTGGAGCTACCAGCTGGGGTTTAGAACATCTAAAAAAAATCCCATCCCTAAAGCATCCACACTAAAGAGCAGGCCAAAAATTTAAAAGAAAGATTTAGGAAATGAGATGTCCATAACACATTTTGAAAAGTTTTGACAGATCCCTGGCAATCCAGAAAACCACATGCATATCCAGAACTATGCACATGCCTAGGAAAAAAAATGAAAGGGCCTCATCTCTCATCTCTGGCTTACCTCGAAGCTCTGCACAAGCAAAACAGGAAAGCTACGGCTGAGGGGTAAACTGCTTGTGTATTGGAAGCATGCCTCAACACACACACAGTCCCTTGGGAAGGATAGAAGACTTATTGGTTCAAGGAATTTAAACTAACTTCTGACCAATAATTAACTGACAACTAAGCTACTGAGTAGAAACTTCAGTGGCCACACACTACAAGGAATACAGACTTCAGAGAAGTAATCCGGGAAGGTCACTCAGTAAACAGTAATAACAACAATAAATCCTGGGAAGAGAATAAATCTGATTTTCAGACTATCACATCATATTATCTAAAATGTCTAGTTTTCAACAAAAATTATAAGACATGAAAGAAATGGAAAAGTATAGTTAATATCCAGGGAAAAAAGCAATTGGCAGAAACTATTCATAAAGGAGGCCTTATATTGGATCACCAAATGAAGACTTTAAATCAGCTATTATAAACATGTTCAAAGAACCATGTCTTAAGGAATAAAGAAAAATATTACAATGTCCTGCCCCAAATAGGTAATTTCAATAAAAAGACAAATATTATAAAAAAGAACCAGGTGGAAATTCTGGAGTCAAAAAGTACAATAGCTGAAATGAAAAATTCATTAGAGAGGCTCAACAGCAGGTTTTAGCTAGCAGAAGAATGAGTAAATTTGAAGATAAGTCCATTGAGACTATCCATTCTGATCAAGAGACCGAAAAAAGAATAAAGAGAAATGAACAGAGCTTCAAAAACCAGTAGGAGTCCATCAAGTGTACCAATATATGTATAATAGAATCCCAGAAGGAGAGAAGAAAAAAAGTGCAAAACACTATTTGAAGAAATCATGGCTAAAAACTCAAATTTGATGAAAAACTTTTAATCTACACATCCAAGAAGCCCAATAAACTCCAAGCAAGACAAATTCAAGTCAATATACACCAAGACGTAACACAGACAAATCTTGGAAACCGGAAAAAAAAAGGGATTCTTAATAAGACGAATAACGGACTTCTCATCAGAAATGAAGGTCAGAAGGCAGCACAATAACATATTCAAAATGCTGAAAGTAAAAAACTGTCAATTAGGAATTCTATAATCATCAACACTATTTTTCAAAAATGAAGTCAAAATTAAGATATTCCAAATTAACAAAAAGTGACAGAATTTATCACTAGCAGACCTGCCCTACAGAAAAATGAAATAATTCCTTGTCCATTTTTTTCACTATTAACCTTGATATCGTTTGGATTTATATCCCCACCCAAATCTCATGTCTAATTGCAATCCCCAGTGTTGGAGGAGGGGCCTGGTGGGAGGTGATTGGATCATGGGGGTAGACATCCCACTTGCTGTTCTTGTAATAGTGACTGAGTTCTCCAGCAAAAGAAACCACCACCAGAGTGAACAGGCAACCTACAGAATGGGAGAAAATTTTTGCAACCTACTCATCTGACAAAGGGCTAATATCCAGAATCTACAATGAACTCAAACAAATTTACAAGAAAAAAACAAACAACCCCATCAAAAAGTGGGCAAAGGATATGAACAGACACTTCTCAAAAGAAGACATTTATGCAGCCAAAAAACACATGAAAAAATGCTCACCATCACTGGCCATCAGAGAAATGCAAATCAAAACCACAATGAGATACCATCTCACACCAGTTAGAATGGCGATCATTAAAAAGTCAGGAAACAACAGGTGCTGGAGAGGATGTGGAGAAATAGGAACACTTTTACAGTGTTGGTGGGACTGTAAACTAGTTCAACCATTGTGGAAGTCGGTGTGGCAATTCCTCAGGGATCTAGAACTAGAAATACCATTTGACCCAGCCATCCCATTACTGGGTATATACCCAAAGGATTATAAATCATGCTGCTATAAAGACACATGCACACGTGTGTTTACTGCGGCACTATTCACAATAGCAAAGACTTGGAACCAACCCAAATGTCCAACAATGATAGACTGGATTAAGAAAATGTGGCACATATACACCATGGAATACTATGCAGCCATAAAAAATGGTGAGTTCATGTCCTTTGTAGGGACATGGATGAAGCTGGAAACCATCATTCTCAGCAAACTATCACAAGAACAAAAAACCAAACACCGCATGTTCTCACTCATAGGTGGGAGTTGAACAATGAGAACACATGGACACAGGAAGGGGAACATCACACACCGGGGACTGTTGTGGGGTTGGGGGAGAGGGGAGGGATAACATTAGGAGATATACCTAATGCTAAATGACGAGTTAATGGGTGCAGCACATCAACATGGCACATGTATACATATGTAAGAAACCTGCACGTTGTGCATGTGTACCCTAAAACTTAAAGTATAATAATTTAAAAAAAAATAGTGATTGAGTTCTCACGCGATCTGGTTGTTTAAAGGTGTGTAGCATCTCCCTGTTTGCTCTCTTCCTCCTGCTTGACCATGTAAGATATGTCTGCTTCCTCTTTGCCTTCTGCCATGATTGTAAGTTTCCTGAGGCCCCCCAGTAGTGCTTACCGTACAGTCTGTGGAACTGAGTCAATTAAACCTCTTTTCTTTATAAATTACCCAGTCTCAGGTATTTCTTTATAGCAGTGTGAGAATGACTAATACAAATCCTCCCAAATATGAAGAGAATTTGCAATTGACTGGGGACAGTACAGTGAGAATACATTTCCCAAGGGCTATGACTTAACTTGCTCACAGCCATCCTTCCCTGCTCTCCAATCCAGCCGTATATAGGCCTTTCTGCTTTGGACCACTTTGCTCACAGTACGTAGATGCTCTGAGAGCCCTCTGGGAACCTTTGGTAATGCTTTCCTAGAGCTTCTTGGGATATTGTACTTATACCTTGCAGAAACTTTAGAAACTACCTGGGTATGATGCCAGCTTCCCCCTTCCTAGCTGTGTGACTTTGAGCAAGTTACCTAATCTTTCTGTGCCTGTTTCCTATCTCACCAGCAGGAAGTCAAGGAATACTCAGCTCCCAGGTAGCACTCTCCTGTGCTAGCTGCACAGCCCTTCGGGGAGCAGAGGGAAAGGCCAACTGTGTCCAGATAGGGGCTAAGGGATGGGGGACTGAAGGGTCTCTTTGGTGAATGAATCCCTATTCTCCTTGAGGCATTCACCCATACCCTGCATCCTCCTTGACTTCTTCTTGTTTAGCCTCTGCAAGGCACTTCCCGATGGCCCCACCTACCTCCATCCAGCCCCCTTCCAGTTTGGTGGCCACCAGCCCCAGTGAAAGTGGAGCTAGGAAAGAGGAAGAAGGGAAGAGATCCTTAAACAGTGGTGGCTCTTACCGTGCAAAGGCCAGGTGCTGGTCAAGTTCATGCCCTGCACCTTGATTTTTTGTTTTTAATTTTTTACTGCTTACTAAAAATAAAATAAAACAATAAAATTAAAATAAGATTCTTTAGGCCTTGTGGTTGCCCTATAACTTTTCCTGTTACTTCTCCAAATGAGCTCTCCTCTTCCCTTCCCAGCCTACTTTGCCTCATCCACTCTGCCAGAACCTTGCCTCAATGACCTTTCATAGTGCTGGCCCTGGCTGACCATTGCACTGGGCCTGCCTTAATTCCAGAAGCTTTTCTCTCTGTCTCTTTGCCATTGAGTTGGTTTCTTTAAATATTCTCATCCTTATGCTTCCTAATACCCTGAGGTCATTGGCCCCCTGGGCCAGTGGCCTCAGAGTTTCCAGCGAGAGCTACCTCCAGCCCTTCTTATGGGCTGGGCATACAAGAAACACTCAGCTCCTGGCATCCTGGACTGGCATGTGGTGAAGGTTCAGACTGCCTCCCTGGAGTAGATTTGCTGGAGATTTCTTATTAAGAAGTTGTCAAATAGGAAAAGGAAGTTGTAAGAACAACACCCCAACTGAGGAAGATATTAAATTTCCGGAATTTGGCCCAGAATAAGGACCAGACATTTTCTCCCACAGTAGTTTATACCTGACAGATCTCAGAAAGAGGAATATATCTTGTAGCGACTCTGGAGCTAGAGGCAGGGGCTCAGGACCCTTCATTAAAATACCCCCAAGGATGAAAAAAGATTCTTTTCTGAACATTTCTAGGGGCTTTATAAATAATAGTGAATCTTCACAGAAGGCTTCACAGAAAGGCAGGTAGGAAGGGGGCTTCTTTCTTTGGAAATAGAGATACCAAGCTGGGAAGTGATTTATCTGAGAGCATGAAATGCCAGTGGCCGTGAAAGGGAATGGCTTCCCAAGCACCTGATTGAATCCACAATTTTTTGATGCTGACAAACCACTTATTTGAAAAAACGCTGACTCACACCATTTATCAAACACCTTTATAGGCTGGGTCCTGGTGAAGATGCTTGACACAATTTGTCCATACGGCATTCTTAAATGTTGGTTCCATTACCATCCCCGATTCACTGATGAGGAGACTGAGGTTCAGAGTGGTTCCCTAACTCAGGTTACACAACTGGCAAGTGAAGGAACTGAGATTGTAACCCAGCCATCTCCCTGCCAAAGCCACCGCCCTCCCTCTGTTCTACTACTCAGTCTAGCAAACAGTTTGTAAATATGTATCAACACCTTTAAGAATATTCCTGCTTTTTGATCCAGTAACCCTACTTCTGGCAACTTATTCTCATGAAATAATTCTAAATGTAGAATAAGTGTTTTACACTTCAACATAGCTAAGGACACAATGATGTTTGCCTCTTTTCTTCCCCAAATCTCACGGAAACGACAGAGGAAATACAAAAATAAAAATTGAGTGGTAGTGGTTGTGGACAGTCAGGAGTAGGGTCAATGTCTAGGAGATTAAGGAACTTCTGGGAAACAGGAAAGAACAGACTGATGATGAAGTGAAACAGAGGCTGTCATGCTGCAGAGCTGAATGCAAATCATCACAGAGTGAATCCTCCCTGCCCAGAATTCCAGAAGGAAGCAATAAGCGCTAGGAGAAAGGGCGAGTTAGGGGTGGTCTGCAGGATGGTTGTGCTAGTTCCCTTCCGCTGTCCATAACGGTTCCCCTGTACACACACAGGAACCCGAGGCTAGCTCCTATATAAGAAGCTACATTCCCTGCCACAGCAATAGCATTCTCACGTGGAGTAAGGAAATGTCCTCCAGCCACCAACACTCTTCAGTCCATATGTTCATCTACAAACATCAACAGACAGGCAGGAATTGCCAGATATTTCAGAAAAGCCAGAGCCTGAAAGAAGCACCAAACACAAAAATAGAACTGACTCTGAGAAAGTAGAATTTATACCTAAAACATAAGAAACTTTTAAGTAACTAAAATGAATATGCCAGAGAGAGTTAAGAGAATAGCACATCCATTTAAAAGTAAATAAAGTCTCTATGAAAAAGAGACAATCAGAATCCTTGGAAATTAAAACCAGGACTGCCATTAAAAAAAAAAAAAAAAAAAAAAAAAAAAAAAACTCAAGAAATGAGCTGACTAGACAAATGAAAACCAAATTAGTAAACTGGAAGATCAAGCTAAAGGATTCTTCCCAAATGTATTAGGAAAGAAAATAAAGAGATGCCATCTTGTTTAAAGTTAAGTGATATGAAGTATAGAAGCAAACATTGATATATGTTTCTTATAGGATTTCCAGAGGAGAGAACCAGAGAATGAATAGAAGGAAATAAAAAGGATACAGTAGAAGAAAATGTCCTAGTGCTAAAGAAAGATGTCAGATAGAAAAGGACCCATTGAGAGCTGAGAAAGAATACAAGGCAAGCTTCTAAAATTCATTTTTTAAAGGCAATAAATCTAATAGGAAAATGGATAAAGAGCACAGAAAATTTACGTAAGAGAATATGAATATGGTTAACAAATAGGTGAAAAGAGCTCAATCTTACATATTATTAGATAAATGCAAATTATACTTTTCACCCATCAAATTGACACAAAAGAAATGTGCCCTAAAATCCAGTGTTGTCTATGATATGATAAATCAGCAATTTCATAAATGTCATTTGTTACAGCCTTCCAGTGGGCATCTTGGCAGCCGCTATAAATAAAAAATTTAAATGCAATTTAGCATTAACATTTCTAGGAGTTGGGTGCGGTGACTCATGCCTGTAATCCCAGCACTTTGGGTGGATCACTTGAGGTCAGGAATTGGAGACCAGCCTGGCCAACATGGCAAAACTCTGTCTCTACAAAAAGACAAAAAATTAGCCGAGCATTATAGTGAGTGCCTGTAGTCCCAGCTGCTTGGGATATTGAGCCAGGAGAGTTGCTTGAACCCGAGAGGCGAAGGTTGGAGTGAGCCAAGATTGCACCACTGCACTCCAGCCTGGGCGACAGAGCAAGGCTCTATATTAAAGGAAAAACAAAACAAAACAAAACATTACTAGGAATCCATTCTGCAGAAATATTCACCCATATCCACAAAGATGTGGCCAGGCACGGTGGCTCATGCCTGTAATCCCAGCACTTTGGGAGGCCAAGGCAGGTGGATCGCTTGAGCCCAAGAATTCAAGACCAACCTGGGCAACATGGCAAAACCCCAACTCTACTAAAAATACAAAAATTAGCCCAGTGTGGTGGTGCACACCTATAGTCCCAGCTACTTGGGAGGCTGAGGCATGAGAATTCCTTGAGCCCAGGAGGCAGAGGTTATAGTGAGCCAAGATCATATCACTGCACTTCAGCCTGGATAACAGAGTGAGACTCTGCCTCAAAAAAAAAAGAAAAAAAATGTAGGTACAAGGGTATTCATTGGACCATTGTTTGTAACAGTGATAATTGGAAATCACGTGAGTGTTCATGAACAGAAAAATAATTAAATACATTATGAGGTGTGTATTTGTACATGCACACATTATGGACTTCTATGCAACCATCAGAAATAATGAGGTAGAATGATGTTTATATTCTAATATGAAAAGATTTTGAAGACAAAGTGAAAAAAATCAGTGTTGAAGTGTGGGTCTACTTTGATTTTTCTTGCCAGTGTTTCTTCAGTTCAGGGTAGTTTCCTTTTATTATTTCTTTGATTATTATTTTTTTCCTACTGAGAATCCTATTAGATGAATGTTCAAACTTCTAGACCTATGTCTATTAATTATCTTCTCACACCCTTTACATCTTTGTCCATTTGTGTGCCCTTTCTGGTAAAAACTTCAACCAGACTTTACAAGTTATCACTTGCTCTTCAGCAGTTTCATCTCAACTCTTAAGGTTTTTAAAAGTTTGAATAGTCAAACTTTTGTTTCTACTCCCTCTAATTGTTTCTAGTTTCATATCAGCCTACTTTTATATGGATGTAATGTCCTCCTTATTTCCTCTGGGGATATTAACTGCACTGCTTTTAAAGTCTTCTTCAGTTTGCTCTGTTAACCCTGTTTCCCTGAGAGTTGGGTCCAACTTGCCTGTTGGACCAGGGGCCTGCCTTTTGGGATGCTGCCTCTTAAATATTTTGCTCTCCTACCTCTCTTCACCCTCACTTTGAAACTGCCTTTATAAAAATTATATCACTGAGAAAATTATGGCAGTGGGGAAGATTTGATCTAGCCAGCCTTTAGTTTTTAAGCAGCTGAGCTAACTTTGGAAGACATTTAGTTTATAGTTTAAATGATAATAGCCCTTCCGCAAAACTCAATCACCTTTATAAAGCAAATGGAAGGCCACCAGGCTAGGAGGAGAAGAGGAGCCTGAATTCTGCTAAGGCAAGCTAGTTGGGTTGCATGTGGCCCAGGAAGGCTTTGAACGTGGCCCAATATAAATTATAAACTTCCTTAAAACAGTATGAGATTTTTTTTGTGACTTTTTTTTTTTTTTTTGCTCCTCAGCTATTGTTAGTGTTAGTGTATTTTATGTGTGGCCCAAGACAACTCCTCTTCTTTCAATGTGGCCCAGGGAAACCAAAAGATTGGACACCCCTGTGCTAAGGTGTAGATTGCCACCCATTATTCTGGAGGGCACAATATATGCAACTTCCCCAATTACTCCTGCAAATAATATCACTATTGTAGATTGGCCTTTTGAGATATCTTTTCAGGTTTTTTGCATATCTGATACTGATGGCTCCTGTGGCCCCACCCAGAAGCAACTTAGCACAAGAGAACAGCTTCAACTCCTCATTATTTCATCTCCAACCCAACCAAACAGCAGCAAGCACCCATTGCATAGCCACCCCAACCCCTTCCCCAAGACTACCTTTGAAAAACTCCTAACCTATGAATCTTGAGGAGATTGATTTGAGTAATAATTCCATCTCCCAGGTGGCATGACCAGCCTCACATCAATTAATCCTCTTTCTTCACTGCAATGCCATGCTCTTTATTTGTGCAGCAGGCAGGAAACTCATCAGGTGGTTACAACTTCACCAAATAATTTAAAATGTGATGATTCTAACAATTGTCTGGGATGTGGGGAAATGGGTTCTCTGTACTATTCTATGGGAGGGTAAATTGGTACAGTCATTTTGGAGGGCAATTTGGCAATATCTATAAAATTTAAATATGCATCACCTTTAATTTAATCATCCATATTGTGGTTCTGAACTATAGAGATATGCTCATCTGTGTACACAAAGACATTTACTACAAATTTGTTTGCAAATATGAAAATTGGAAACACTCTAAATGGTCATCAGTTAGCGAATGGTCAGATCAATATTAAGAAATTCCATGGCCTAGTTGAAAACAGAGTTACTGACATGTACTGATGTAAAAAGAGCTCTAAGACATCACGTTTTTTAAAAAGCTGCAGAAAAATACATACAATGTGCTACATTAAAAAAAACACACACAAAACAAAACCTGTATTTTCATAGGTACTTACACTGTGAATAAACTCATAGGAAGAAGTGGAGGTTGAAGTCCAGACTGATAATAGCTGTTATTTCTGGGCAGCCAATCAGATGTCAGGGAGATTTATTATTTTAAATGCTAATAAGTGTAGATTAATTCATAAAATTAAAAATCAAAAATATTTTAAAGATAAGCAAATGAGAGAGGGAGCTGTATTCAGGGCCTTCAGGACATGTAGCAGCAACAGGTTTTTGCTTAGAAAGCAAGTCCCCAGAGTCTGGCTTGAGCTCAGTGTTTGGGGATTTCAGATCCCTGCATCAATCAGATATCTGCTTGGGAACTGGTGGGGGTAGGGGCAGGTGCATGGTGGCCCTGCAGAGTGTACAGACACAGAGTACAGAGCTGGGGGTGGAGCAGGATGTCTAGTGTCCAAGGGGTTGAGAACTGTTTCCCAAAACCCCGCTTCTACCAGGGCTCTCAGGAAGAAGAGAAACTTCTAACTAGACTTAGAGAGAGATTTTCATGTATTTATCAGGACACTGAAAAAACATTTATCGAAATTCTCATCCTTCATAATAAGCTACAGAAAAGGGAGTCCCACAGTCAGAAGAGTTGAAAGATGCTGTATACTATGGATAATAGAGCACACATTATGGTACCAAAGGCTTGAAATCCATAGTTCAGATACCTGCCTAACTCAGCACTTATTTATTTGATAAAGGACCCCCTCTAGTAAAAGCAAAGTAACATCCTAGGAAACTACTTTAGGAAACACTGTGTTGCCTCTTCCCATTTTTTTCCACATACTAATGAACATAAATGAGACAAGGAAAGGAGGTTTGCACAGCTGCTTGAAAAGAGAAAGGAGTAGCAGGGATAAATGTTGCCTGTCTCAAATATTGATTCTTACCTCAGTCCTCCTAAAGGAGCTGTTTCCACTGTGAGTTTAGATTCAAACAACACCACTGGGGGGGCCCTGCTGACTTGGTGTGACAAGGAGTTAGGGAGCATGGCATTCTCCTCCTGCCCAGAGGTACATGGAGTAGCTTTGGTACAATGAGGACTCACAGGCTAAGGCCACTGGAGCACCTGGAAGAACACAGCCAATGTCCTGGGGGCAGTGCCGACACTCCCCAGAGGCTCTGGAAACAGCAGCTGAGGTGGGGTTCTGGCCTCAGAGCAGGAGACAAAGACACAAGAGTCCGGGACAAAGATCATTAAACTCATCTCTGGAAACGTCTCAGTGAGCTACGAGGGGGCATAGAGGTTTTCATGGCGAGAGAAGCAAGGGCAATGAAATATACATTGTTCATTAGCATGAACTCACTGTATCCGCTGAGTGGTGGAGGGTGGGCATCTGGTTGTTTAGAAAAAGCTAGCTATAGGTCTTTCTGCATTCTAGGGCCCTTCTGCCTGATATCGTAGCCACTAGCCACATGTGGCTACAGAACACTAGAAAAGCGGTTTGTGCGAAGGGGGATGTGCTGTTAAGTGCAAACTACGCACCAAATTTAAAATAGCTCATGATCTGCCAGAATGAAAATATCTCATTATAATTTTCTTTTGCATAAACATTGAAAAGATAACATTTTGTATGTATTGGGTTAAGTAGAATATATTAAAATTAATCTCACCTCTTCCTTTTAATGTTTTAAACATAGCTAGTGGAATATCTAGCATTACTTCTATGGCCCATGTTATGTTTCCAGTGGATAATGTGGATAGGGGTTTAGCAGGAATCAGCTAGAGAGAAAACAGCCCTTTGGTTTGAGAGAGCAAGTTAATTGCTGGGTGTGGTGGTGTACCCCTCTAATCTCAGCTACTCAGGAGGTGGAGGCAGGAAGAATGCTTGAGGCCAGGAGTTTGAGACCAGCCTGGGCAACATAATGAGACCCCATCTCTAAAATATAAACACATAACATTTTTAAAAAGAAGAAACAGAACAAGTTATTGGACTCATAGTTGTGGGAGACTGCGAGGCAAGTGGGAGCTCAGTTGCTTCGTATAAGACAGTAGAAGAAAGAGGCAGCAGCCGAACTGCAGGAGGACAGGCAGTGTGGCGTGGGGCTGGGTCTCCACGGAGAAAGGAAATGGAGGAAGGATGGGAGGGGAGGGCCCAGCAATGGCAGTAGCAGGAGCCCAGGGAAACAGATGGCCAAGAAAGAACTCCCTGGGGCAGGGCCAACAATGAATTTTGCCAGCAGTGAGGACTGTTGATAGATGTTAACTGTGTTCCTTCTCTGTGCCTTAATACCCTCTGCTGTCCATATGCCCCAAGGGCAGAGTGTTTCACATGTGCTATGGGTTGGAGGCACTGCATGGGGTGGGGAGAGCTCTGTCCATGCTCAGGCAAAGCCTGTGAGCCTGTGGTGTGCAAAGGAATGGCCCAAGAGCCAGAGGCAAGGAGGAGCAGGGAGGCGGTCAGGCGACTGCGAGGAGACTGTGACACCCTAACATTTCTTGGAAGTACCCAGAAGAGCACTGGCCTGCTGACAGGGATGTACAAGGGGGCCGGAGATCTATGTTTGGCTTTTGAAGGAAAGGATTACTCCAGCAGGCTGGTGGACACTGGGACCTAGGCCATGTGATGGCCGGATGGTGTAATACCCTCTGCAGTGGTGCGCAGCAGCTGTCCTGGGAGAAGTGCACTGGCAATGCTGGGCAGAAGGTGATCAAGTGGAACAGGAGCAATGTTAAAATCTAACTCATGAGTAATATGGAAAGATCTCCAGGATACACTGTCAGGTAATCAAAGGCAGTGTCCCTGGAGGGTGTGCTATGCATTCTCCACGGGACCCCTGAGCTGTCCATACCTGCCTCCATAATGCTCTGTGTCCGGAGGCTGACTTGTAAAGACTGCATCCACAGGCCTCCTTGCCAGGCCTCCTTGCCTTATGACTTCTGGTAGGGATTGGCCAATGGGGGCCCTGCGGAAGGCCCAGAGAGTGGAAAGGGAGCGAGGTGGGGGTATTTACTCCTTGGCACCCCCCCCCCTCTGACTCCCCTGCATTTGCCAGCCCTGTTCCTCATTGCCTCCTGCACACCTAGTCCACACACCCTTGTGAACAGTTAAACCTTCCTCAGTTATCCGGCTGGAGCATGCCGTTTGCTTCCTATTCAGATTCTGACAGATACACAGGGAATACCATATGCTAACTTTTGTGTGCTTAACGGTGGTGGCAGCATGAAAATACATATTTGAATCTGCATAAAGAAATACTAGAAGAATGCATAAGAAGCTAATAAAAGTAGCTTCCCATAGGGGTATGGCAGAGGGACTGGGTGAACCAGGGTAGAGGTGGGCAAGATTTCCCATCATATCTAATTTATATTATTTTGATTTTTGAACCATGTGAGTGACTACTTATCAAACGAACTTAAATTGGAAATAATCTGTTCTACCCCTAAGTCTGATGATTTGGAGGTAACCAGTTTGATGCTGTCCAGACCTTTTACCAAGGAAGCTCCCAATTTTCTTTTTCTTTCTTTCTTTCTTTCTTTCTTTCTTTCTTTCTTTCTTTCTTTCTTTCTTTCTTTCTTTCTTTCTTTCTTCTTTCTCGCTCTCTCTCTTTTTTTTTCACTCTGTCGCCCAGGCTGGAGTGCAGTGGTGCGATCTTAGCTCACTGCAGCCTCTGCCCTCCAAGTTCAAGTGATTCTCCTGCCTTAGCCTCCCGAGTAGCTGGGATTACAGGTGCCTGCCACCGCACCTGGCTAATTTTTTGTATTTTTAGTAGAGACGGGGTTTCACCATCTTGGACAGGCTAGTCTTGAAATCCTAACCTCGTGATCCACCCACCTCGGCCTCCCAAAGTGCTGGGATTACAGCTGTAACCACCACGCCCGGCCGGAAGCTCTCAATTTTAACTCAAAAAATCCACAGCACCGAGGGAAGCAGCTCCTCCAAGCTGGCTGCATGAAGCAGGGCCACAGCCGACTGTCCCATCTGCTTCCCTGCTCCTGCCCTCCTAGAGCTCTGGCCTCAGCCATGGCATCCTAGAGATGGTGTTGCGGGGTTTGTCAACTGACCAGAAGAGAGAGCAAAATTAAATTACATATGAAGGTTGACTGTGGAAAACAAGAGGAGCCAATGTTGAGTAGCAGCATCTCAGTGAGACAGATGATGGCATTGCTTATGGTAACCCTCATCTTGAGAGGGGCTGTTCAGTCTGTGAGGTGCACCACTGGAAGCTTCCAAAAGGCCCAGCAAGACCCATTTCTGTGGCTGACTTGCCATGTGAAACACCCCAGGCATGTGGCCTGCACCTGGAGATGCCACACCCATGCCACCACCACCGTCACCCCGTACACCTTTTGTAAGTGTGCCCCCTGGGGCCTGGCACCAGAGACACACAGATCATGAGCGCAGAACCATACCTGGAGAGGCGCCTCCTGCAACATGAATATTCAACCTCACAGAGAATTTTGACCTTTGCTATTTCTCATTGGCTTTGTGGAATAATCAGAGGAGCCAGCGTGAGAACAAGGCTGGCATTCACAAAGCTTAGCTCTCATTTCCTCATTAATCCTCCGAGTCAGCATTACGAGGCAGGGAGAGGTCAAACACGATTATTGCCTTCATCCAGAACGGTAGGGTAATGGCCTGCCCTGTGTCATGCATGAGTCACAAGCAGAGTGGGGTCTAACCGTGATCTTTGGACCTTGGCTCCTGATTGCAATGGGAAGGTAGAGGTCACAGATGCACAGATTGGCAGAACAGTTACCTGAGCAGTGTGACTTCAAGTTCAAGGCAAAGATCTTCCTCTATGGTTCTGTCTACTGTTGCCCAAGTGGCTACCATTGGTCCTCCTTTGGTGTTAAGCATAGTTTACAGCCAGTATTTCCTAAATGGCCAGAATAGTTCATGGCCAATATTTCCCAAGTGTCTTGGACCAGGGGCTTGCTTTTGGCACTCCTGGTCCAAAATATTTGGGAAATACAGGCCGAGCGGACAGCTGGAGCTGCCTGAAGCATCGCTCCTGGGCCTTGGTAAAAACATCACCTCAATCTGTTCAAATGTTCCCCAAGCTCAGTTCATCAGTCTGGCTGAGTCCTGGGCAGACACGTAGGAAAAGTCCATTTTACTTCGGTAGGAGGGAGTCGCAGATGGCTCTGTGGAGAGATGGGGCCCACCCATCTCAGAGGCAGAAATGAGAGCAGGATGAATCCATGTCTGGGGCAGAAGCCGTGGAGGGAGACAAATGGCATGCAGGTCCTCCAAAAGCCAGCCAGGGGCCCCCTAGGCCGCACCCTGCCTCCAACTCACACTTAGCTTTTGGTGAAAGGCTTTTCCCTGTCTCTTCCAATTATTGCTCTTTTACCTTGTGCTAGGCTCTGGGATAAATCATTTTCATGTATTCTCACAATTTCCAGTGAAAATCTGACACTCAGAGAGGTGAACTGCTCATGCTTGCATAGCTGGGAAATGGTTGAGGTGGAATTTGAACTCCTGTCTGGCTGGAGTCTAAATGTTCCTGCTTCTCAGAACATTCCTATACATTTATTCACGGACCTAAACAAGTTGTGGGGAGGGAGAGGAAGAGGAATGAAGGGGACCAGCTCCGAGGCAGAGAGGAAATGGTGAGGTGGAGACACAGGAAATCCTGACTGTGTATGTATATGCTGTCAGCACGTAAACTGAGCTATTTTAAGGTCAAGGCCAGGGTGCAGCCCAACAGAATTGCGAAAGCAAAATGTGTTTGCTTCTGCAGTTGGCTTTTTAAATACATTTTTCTTTATTAATTGGAGCACTGGTGAACATCTGGGTCATCCTAAATTAGGCCTTTGACATTTGAAAAAATAATCTCAGGTAACAGAGTAAATGGTTCAGGCTCTGTGGCCAGAAGTCTCCTGGTCTCTGACATCCAATCTGTTTCTGCTCACCTGGTCCCTCTTTTTAATAAACTTGCTGGAAAGAGCTCCAGAGAAAAGGGGACCGTCCTGAGAAACTGTGGCCGAGCAAATGCAGCAAAAGACAGGTCCAGCAGAAGTTGGTGGCCACAAATCCAGCAGCCCCTGCAGACAAAGTCCTTAGATAGTTGGGCTCATGTGACTCTTCTGCATACCCCATGGGCAGCATCTGCAAGGGGGTCGTGGGAGTTCTATAGCCCTGTGTGCCCTTTAGGGCGTAGGATCCCCCAACCCTCCACCAAAGCTTCCCATGCAAGTCGAGCTCAAATGCCCACCAATTACAGCCACTGTCACTCCCAGCTCTGGCATGCTAGGTGACCTTGAATAAGTTACTTAACTTCTCCATCCCTCTGTTTTCTTATCTGTAAGATGAGTGTGATAATAACATAAGTGACCTTATGGGGTTGTGATGGGATAAAATGAGACAATACAGGCAAGGCGCTTGAACAGTTCGGGGCACACTGAGCACCATGCAAGCATGTGCGATTCTTCCTTGTTCTGGCTGTGGAGAACATGGGGGAGGGAGGATTGATTGCACACCTTCTGTGTGTCAGAGGGTTTCCACAGATGACCTCTAATGCTTCCTATAATCCCTTAAGAAAGGGGTCATCACCAAAGTTTACAGTTAGGGCACCAAGTCTCGGAGGGGATCAGTAACTTTGCCTAAGGTCACAGGGTTTGGAGACACGTGTCAGGGTTTGTACTCACATAACCCTGACTTCAAAATCTATTATCTGAGTCATTCCACACCTCCTCCCTAAACCACACCTGGCCCGAATTACGTGTAACACCTGCTCAGATGGTTTGGTGATTAAACCGCAGCCTTGGGGGCAGGATCTGGGAAGCTGGACCATGCTCACTCATGACTCCCCGGGATGGGTCTTTTCTATCATTCACAGTTCCCGTTGGTGGCCCAGTGTGGAGTGACCAGAGATGTCACGTTAAGGGAACTGAAAAGTGAGAACAAAGCTAGAAGAGGAGATGGGATCTTGAGGGCAGGAAGGGACACATTCCAGCAGAAACATTCCTGTGTTTTTGGCCTGGCTTTTCACCTGTCCCCCAGGAAAGCTGGCCCCAGGCAGAGTGACACGTGTGAGGAGACTCCTAGGAAAGTCACTCCCTGTGACCGAGGCACCTCCCTGGGCTGGTCCTTGCACCTGTCATCTCATGCACTCTCTACGGGAACTAATGATGATGATTATGCATTTTATAGAGAGGTCACTGAAGCGCATTAAAGTGAAACAAGTTGCTCCAAGCCACACGGCGGAGGAAGATTCAACCTTGAGTCTGGGGTTCAAAGTCTCTGCATTTTCTATGACAGATCCCTTCGCGATAGCAATGGCGCTGCTCGTATAATAGATAATATGTGATAGGGCACTGGCCAAGGCTGGGCTTCTATCAGGGACAAACCCAGGGACAATAACCTATGGGTTATATTCTTTTTATTTTCATTTATTTATTTTTTAATTTTAATTTTTTTTTTTTTTTTTGAGAAGGAGTCTCGCCTTGTCACCCAGCCTGGAGTGCAGTGTCACAATCTCTGCTCACTGCAACCTCTGCCTTCCAGGTTCAAGCAATTCTCCTGTCTCAGCCTCCCAAGTGGCTGGGACTACAGGCGCACATCACCACACCCAGCTAACTTTTGTATTTTTAGTAGAGATGGGGTTTCACCATATTGGTCAGGCTGGTCTCGAACTCCTTACCTCAGGCGATCCACCTGCCTCTGCCTCCCACACTGCTAGGATTACAGGCTTGAGCCACTGTGCCTGGACATATTGTCTTTTTAGACTCTTGTCCCTGAGAGGGACAAGAGGAAACCAAGGGGGCTGGGCTTCTAGGAGGAAAGAGGACATGAAAGCACAGGAGACAGAGAGACAGATAAGTTAAGGAAGAGGAGAAAGGCAAGGAGAAAGAAGAAAATTGGGGAAACAAAGGGAATATATAGACTGTGGGAATGAGTGAGAGACAGCTAGAGCCTAACACAGCCTGCTTGCAAAGCGACAATCTGGGCCTCTGTACTTGATACCTGCCCTGTTCCTGCACCCAATGCTCCAGGAGCTTCATGGTCATCCCCGGAGAGAAGGTCATCTCCTGTCCTGGGAAGGCACTGGGCTGGCTCCGGGGGCTCACTGGAACATTAACAGCCACAGACAGGCACACACACTTGACCTAAGATTCCCAGCATATTACTTCAGTCACTGGCAACTGGAGTGCAAAACCTGCTTGCAATCCCTGAAATTGTGCGAGAGAAGGAAATGCGGCAGCTCATGAGATGCATATTAGGAAAAACATGGAAGAATTTCTCAGAGTCCAAGGTTACCCTTTTTTTTTTTTTGAGACAGAGTCTCACTCTGTCACCCAGGCTGGAGGGCAGTGGTGTGATCTCGGCTCAC
This sequence comes from Homo sapiens, assembly GCF_000001405.40. Taxonomy (NCBI): domain Eukaryota; kingdom Metazoa; phylum Chordata; class Mammalia; order Primates; family Hominidae; genus Homo; species Homo sapiens. The sequence continues at coordinate 43,182,943 of NC_000003.12, forward strand.
TGCAAGCTCTGCCTCCTGGGTTCAAGCAATTCTACTGCCTCAGCCTCTGGAGTAGCTGGGATTACAGGCGTGTGCCACCACGCCTGGCTAATTTTTGTATTTTTAGTAGAGACAGGGTTTCATATATTGGCCAGGCTGGTCTCAAACTCCTGACCTCAGGTGATCCACCTTCCTCATCCTCCCAAAGTGCTGGGATTATAGGCATAAGTCACCCCGCCTGATCGTCATTTCCCTTTTAAAGATACTGGCCAGGGAGGTCCTTTGACATCATCATCTTCATTATGGAGATCAAGGAGCCAGAAGATGAAGGAGCCAGAAGGTCACTGGGCTGGGCCTCTGGTCTCATTGAGGGTTTGAGAATGAGGGGAGAGGAGTAGCCATAGGCATGTCCTTTATGTTCTTGCCACTCATGTCTAGGCCCTGGTTTTCCTTACTTGTCAAATGGGAATAATAATGCCTTGCTTCCCTTTTTTACAGGGGGTTGTGAAAAAAATAAGTCAATGAATGTGGAACATTCGTTAACAAAGGCATTCATTAACAAAGGCATTATCATTGTCAACATGCTGACAAGTTAAACATATCCATCTTAAGGCTAAGTCAGATTCCAAAAGCAGAACTTTCTTTATTTGCAGTTTCAAAGAGCAGAAACAGCAAGACCTTTCTCCCTCTATCCTAAAGTGTTTCCAGAATGTTCTAACGAGCATGAGCCAATGATAAGCATCAGTTGTTTTTGTCTGTTCAACAGATGTTCTCCTTGTTTTCTATAACAGCAGTTCATCTGACATTAGAAAATGCTTTCAACATAGGTAGAAATGTTAACCCAGTCCCACTCCAACCCATAAGGCCAAGCAGATCCTTTCTTCCCAGGAATTTCAATCTTGGTGGAGCCACACAAGGATAAAAATCAATTGACCCTGACACATGCCTTTCTCTGGGGCTACTTGTGTGTCCTTTCATGCATTTCTCTTTTGCTCGAGTCAGCTGAGATCTGATTAATTTCTGTTGCTTGCAGTCAGAAATCCCAACCTGAGGGTCCTACTTTGTCCTTCCCTTAAGGACTCAGAGATAGGGAAGCTCAGGAGAGAAACAGGAACTGTGGAAAAATTTCCCAGATGATGGGGAGACGGGGTCAGGGAGACGGAGCAGCCCAGTGCAGAAGTAGATCAGATTAGATCAGAACCCAGGAGAGAACCTGTAAACACTGGCTGATGTGGTAGGGACATAATACACTCAAACAGGCCATAGGGATTGGGGTCTTCCTCCTAGCCCCTAGCTTGAGCCCTCCTCTCTGTGACACCAAGCTAGGCCCTATCATGCCTAGCTTTGATAGGGCTCCTGTATTTCCCTCTGGCTCACATTTCTATATTTGATCTTGATTAGGGCAATGAAAGGCTCTGGGATTGGCTTGTCCAACTCCCTCATTGTCTTCAGATAGAGAAAGTGAGGACCAAAGACAATAGGAGTCTTTTGGTCCTTTGTAAGCTTGCTTTTTGTTTCTATCTGAGCTTATCCCACAAACAGCTTAAGAACCCCCGAAGAGCTCCTTCTAGGGAGGGCCAGGCACTGGCAGGACCTCACCACCACCACTTAGACCCAGATGGAGACCAGGAATGGTTTCTACGGTGGCCTAGCTTAAGAGTGAAGTCACAGAGGGGCCTGCAGGATTGGCAAGGTCACCAGTCATTCCCACTAGCTGTACTTTTGGCAGATCAGCTTTTTGTTGGGCATGGGTCAGGCCTTCTCAAAGTGCTCCTCAAGATGAGGCTCAGAGAGGCAACATAAATCATGAAAGGGCCAGCCGTGGGCTCTTCACACAATCCCCTACCATCTTGCTAAAAGTTGAAGGGCAGCACAGCCATACCTCATACATGGTAGCTTATTTTTGGCTGATGAAAGGCCCCAGATACTCAGGCTCCTTAGCAGAGATGTGGGACTTAGGGAGGAAGAACTGTTCATTGGCAATGATGAGCGGCAAGTGATCCCTTTATGGCCCGGAAAGGTCCTTTGGACACTCACGCAGAGCACCAAGGAGATGGAACTCAGCCACCCAACTTGCCCAATTCTGGACTCCTCTCACCTGCCTCAGCCAGGACCAGGGATGGAACAGGGAAGCGGGGAGCAAAGGCCTTCAACCCAGAATGCTCTAGGAGGGGACACTGTGCAACCCAGGCATGATGAGTCCTCTCTGTGAAATAGGGAAAGTCAGAGAACCAGACCTACAGTCAGGCACTGTCAAAAGTTTATGATCCTAATTTCCCAGGGAGCCACAGCCCCTCTCAATTTTGGGGCCTTGCAGGTTCCGCTGCTCCCAGTGGACCAATCCTCTCTCTCCTGGGTGCCTGGGCCACATCCTAGTGGGAGCTGATGTGATTGGCTCAGCTCCAATGACCTTCACATCTCATGGGTCAGGTACCAACAATGGACGAGCTTCCTTGGGTCACCCTTCACCCAGCCAGTGTCATCCCTGAGGAAGGTCAGGACAGGCTGGCAGGTGTCATAGCTGACAAGTCTGGTCACACCCCAGGAGCTGGCCAAGACTCACGTTTGGCACTCACAGTCATAGTCCAAGCAAATTGGGGAGCAGGTGACCTCACTCATGTGGCACAGGGCTTGGTGACCCCTGCCAGGCCCCCCAGTATTTCCCCACTCGATCACCTTTGGCCATGTTAAGAGGACATTGTTAGTCCTGATATTTTTCTTGCTTGTCCTTTGTTAGGGGTAATAAAAATGCCCTAAGAAACTTCACATTAACAAAGTTGTATTCTAAGTCTTAAACAAACAAACAAAAAGGATAAACAGGTTTGTGGGCTAGAGAGCTTCAGATTTATAATAGCAATGCCATTCGTTTGCAGTAGGAATGTCAGTGATAAAGATCTTTTAAATAGCTGTGTGTTGTTTGTTATTCTACGTAAAATTACTCAGCTGGATGATGAAAATGGTGAAAACACAGTGCAACATGACCAAGCAGACCTTGAAGTGTACAATACATCAGGGCATTTTGGGATCATCTAATAAATGGCAGTGCAGTTCCCAACTCCAAACAGAAGAACATGTGAAGCTTCAGCAACCTGATCAGGCCACGTAGGAGCCGACTGTGGTGGCACCATGCACGTAACTGGCCTCAACCGAGTGACCACCCCGTATCCTGTCCTCATTCAGGAAATGCCTCCATCTGCCTTCAGCACTAAATTGAGTTCAATTTCCTTGCCCATTGTCACTTTAACCAAGCGGGAGGAGGCACTGCTCCACCACCTTCCTGCCCCAAGATCCAGACATAGACGCTGCTCCACTCTCTGTAACTGCATGAGATAGGGCAGGTTATGGGACCTCTCTGTGCTTCGGTTTCCTCCTAGGTAAAATGGAAGTGAAGCACCACCTTATAAGGGTGTTTTGAAGTTTAGCATCAGGCATGGAGTAACTGTTCTTAATTATTTGCTGCTTTATTAATAGTATAATCATCACAGGGATTTTCTTAGCTCCTCCAGAGATGAGCTCTTCACCCTCATTGCTACTTGCATGTCTGAGATGGCCTAGGACATACTGATTGATTCATTCATTCATTGAGTTTATCAAATATTTACCAAGTGCTAACTATGTGCTATGCCCTGGGGTCATAATGATGTTATATCTGAGAGATGTTCAATGGTCTTTTTATCCATTTCTTTGGCATTCTAGTGTGGCTTCCTGATTGCCTACACTTAGTGGTACTGATGCAGACTAACAGCTATCATCAATTGGGCACCTACCATAAACCAAGTAATTTATATACACATTATCCAATTAGTTCCTTACACAACCCTAAGTGCTATGTGTTGCTACCTTCACTTTCAGCCAAGAAAACTGAGGCATAGAGAGGTTAAGTAACTCGTTCACATTCCTACAGTGAGATAGCCTCAGCATCAGGATTTGAACAGACATCTGTTTGAGTCCTAACCTCTCCACCATGCTCTGGGAAGCCAAGGGAAGGTGGGAACCCCCTCCCTGTTCTGGAGGGCCATCTTCCTGGTCACAGCAAGACACTCCCTTAGTTTTATCCGTGAGAAGCTGAAAACCCTTCAGCAGCTTCTATTCCCACTACTACACAAATCGTCCTGTGACCAGGGGTGTAAGCAGCCAAGTTTTTTCATGGGGCTGTGTACAAGAATTCCCTTTTCTCTACATCCTTACCAACACTTTTATTTTATCTTTTTGATAACAGCCATCCTAACAGGTATGAGGTGATGCCTCATTGTGGTTTTAATTTGCATTTCTCTGATGATTAATAATGTTAAGCATTTTTTCCATATACTTGTTGGCCATTTATATGATTTTAAGAAAGGAGAAAGGAAGAAAGGAAGGAAGGAAAGAAAGGAAAGAAAGGAAAAGAAAGGATAGATTATTGATTTTGAAATGTTAATTTTGTATCCTGCAACTTTACTGAATTTATTAGTTCTAATAGTTTTTTGTGAAGTCTTCAGGGTTTTTTAATAGATGGTATCACCTGCAAACACAGACAATTTTGCTTCTTCCTTTCAATTTGGATGCCTTTTATTTCTTTTTCTTTCCTATTGCTCTGGCTAGGACTTCCAGTAAGTACTTTACTAAATAGAAGTGGTGAGAGTGGACATCCTTATCTTGTTTCCAATCTTAGAGGAAAAGCTTTCAACTTTTTCCATTGAGTATAATATTAGCTGTGGACTTGTCACATAGGGCATTTGCTATGTTGAGGTACATTTTTTCTATCTATAATTTTTGAGAGTTTTAATCATGAAAAGATGTTAAATTTTGTCAAATGCTTTTTCTGCATTTATTGAGATGCAGAAAATCTCATTATTTTAATTCTTCATTCTGTCAATGCGGTATGTCATTTATTAATTTGCGTATGTTGACCCATCCTTACATTCCAGAGATAAATACCACTTGATTGTGGTGTATGATCCTTTAACATGCTGTTGAATTTGGTTTGCTAGTATTTTGTTGAGGATTTTTGTTTCTATGTTCAGCAGAGATATTGGCCTGTAATTTTCTTTTCCTGTAGTATCCTTGTCTGGCTTGGTATTAGAGTACCAAACCAAATCACTCAGGCACAGAGAAACAGCATGGAATTCTGGCAAAAGAACCACCATGCTTGCCTCTACCCAGCTGGCAGAGGCCTCTACTCACTCTTGAAAATGCACTTGCCTTTGTCATATACAGAAAGCCCATATATAACCATCCCTTCCCATTAGTTCTCTTCAGTCCATCAGCTAACACACAATGAGATGAAGTTCTAAGGTACCCAGCATAGTCCCAGGGTTTGTGGGAGACACAGAGGTCCACTATGGGAGCTCATAGCCTGCAAGGTAAACTAACTTATTTGTCTATTCTCTTTGTCCTTTGCACATTGGACTACGTCAATGACATCTGTTACATAATTTTCAAAATGTAACCAGTGTTGAAAACCTGCCTGCCCTTTAAACCAGCAAATCCAATTCCAGGAATTTAGCTTAAGGAAATTGTAAAAAATATGAACCAATTTATCTAAAAGAAGGTTTAGGTATTTTTTTTAATAGTAGAAAAGGATTGGAAGCAAACCAGATAACCAACAATAAGAGACAGGTTATTAAAAGATGGGTATACCACACAATGGAATGACATTTGTCCATTAAGGCAATTTTAAAAGTATATGTATTAGAAGGAGAGTCTTGATGTTTTAGGTGAAAGGAGCAGTTATAAAATATGCTATAAGCATACTGTATAATCCATCTGTGTGTCTGTGTGTGCCCACATGTGCGTGCACATCTCTTTGCATATTGATATCTACACATGACATAGTGGTTTGTTTTTCATTGTCTTTGTAAGAGCTGTGCCAGGTTCCCCTTGTTCACCACTGGAAGAGTGAATCACCACTTCCAAGGATGCTAAAGGAGTCTTTTGTCTTTTAGAAGTTATGTTGATGAAGGTTTGAAAGTGAGGATAGCTTATCCCCATAAGATGTTTCCATCCAAGTGGAGACAGCACCCCTGATATGGCACTTCTGGACTCTCTCCACCCTCTTCAGTCCCCCTGCCCTGGAGGGAGAGGTTATTCTGATTGTGAGTTTGGGAGGAGAAGCTGGACAGCACAGCCCAGAACTTCTTGGGTCTACTCACCCATGTTGTACATCTCATAGGGACCGGATCCTTGGTCCAACTCTGCCATGTTTGGGTGGGTGAGATGCCTAATTCAGGGGTTCAGCACTTGGAAAGACATGAAGCCAACGATGAGCCTTTCTCCAACATCTGCTTTATCTGTATAAGTGGCATTCTGGCTTTCATCTGCCTTATTACTCCTTTGTTTTATTTCTTAACGGGTTCAGAATTGGTTCAATTATTTCTTAATTGGTTCAAGTGAGAAAGTGAGAAAGGGGATGTCATTCACTGGGCCCCCTTCAAACACCTTAACATTCAGGGTCTTCTCTTGGAGGTAACACTATACTGCAAGAAAGGGAGTGGAATCAACTCATTTTGTTTCAAGGTTTGAAAGCTAAGCTGACTGATCCCTGGGGGCTTATCCATGGTGAGGGGAAGGAAACTGAGAACTGGACATCCAAAGGATTCTGACTGTGCACTGCAAGAGCAGGTGGAGTTGTGTGGGGTTGGTCGTGCATGGGACTATGAATAGTGACCTTGAGATCCTAGCTTTGGGTGCCCTTGACCATCATGCACTGGAGGAATTTGGGCAACTTGAGCAGGAGGTACAAGGAGTGAGGTCATCAAGGAATACTCCTCAGCCATATCTATCTGACCACAAATGTTCATCTTTCATCTGTGATGTGAGGTGGTCACTAAAGGCAAGAGAAGCTTGCTGTAGTCAAATATTAAGGGTCAGAGCTCTTCCCACTTAAGAATGGAAATTGTACCATTTTTGTACAAACTCAGGGTCAGTTTCTGGGCCACCCAGGGATCTGGGGTTGCCCCAAGAAGAAGAGGTCATTCTTCCTTTTAATCTAGGACCCACTCCTTGAAACTTTTCTCTGTCTACATGCACGTCCTTAATAATCTTGTGGCTTTAAATATCAATATTTTGGTTTCAAAACTCAGATTTGTATCTCTAGCCTCAGCCTCTTCCCAAACCCCAGACTGCCTCTTGACATCCAATTTGGCTATGTATCATCTCAAACTTAAAATTTTAAGACCAACTTCTAATCTGTCTACTCAAGCCCCACACTCCCACAGTCTTTCCCATCTCAGAAAATGGCAGCTCCATTCCCTGGTTGCCTCAGGATAATCTTGGAGTCACCTCTGACCTTTCTTCCCTGTCTCATATTTCTACTAGGAAATCCCGTCAGTTCTACCTTCAAATATATCAAGACTCCATCTCATCTCGCACCTGTAATGTCCTCCTGGTCCAAGTAATCATTGTCCCTCACCTGGATTATTGCAATAGCCTCATAACGGGTCCCCCTGTTCCTACCTTTTCCTGCCTGTAGTTTATTCTTAGGGTTAAGTCATGTTACTGCTCTGCTCTAATCCTCCAATGCTTCCCTATCATGATCAGAGAAAAGTCAAATCCTTCTACCACCCCTCAAGGCCCTACACAGTCAGACTTGGTGACCTTCCTATCTCATCTCCAACTCCCTCCTACCACTGACACGCTCTCTTCCAGCCACCCTGATCTCCCTGTGCTTCCAAGGACATGCCAGGGCTTTTGCATGTGCTGTCCCTTCTGCTGGAACCCTCTTACCTCCGTCTCCAGATGGTTCAATCCTTTCTCTCCTTCAGGCCATTGCTTTCAGGCTTTTGCTGAGCACTCATCTTAAACTGAAGCCTGCTTGACACTCCCAAAGCCCTTCCCCTGCTGTGATATTTTTATTGCCCTTATCCCCAGCTGTTTTGCTATATTTCTTACTCGTTTGTTTATCGTCTGTCTCCCTCAACTAAGATAAAATGTCAGCTGGGCAAGGAAAGGACTTTTTATTCACTCTCCTTGCTGTATTCTCTGCAGCTGGAAGAGTGCCTGACGCAAAATAAGCACTCAATAAATACCTGTTGAGTGAGTGAATGAATCTAAAAAGCGGATGACTGAGATAGTTTTGATTTGACGTGGAAAAATAAAAAAGCATGACTACTATGCACAAAAATGTCATAAAGGAGTTCACACCAAATACACAGAAAAAATATGGCTGTATTAACATTAAAATGTCACAGTGGTTTTCACTGGGTGAGGAGCTACAATGGATTCTCCCTTTGTTTCTATCCATCTATTGTTTCTAATTAATATGCAATAAATATATTGTGTGTGTAATGAAGCCAAAGTAGAGAAATGGTTTTTAAACTGCTGCCTGCTATAAACCAGAGATCCCCATTCTCTGGGCCACGGACTGAGAGCAGTCCAAGGCCTGCTAGGAACCGGGCCACACAGCAGGAAGTGAGTGTTGGGCCAGTGAGCATTACTGCCTGAGCTCCGCCTCCTGTCAGATCGGCAGTGGCATTAGATGCTCATAGGAGCACGAACCCTATGGTGAACTGCACATGCGAGGGATCCAGGTTATGCACTCCTTATGAGAATCTAATGCCTGATGATCTGAGGTGGAACAGTTTCATCCCAAAACCATCCCCCACCACACCAAACCCCCAGTCCATGGAAAAATTGTCTTCCATGAGACCGGTCCCCGGTGCCAAAAGGTTGGGGACTGCTGCTGTAAACTATAAGGTTGTCAGAGGCAAGGATTGTGTGTAGGCATAGGGGCACTTTTAAATTCCCAAAACTGAAAATTTCCATAGCCTAAGATGTTCTATCTCTGGCAGGGCACTAGTCCCCTATTCACAGAGTTGTTCTTTATGTACCAACTGGAATAGCCTTGGATTGCACATGAGAAGGAAGCACCAGTGTGTGGACCAGAGCATCAGTAAGGCTGCTGTCATCAAGAAAGGAAGACACGTGAAGACTCAGGCAATCGATGCCACCTTGCTTGGTATCCTGGCCAGCACAGCCCCCTGCATAAACAATCATCACTTTCATGGAGCTTTGCAGCTGACAGAGGATATTTACATGCATCAGTCCTTGCAACAGCTTTGTACATTGCCTTTTATTCCCTTCCTCAAGGAGGCTTATAGGGGTTACATACTTTGTCCAGGATCTCATAGCCAACTTTCTTCTGTCTGCATTCCTACTGCAACACCACCTGCTTCCATGGTAAACACGTTTCCAAAGACAGCCAGGAAGAAACAAGGAGTTGGGTCAGCAACCTTTCCTAAAAGGAGTAGCATTTGGGGTGGGTCAAATAGCTAAACCCTTGGGGTGCTTAGGGGAAACTGAGGTGGAAAATTGCTGTAAGGGTTTGTCTAGAAAAGATGATGCAATGACTCTATTATCTTAGGGGTATGGGAGTTCCTCTTAGGAAGGGAACTATCTTTTTTTGGAAAAAAGAAAAAAAAAAGACCTTAGTATTAATAAATGCTTGGGAAAGAAAATGGGGCCTTGAAGTTGAAGCTACTCTGCCATAAAGAGTGGGGTACTATTTTCGAGCTTCTAAGAGAGTCTAGAGAGAGAAGAAAGGCGAGAAGAGAAAGGAGCAGGGAGAGGCAAAGGTGGAGAGAGGCTGGAAGAATGGTGTGGAGACACTAGCAGGGGATATTTTGTGGATATAAATCCTTTTCCTCTAATCCAGTGTTTTTGCTTGAGTTAAAAGCAGAGTTACTAAGGGCAAAGAACAACAAACTTGTTCCCTCCCTGATTTCCTGCCTTTCTTGGGGAAAAGACTTAATGGACCCTTTTTCTTTTCTTTTATAGACAGTGCCACATGATTAGTCACAGAGAGCCTCTGATGTTTTTTGCACTCGGGGCAGATTTTCAGACATCAAAGAACTTGAAGAATTCAGTACACTTGTTTAAGGTAGCATTGGGGTTTATCTGTCAGTCTCCTGTGAGTTTGGTCAGCATGGGTCAGCTTCCTTGTGTGCTCCCTGTTCGTTCTCTTAGACTGGTATCTGCCAACACTAGACATAAGCTAAGATTTTCCACTGTAAGGGTTTTCCTCTTCCTAGGGCTGGGCTTGGGCATGAGGTGACACAGAGCTCTGACCATAAAAGAAGGAACACAAGGTCCAGCTTTTCATATGGGGCATCCCCAGGAAGCAAGACCAGAGGCATCCTCCCCTCACCATTCTCATTTCACTCTCTCCTTGTCGCCACCCACCGAAAGGAGCCTGCAAGAAGGGTCTGTAAGCAGCCCTACTCCAAAAGGAGCCCTGGGACCATACTGGGGGAAACTACAACATAGCCTTTACAGCCTACCTAACACCATCACGGTCATTATATGGCTCCTTTATTAGCCAAGGAAGTTATCATCATGCCCATATGGAAGTGAAGATTGCAGGATCATGGAGGTTCAGAAACTTGGTCAAGACCGACAAGTAAGAGGCAGAGTCATGAGTTGAACCCAGGTTTTGTGGGTAGAATAGAGGGGGTCCAAGATTTGGCTTTTTTTTTTCTTTTTTTAGCATCACCTTTGCTCTCTGGATGCTCTAAGTGCTGGTTACTCTCTCTTTGTCCCTGGCTCCTGAGCTCTGCTGTTTGCTTCTTTGACCTGCTGAGCGCCCAGCTGGCTGGTTCCCTGGTGGTCTTGGGGCTGATGGCCTCTGCAGGGCTGGGGTTCTGACAGTGTGAGATGTGCAGCCACGCTCCTTAGACTCCTTTTTTTGTAGGGGGTGAGGTGGGGGAGATAGGAACTCACTGTGTTACCCAGGCTGGAGTGCAGTGGCATGATCTCAGCTCACTGCAATCTCTGCCTCCCCGGTTCAAGCGATTCTCCCACCTCAGCCTCCTGGGTAGCTGGGAATATAGGCGCCTGCCACCACGTCATGCTAATTTTTGTATTTTTAATAGAGATGGGGTGTCACCATGATGGCCAGGCTGGTCTCCAACTCCTGACCTCAGGTGATCTGCCCGCCTCGGCCTCCCAAAGTGCTGAAATTATAAGAGTGAGCCACCGTGCCTGGCCTCCTTAGACTCCTTAGCACTGGCCCTTCCTTTGTCTCTTCAGGGTGGTTACTGCTTCCTGCCATTGCTAGTCCCTGGCCAACTCTGTTCTCAAGGTTGGTTTCCTTCACCCTACCCACCCCCTGGATAAGTCACTTTCCAAAATTATTCTTCACTCCATCACTTTGAATGTACCCTCTGCTTCTGTGGGGCCCTTGGCTGATAAACCCAGCATGACACATGGGCAAAAATGCGGCTGCCCTGGGATCCTCTGCCTCCTCTCGTGGCCCCTGGAACTGCTGAGAAATCTGAGTTCCAGAAGCAGTTTGCAGCCACCGGCCTGCCTGCCGGGCAGTAGAACCACTGTGCCACTGTCAGGGTGTCTGCCAGCTCAGAGGTGCTGCCCTTCAGTGGGGCCCGAAGGGCTTGAGACCTGTGTCCCTCCCTCCCCTCCTTCCTGTCTATTCTGAAGGTGTTGACACCACCAGCTTCCCAGAACTTTAGGGGTACATCTCACACATTCCTGGAGACGACTGCTCTTCCAGGGTCTAATTTTCCTCTCACCCTCACAGTTTTGCAACCTGAGCAAGACCTAGGAGGAGCCAAGTTGTGAGGAAGGAAGAGAGGTTTCAAGAAGTGGACTTTGTCTTTTTGGAAGTGACTTGCCCTGCAGCTGCCCTGTGGTATTTGCTCCCCAGGCATAGGCAGGCGTAGGGGCTGGTCGGTGGTCCCCATGTGCCGGTCAGCACCCCAGGAGCAAGTGTTCTGCCATCCTGTTCCTCTCTCCAAGAGGTCTGAACACTTGCTCTGCTGAGTAGAAGAGCCACTGATTCAGTCACTTGTACCCTGTCCTTTGCAGGAAGCCGGAAGTCTCTGGGTGTGTTTACACACAGGCATGCATGCTCTCAAACACGCAGACACATCCTAAGCAGAGGAGCAAAAGGGTGGCCCTGAGCAGATAAGAAGTCACTTTCTCAAAGTCTCATTCCTCCTCCTGCAGGCCAGGAGCCTGAAGCATCTCAGACTGGGGGTGCCCAGAAGCTGAAGGCACCAGGGAGGCTGGCCAACCACCCTGGCCAAGGACACCAGCTTCACTTCCACAGTAATCAGTGCATCTGAGGGACAGCCTCACAGAATGCCCCAGAATGGGGGGAAATTCCCTCAAAGAAGAGAACCCACCGACCAGCCAGTTCATATCCCCCACTGTTTGCAAAGCTGCATTTCCCAGAACAAATCCACAAACTGGCATGTGAATTTGACCATCTGTCTCTAGTGATTTTGATTCCCATCAATCAGTCCCTCAAAGCCTTATCCAATAATAATAACTTCTTAAGAAGTGTTTGAATGTCTGTCCGTGCATGCATTCATTCTGCATTGAATTGCTTATGATTATGAGGCACATGGTGTAGCCTGGGAGGCAGAGACTGAGGAGCAAAAACAGCCCAAGCTCACCAGAAGCTGACGTTCTAGGGGAGGGCATAGGGCACCACACAGGCCTCTCAAACAAGCCTGGTGCAGGGAGATGCTGAGAGGGGCCATGATCCTTGTAGTTACCTGTCTGCACATATGAACATGGAGTTTCCTGAGGAGCCTGCCCGCCCCTCCGCATGACCCTCCCCACCTCTGTTTCCCTTGACAGCCTGTCCCCACATCCCAATCTCCCCCAGTACACACACAACATTTTGTCTCTTCTCTCTCCTCTCACCCTGCTCCCACCCACCTTTCCCTATGTTATCCCATCCCTTCAAACCAACAGGAATTCTCCCCTGTTGGAGGCAAGAAGGAGACAGCCATCCCAAAAGACAAGGCACCGAACTAGAATGAAACCAGAATCATGTCAAACAATTCCCAGGGGAGGGGGAAAGGCCACAGATGATAATGAAAATGTTGCTTGCTGCCGTGACAACCGCAATCATTCAGCCACAGTACCAAGGCTTTGGAGGCAACAATATCAATTGAATGTTTATTTCCCCAGCACAAGAAGCATCCCAAAGGAGGTGGAAGCCAAAAAGGAGACATCTTGGGGACTCCACCTGTCACCTGCTGGACAACTGGAGTGCCTGGCAAGGATTGGCTCTTCTTTTTCCAATCTGCCATTAACTATGACATCACTTTCAACTTTGCCTGTGTCTAACTCTTCATCTGTATCAACCAGTTTGGCTAAGGGCATTGGGAGTCCACTGGGATTTCTCCCAGGTGAGGAGGCTGGGCCACAGGCTAGGTTGAGTGGCCTCTGCCTCAAGGCAGAGGCAGAGCCACGGCCAGCATTAGGATGGCTTCAGGTCCCATGAAGGCTCCATGCAAACAAATTATTTCTGAGGATGAGAAGATGGGAGGTTGAAATCTACTTAACAAAACAGGAAGCAACCTCAATGTTAAGAAGAAAGCCTAAAACCAACAATGGGAAACAGAATAACTATCAGGGACCCTGTAGCTGAAGATTTACCAGGAGGCCAAGCTAAGCAAAGGTGGTGAGGGGGTCATTTGCATTTCTGTCGTCGGTACTTTATGAATATGAACACTAACATTCTATTATGGCTTTCCTCAAGCTGCCATGTGAGCTAAGCCAGCCGGCCTCAGAGTCTCAGGACTATGCTGTTTCTGAAGGAGGTGACTGCCATCTCCAGGGAAGCTGCCATCTCCTCCAAGGCCATCAGCAGGGGTGGGCTACACAGCACAAAAATCAGGTGATGGAGGCATCTGATAGACTGCCTGATCTTCCATTTCTTCTGCAGAGTTAGAATGACGGCGAGGCTGAAGAGTGAATCAGCACTCTCCTCCATACTATATTCCACCCCTACTCCCCCTTCCCCTGGCATTATGCAGCCTTCAAGGGTCTCTGCACTTCAATAATAATATTGCCAAGTGCCAGAAATCTCAAACTGTGTGAGATATTAGTGGAAGTATGAAAATATTGCCCGGTGTGTGTGGCTGTCGTAAGCAACTCCTTTAAGAGCGTCCATCTGCGCTGGGGCATCTTGGAGAGGGAAGGAGGTTGTTAGAAATAGATTGTGCTGCCGCTGCCCATTCTATAAAATATGTGCATGATTCAGAGCCAGGCGGGCATTTGTGAATCCCAGTCCTCTATTGGTTAAAAGGAACTCCATGCTTGATTTGTGTATGGATCAAAGCAAAGCTACTTATCTCTACTGGATATTTCCTTCACACTTACTGGCATTGTTCAGCAGGGAAAGGTGAAACAAAGGCTGAATTTATTCACAGACAGGAGATTCAAAGTCACAACATCAAGGAAACAGATCAAAACTTCAAAAACACCTCTGATCTAAGTTCTCAAACATTTCGTATTTTCAAAAATTCACAAAAAAGGATGAATTATCCAAAAAGAATAAATCTACTTTTATTTCCATTTAAATGCCTCAAAGCAAAAGGTCCAAGGGTTCTGACTCTTTTCTCACTGCTGTCAGGCAGACTGAGAGCCCCTCATATTCTCCCCCTGTCATTCCTCTGTTTTGGGGTAAAAGTCTGCTTGCCAAGCTGGTGGAGGCTGGCACTGCATTTATCAATGTGACAGTTGCCACAGCATGGTTAGTGCTTCAGAATAAAAGAAGTTGAACATTGACGACCAAATATCTCAAAGATTTGCCACACTACCACATGGATCTAAAAACAAATAAATATTATAAAAACTGGCTTTAAAACAAATGTCATTGGAAAAGTTTGGCAGGTTCTTTAAAAGTTACACATATATACCAACCATATGGTTCAGCCATTCCATTCCTAGGTATTTACCCAAGAAAAAGAAAGCATATGCCCATACTAAAACTTTTACATGAATATATACAGCAGCTTTATTCATAATAGCCAAAAACTGGAAAAATTCAAATGTCCATCAGTAATGAATAAATAAATATGGTATAAACCGAATGAATAAACAAAGTGAGGTACATTCATACAATGAAATACTACTAGGCAATGAAAAAGGGAGAAACTACTGATATAAAAAACATGAATAAATTAGAATAATTATGCTGAGTGAAAAAAGCCAGACAAAAAAGAGTAATATTGCATGATTCCATTAATACAAAACTTAAGAAAATGCAAACTGACCTGTTATGGCTAAAAGCAGATCAGTGGTTGCCTTGGGAGGTGGGGCAAGGGAGCCAGGAGGAGAGACTGCAAAGGGGCATGAGGAAACCTTCGGAGGTGATGGATATGTTCATTCTCTTGAATTTGGTGATGACTTCATGTGTATATACATATGTCAAAAGTTGTCAGTTGTACACTTTAAATAGATGCAAATATATCAATTAACCTCAATAAAGCTGTTTTAAAAAATTAAAGAAAAAAAATGCCATGATGCAGCAACAGGGATTAGATTTCTACCCCAGCCTTAAACAACTAGAAAACTAGACAAGGCATATGGAAGCAACAATTTTCAACCTTGTTTAAGAGTCAAGGCAAGATTGTGATCCCTGAAAGAAGGGAAATAAGTAAGGTGAGCCCTACAATGACACCAGCTCATTGCCTAGAGAGAACCACAATGAAGCCCAGTGGTCTTACAGAATTGAGGAGACACGGTTCAGAGTTCTGCAGAGCCAAGGCAGCTCAAATTTGCAGGGCAGGGAACCAGAGAGGAGGGAGTTCTACATGCAGAGAGAAAACTCCAGAGATTGTCAGGTAAAAACCTCAAGTCTTTGATCTCTGATCAGTGCGTGCGTGTGAGAAAATTCTTCAAGGCAGGGAAAAGAACCACCTAAAAGGTGCAGATAGAATAATTCCTGGAGTCTTTACAGGGCCAGGAATAATTGCTATTCTCACCAACCAAAATATATTTATACACCAGCCATGTAATACATGGATAACATTTTGAGAAGGGTATTGGCTTAAGAATAGGGCTAGCTTAGCCCTAGATTGGAGGTTTCCTGGACCTATGACACTGTGCCCCAAAGAGTTAAAGAAACTAATGACTGACAGAAATTCTTGAGTTTGTAGGATGATGGATGAGAAAAGAAACAACTTGTTAAAATGCTGAAACTCTCTCTGCTTTTGTAAGATAAAAAAACTGGCTGAAATTGGCTGGGACCACTGTGGTCAACTGGAGCCTGGGCAAAACAAGGTTACTGATGTCACAGTATAAATTTCCACCACATGATTCATACTCACTTCCCCCATATTTACACATACAATCCATAAAATAACATTTTTTGAAACTACACACGTCCAAAGACTTTCCAGACCTCCCCTTCCCTCCTACCAATCACCTACTAATCCCAAAATCTACCCCCTAAACCTTTTCTAATAAAAAAACTTTGCCTTAAAGCCAGCACAGGGAGACAGATTTGAGCTTAACTTCTGTCACCTTGTTGGTTGACTCACAGGAAAGGCTTTTCTTTTCTGAAAAAACCTGATGACATGGTGTTGGCTTCTCATACATCAGGTAGTGAGCTCTTTTGCTTGATAACACTACCATAACAAAATTTAAAAGCAAGTCCTGAAAGGATCAAACTGTTTCCAAGTAACTGTGTGCCAGAACAAAGCCCAACACTCTTCTGAGGAATAAAACAAAATCCAACACCCAACACGGTAAAATTCCCATTATCTAGCATCCAGTAGAAAATGACCAGGCATACAAAAGCGCAGGAGTATATGACTCATAACCAGGAGGAAAAATAGAAGAAGTCCCAGCAACAGCAGAGATGATGGAACTAGCAAAAGTGGACATTAAAATAGCTATTATAAATCTCATAAATATATGAAAGGATACTCAAGGAAAACACAAACTCAATTCTGAGAGAAGTAGAAGATATAAAAGAAAACTCAAATGGAACTTTTGGAGGTGGAGAATATAATATCTTAAAAAAAACAAAACTTGAACAAAAATCATTATCTCATTGATACTAGAACTCATTTTCAGGCTGTCAAGTGATAATTGAATCATCACTTCCTTGGAGAAGCCTCGCTGGCTGGAACAAACCTAATATTCTGGGCTGTCACAGTCTTCAGCCTCCTCTTCAAAGCACTTGTCATAGTCATAGTACTTCCATTATCTGTGGAACTATGCAACTCATGTCTGTTTTCCCCACTACACCACAAGGTCTAAGAGAGCAAGAGCATGTTTTTGCCTACCTCTGTACCAGTGCCCAGCCAATGCCAAATATGAAGTAAGCACTCCATAAATATATCTTGAATATATGAATGGACTTCTATAATCAGCTTTGCAGTGTATTCATTTGGCAACTCTTGTTTAATGCATCACGCCTGACTTCTTCCTTCCTTCTTCATCAGCATAGTGATGCTGTTTGACCATGAGGTCCAGCTCTCATATGGCCTCATAAAATGGGCTTCCTGCAGGCACTGTTGAATCCTGAATTAAGTGTGAACAGATGATTCACTAAGCGACCTGGAGCAAGTTGTTTAACCTCTCTGATCTTTGGGTTTTTCAGCTACTAAATAAGAATATTGAAACAGATTACCTCTAAGAACTCTCCCAGCTCTCATGTTCCAGGATGCTGGTTGTGGTCCAGTCTCCAAAAATGCTGCTCCTCCGGGCAGGATCCTCACTTACCTCCTGGTGGCCATACTCTTCCTGAATTGAACTTGGGCTTTCTGTGTGACCGATAGAGTATGGTGAAGAGAACGGTGAGTGGCTTCTGAAGGTAAGCCATAAAGGGCACGGCAGCTTCTGCTTTGGTCTTTTGGATTGTTTGCTCTAGGGGATGCCAGCCACTACGTCATGAGAACACTCAAGCCACCACAGGGAGAGGCTCTTGAAGAAAGTAATTAAGGTCTCGTGCTAATAGTGAACTATCTTGGAAATGGATCCTCTTGCTTCAGTCAGCCTTCAATTGGCTGTAATCTCAGCAAACATTTGACTTTAACCGCATGAGAGACCATAGCCACAACCTCCCAGCCACACCACCCCTGAATTCCTGACCCACAGACACTTTGAGAGACAATAATTGATTACTGTTCTTTTATTTATTTATTTATTTTTATTTTTTAGAGACAGTCTCACGTTGTCACCCAGGCTGGAGTGCAGTGGTGCAATCTCGGCTCGCTGCAACCTCCGCCTCCTGGGTTCAAACGATTCTTGTGCCTCAACCTCCCAAGTAGCTGGGATTACAGGCACGCACCACAACACCTGGCTAATTTTTGTATTTTTGGTAGAGATGGGGTTTCACCATGTTGGCCAGGCTGCTTTTGAACTCCTGGCCTCAAGTGATCTGCTCGCCTTGGCCTCCCAAAGTGCTGAGATTATAGGCATGAGCCACCACGCCCAGCTGATTATTGTTATTTTAAACCACTGAGTTGTGGAATAATTTGTCAGGCAATAATAGATAACTAATATACCGGTACTGAAAGCTTACCCTTCCTCATTCTTTAAAAACTTCTGCCACAAAGAAAACACAAAAGTGTTGTATAAGCTGAATCCCCAAAACAGAAATCTTTCCTAACTTGGTCACCAACTTGGATGCCTGGGATTTAACCTGAAAGTCTCAATACAAAAGCCCTCTTTGTTCATTTGGCACCCAAAGACCTGATGACACCCAATCTCCATTCTGCTCCTCCCTCTTTTCCTTCTTTTTCTCATCAGCCATGTTTCAGTCCTGTTTTAACAATTCTACTCCCATTCTGCTGCTGATTTCCTAGGTGCCCTGGGGACATGTTTCTTGCTCTTCTGAATGAGCTTTCCAAGTTCCATAATCAGTTTGAATATATCACAAGCACCTGTGGGCACTTGGCAGGTGCTGAACAAATATTATTTCCTGCCTTGGTCTAGGTCCTTCAGAAAGCAGAAACTGAGCAAGGATTGAGGTTCTAATTTGCTTAGAAGTTGCAAGCCCAGAGCAATGGAGATGAGGGGGCAGAAAATGAGGGAAGAGAAGTCATGAGAAGTAATGCAATGCACTACTGTGATGACCTATTTCACCCACCATAAGCTTGGATGGGACACCAGGTTGCATGTTTACTTAGTATAAAGAGTTCTCTGAAAAGGCTGCAGGAAGGATTAATGATGCAGAGGCACCCACAAGACAGAGTAGGATGGGGGAAGTTATCTGCCCTGCGCCCATCTGTCTTCTATCTCCTAGGTCAATGTCCACTTCCTGAATAGTTACTAACCTTGCATTATCCAGTCCCTGATGACTGCCCAAGAAACCAGATCCCATGCCCCATGGTGAGGTGTTTCACCCAGTCCAAAAGTGGAGGGCATCCGGGAGTGAATGGGCACTATCCAGAAGAGGGTACGAAGCCATAGAGGGAACCTAAGAAGATATATAAGGTATGTCTCCTTATAGTTATCCTCTTGGTACTGTTTCCAAATTCTCAGACACTAATTTGCTAGCAAGCACAACTATAGAAAGACCTGGATTCTTGTTGCCTTGACTGTACCCGTTCCTCAAACTTGTAACGTGGGTGGAAGATAGAGTGAGGCTGCATATTTTTGTAAGCTGACCCTTGCAGGCTCCAAGACAGATGGACACACTCAAATCTTGGCATGTAAAATGCAAGACTCGCTCTTTCTTCAGGTGGCTAGAAGGGAGATCTTATCTGTCAGTTGAGGGGGTCTCTGAGACAGTAACATTCGCCCAGCAGTTTAAGAAAAATGTAATTTAATAGAGTAAAACCAAAGCTTTTGAGCAGTCATTGGGCTGATTTTGACGAAAATTCCCCAAAGCTCTTGTTTTTTGCTAGGAAGAGAAATGTTTCCTCCTAAGAGTTTTTCAAACCTCTACTTAAATTCAACAGTGGCAAAGTGGCTGTGCTCAACAGATGGTGGATGCAGGAGTCCCTCAGAATTCCAGTGTACAAGCCGGGCATGGTGGGTCATGCCTGTAATCCCAGCACTTTGGGAGGCTGAGGTGGTTGGATCACTTGAGGCAGGAGTTTGAGACCTGCCTGGGCAACACGGTGAAACCCTATCTCTACTAAAAAATACAAAAATTGGCCAGGTGTGGTGGCACATGCCTGTAATCCCAGCTACTTGGGAAGCTGAGGTGCAAGAATTGCTTGAACTCAGGAGGTGGAGGTTGTAGTGAGCCAAGATCATGCCACTGCACTCCAGCCTGGGCGACAGAGCAAGATTCTGTCTGGAAAAAAAAAAAAAAAAAAAAAAAAAGAATTCCAGTGTACCAAGAGGCTCAGTCCAGCCCTCATTTACAGAGGAGGATGGGTGGGTGGGTGGATGCTTGGGTGGATGAATAGATGAGGTAGCTGCTTAGTTTTGGATATTCAAGAGGTATTGTCTGCACCCAACCCCTTAAACAGGCAAACAAGAAAAAGCATCAGTGTGGGTTTTTACTGTCTTGAATCATTCTCTCTGACATGTATTTCTTGTCCCTGACACAGCTACCCCCTCCGATCCCCCACCCTTCTGGTTTGTTATCAGCTCCATGCTGTCTCTTTGCATTAAAGTGACAAGAAGCAGCACAAAGCTGACGACAGGAGGCCAGAGCTGTAATTTGCACTGACATTCACTGGCGTTATCCACTTATTGCCTGGTAAGCCAAATAGGAGATTTGTCTGATTTTGATCCCAGGAAGAGAAATGACAACCCTGCTCCACTCTTGCCATTCTAAACAAGGCACCAAGCTGGTCCTCAGGTCTGAGTTCTGGCTGGCAGTGACCCCTCGCAAAATGTGGGTCTTCGCTATCATTCCTCCTTTCCTCCTCTGGCTGAAATTTCCTTTCAGGCCTGACATCCGGCAAACACTGAACTAGAGATTTTGGTTGCTGAAGAGTGAGTACTACTGTCATTTTCTCAGCTAGGGGTGGTACGGTTCACAGGTCACCATGAGGCCTCAAAAAACTATTTGGGGAAAGAGTCCTGACTTCCCCTTGGAAGTCAAACCCCAGCTGAAAAATACCTCAACAATTCTCTTTCTGCCTCCCAGACCCTGCCCAAGCTGTAAGAGAAACAAGGCTGAACAAGAGGCTCAAGAGAAGTGGCATGAAGGGAGTTAGCCTGCGAGCAGGGCTTGCTACATAATTGGCAAGGCCCAGTACAAAATAAAAAAGTAGGACCCTTGCTCAAAAAAGGGGGGGAAAGTGTTGTTAAAAGCACTAAAATGTAAAGCTTTTGTCTTTCTTCTGTGATCTCTCTCTGATGTCATGACATTTTTAAAAATCTGTTATGTAATGTTGTTCTTAGTATAAATAAATTATTTGCATGAATTCTACCATTAGTTTATATTATGCAATGCCAGTTTTAAATGCATGTATAAGAGTATGTAACTCAGATACACCAAAATGGCACAATCTGTTTTTTTTTTTTTTTTTTTTGAGACGGAGTCTCACTCTGTTGCCCAGGCTGGAGTGCAGTGGTGCAATTGGCTCACTGCAACCTCCACCTCCTGGGTTCAAGCAATTCTCCTGCCTCAGCCTCCTGAGTAGCTGGGATTACAGGTGCGCGCCACCACGCCCAGCTAATTTTTGTATTTTTAGTAGAGACGGGGTTTCACCATGTTGGCCAGGATGGTCTTGATCTCTTGACTTCATGATCTCCCCACCTCGGCCTCCCAAAGTGCTGGGATTACAGATGTAAGCCACCACTCTAGGCCCACAATTTGTATCTTACAGCTCATATTTGCTTACATGTCTCCTTCCTACAAGGACAATGGAAATGCTGCATAAAACTAACTGTTCTTATTTCCTTTCCTGATACATGTACATTCTACCAACTCTCTCCACCTTTATCTTACCGGTGAGTAAGGAAAGACTGAAAGGAAAAGGAACTGTGTTTGCCCTATTTTTTCCCTTTTCTTCTGCCATCATTTTCAGTGTAAGTGGCTGGTTAATACAGGGAAGTAACATAAATAAGAACATGATAGGGCTCCATGGCTGTTCTTAGAACCCCACTGTCCTCTTTCTGCATTCAAGGCAAGTTCTGGTTGGATGGAAAGCATGGCCTCTCTGGGTTACCCGCAGCTGTCAGTTATAGGGTAACATGGTTCCCTTGTACTCATTTTGAGTTTCACTGAACTCCCTTGCATTGTGGATCCCCTGGAATTCTGTGCTCATGTGGCATCATCAAAAATGCTATACACAAATAAAGCTTGCACATCTCTGTTCATGTGCATGCTTTATTGTCTTATTGACTTCACTTGTAAAACATAAGTTCAAAGATAAAATTATTAAGAATTTCAAGATGATGACAGCAAAGCAGTAAGCCAAATATGGAGCCCTTCTGAGCCAGGGCCCTGTGTTCATGAATTAGGCCCCGTCTGGGTGGTAGAATATGA
The DNA here is from genome assembly GCF_000001405.40 of Homo sapiens. Lineage (NCBI taxonomy): Eukaryota > Metazoa > Chordata > Mammalia > Primates > Hominidae > Homo > Homo sapiens. The sequence continues at coordinate 43,205,063 of NC_000003.12, forward strand.
GAGCTAATACTTAAGTAGCGTCTACAATAACCAAGCACTAGTTTAAGTACTTTGTATGTATTATTCATTGAATCTTCCTGACAACCCAATACAGCAGGTAAGTTACTACCCCATTTTTCAGATATGAAACTTGAGGTACTGGGAGATTAAATGTCTTGCCCGGGGTCACAGAACACGCCACTGGCAGGGCCAAGACACAGACCCAAGTAGTCTGGCCCCAAAGGCCATGGCCCTAACCACTATGCTAAACTGCTTCTCAGGGGAAATCGAAGAAAGACTTGGCGGGGAGAGGGTGTCACACATTTCTCTTTCCCCTTGTGCCTGTGGTTAGGTCTACACATCAGAGCCTGGGATGCCTTTTCCTCATCATGGGGATCAATAACTTTACTTCTTTAAAGTGGTGACTTTGCTCAAGCCTAGGTCAAGGGGCTTAGAGACACCTTAAACGTCAATGATGAAGGGCCGGGAGTGGTGGCTCACACCAGTAATCCCAGCACTTTGGGAGGCTGAGGAGTTCAAGACCAGCCTGAGCAACATGGTGAAACCCCGTTTCTCCGTTTCTACAAAAAATAAAAATAAAAATAAAAAGAATTTAGCCAGGCATGGTGGTGGGTGCCTGTAGTTCCAGCTACTCAGGAGGCTGAGGTGGGAGAATTGCTTGAGCCCAGGAGGCAGAGGTTGCAGTGAGCCAAGATTGTGCCACTGCACTCCAGCCTGGGCAACAGAGTGACAGCCTGTCTCAAAAAAATAATAATAATAAAGACAATGATGAGGGATGAATCTCATACTAGGAGGCCTTGGAGTTGGTTGGGTCCAAATTAGATGAGGGAGGGAAGGCAGGGGTCCAATGAAGCCTCTTCCTCCCATGTTTCTCTGTCAGCACAACTCAAAAGCATTCCCCACCCACTGGCCTGCAGAGGCATTGCCCATCACCTTCACGGGGTCAAAAGAAAAGACTTCTTCATCCTGGACACTGGCCTGCCTACGTCAGCAGGGAGAAAGGATGATGGGGGCGGAGGGAAGTGAAGGTTCTGTATTGGCACTTGTGCAGGCAGGAGACAGAAAGGGAGGCAGGGAGGAAGGAGGGCCACGGAAGGGATTGGAGGGCTTGGAGAGGGCACAGAGGAGGAGACTACGACAGCAGATAAGCACTTGATGCAAGGCTCCCAGGAAAGGAATGGATCCACGCATTTTACATCGACCCTGAACAGTTTATTATCCATCACCAAACAATCCAGTCCTATTCAGTCACGTTTATGATGGACTCACTGGCAGTGCACGCCCTCTGATTAGCCATGCAAACATGGGTAATGTTAAATAGGAGCTGTGTCTTCCTCAGCATGAAGGTTATGGGCAGACACCCCCGTCTCACCTACCAGAAAGACTTCTGTGCCATGGTGGATCAAAACAACAGTTTAAAGGGGTTTTGTTGTTCCTCATAAATATCCCCCCCTACACACATACAACTGAGACAGAAGACTGAAATATCTCATCATTTAGGATTTAAGAACAAAAAATATGACATGAGTCGGTAGTGACTACTCCAGATTGGATGCCTGGACACGAGGAAAGGACGGCCATGAAGGCAGGCAATGGCTTCAGGCCGTTGTTTTTATCATTCCGATAGCAGCAATTGCAGCTTCTCCCCATGGTTGTTTTTCCTTTTCCCAGAGCACAGAAGGCTTTTTCTGCTTTTCTCCAGCTTCCGTGGTACAGTGCCTTTAGGGGAGCTTTATTGATCAGCAACAGCAGGGGGCAGAGCTCCTTCTCCTCGCCCGCCTTTTTTGGGTCGTAATGCTCTACTTCTCTCTGGACAAATCATTTGGAAACCAACAGGCGTGTACTTGATGCATGACGCAAATGTCATATGGTGTTGCTAATGTCACACCGTTGACAAAAGAAGAAAAGGAAAAGGATCCCAGCAGATGGATGGGTTTTACATTTCATATAACACACTGTTGATTCCTGACAGCCCAGAGCAAACAGCAGCCGCATCGTTGTGAAAAGATGCAAAGTTTTATGTCATCTCCAGCAAGAATTGCCCCAATGGCTGTTTTGGGGCCCTTAATCCTCTTCTCAGAGAATTTTCTTTATGATGGTTCTTTTTTTCTCTCAAAAATATTGCTGGTCCCAGTGCATGGGGACAAAAACATGGCTACTCCCTTGGGTCCTTTGCTACAAAGTGGGTTTTGTGGCCCAGATAAAGCTCTGGAGACATGATTGGCTAAAGAGCAGTGGAAAATAAGGCGTTCCCCAAATGTCACATTTGGCCACTTTGAGGGAAGGAGGCTCACGGGCGTAAGAGTATCCAAAACCACATAATATGGTCTCTTACCTGTCTTTTTATTGACAGACAAAGGAGATCCCAAACTGCCAGCCAACCCTGAACCAAGAGGGGAAGTTCAGTCAAAACTTAGACATTTTTCTTCCTTGGGTCATAGTTTCCTGATAATAAAATATTTTAAGTCTCCAGTAAAAATTCGTATACTATAATGATACAATTTATGTTGGAGATAGAGAACCTACTTTAGTCCTGGATCTCAGAGTTCCAGATTTCTTCTGGCTTTAACACAGAAGGGCTGAGGTGTTGAATGCAAAACAGTTGGAGGTTGACCCCTGGCTGGCTGATCCCAACTCTGAGTTAATCATTGCCTGCCACCAATCAGGTAGGAAATATCACTTTACTGTATGGCCACCGAGAACCATTACTTTCAAATTGTTGTGGGTTGCCACGGAAACAAGGACATCTTAATGTTAAGAATAATTTACTCTGTAATGAAAATGGTCTATCTCTAAAGGAAAGTTAACTTGGAAACCTTTTGAGTCATCCCCAGTTGCTGTCCCCTCCCCACCCCCACCCTACTTTCTTCTGCTTGCCTAGAGGCCTTAATTTTGATGATCTATGAGGTGTCAGCCAGAAGGTCTTGTGCTCTGCCGCAAAGCACTATAAAAAGGCAGATGTATGACTGTGTCATCCACAAATACCCTAGAAAGTTAAGTGTTAAACCAGTGTTAATAATACATGTTTTCCTCTGAAGTAGGTTATAGAAGGATCACTGGGGCCCCTTAAAATATTACAAACCAATAAAATCTCAGGGAGCTCAGGGACACCTAACCCTGCCATCACCCTTTTAGTACTGTCAGAAAAGTTATTAAATGCCATTCCATCTTGTCTTCCTAAAACCCCTGGATGGAGACAGGGAAACAGCCCCTCCAAACAACTGAACTCGGTCTCTACAAATCGGAAGTCTTGGGACCAGAAAGACCCAGGGAATGCAGAAATTACTCTTTAAAATGTTTGAGGTGGTGGATATGCTAATTACTGTGATGTGATCATTATATGGTGTGTACCTGCATTGAAATACCATTCTGTATCCCATAAATGTGTAAAATTATTGGGTGTCAACTAAAAATAAAATGAAAAAAGTTGAATTGAATTTAAACAAATGTTTAAAGTCTTCCCAGGAAACATAGTGACGGGCCATTGCCATTGACTCAGTGTCCCGCCCCCACCATTTTGCTACCAAGCTCCCTGATCTGAATAAGAGGAAGCAAAAAAAACACTCTGATCCAGGTCCTGCCTGGCCTCCCATCAAAGAGCCCTCCCTCCATCTCTCAATCATCCCCATTGACTTCTGGTCCTTGCAGGGAGGTTTCTTAAGGCTCTCCCACCCCTTCGAGGGGAGCCTGTAAGAAGGGCTGCTGGCTTGTGTGCATAAGAATTTGAAGCTTACTTGACAGCCATCCATGGCTGTGCTGTCTTTGCTGAAGAAAATTCCATTTTGAAACTCTATAGAATTGTCCTGGTAGATATATAAAGTCCTGATTGTTCCTTGTCTTCTATTGCTTCTCACCCAATAGTAAGATTGGTTGTTGTTGTTTTCCATTGGAAGGTCCTTCCTCTTGCAGGAAAAAGAGTCAGCATGATTGGAAATATGAGCCATGGTCAAGAAATCCAAATGCACCCATTTTGGCCAGGTGCGGTAGCTCACACCTGTAATCCCAGCACTTGGAAAGTCCAAGGCAGGTGGAGATCACTTGAGGCCAGGAGTTCAAGACCAGCCTGGCCAACATGGTGAACCCCCATCTCTACTAAAAATACAAAAATTAGCTGGGCGTGGTGGTGGGCACCTGTAATCCCAGCAACTCGGGAGGCTGAAGCAGGAGAATCGCTTGAACCCGGGAGCGGGAAATGGAGGCGGCAGTGAGCTAAGATTGCACCACCGCACTCCGGCCTGGGCAACAAAATGAAACTTCATCTCAAACACACACACACGCACACACACACACACGCACACACACATCCAAATGCCCCCATTTCAATCAAGCTAGGTTCCGAGAAGCAGACCCTGAGAGAAGATTCTGGTGCAGGTGACTCACTAGGACGTATTCTCAAGGAAATCCTAAGTAGAGTGGGGAAAGGGGACTGAGAAGGGTAGGAAAACAAACAAAGGTTATGATGCCAAGCTGAGTCCCCTGAAGGATGATGTTGGCACAATCTCTCAGAGGGCACACCCAAGTGTCCCCATCAGGGATGAGGGAGAATTTCTGTCCCTGCATCCCCCAGCCATTGGTTCAGGTCTGCATCCCATGGTGCATGCAGGCAAAGGGGTTCTGGTAGCTGCTGGCCATCCTCCAACAAAGAAAGGCAGGTGCAGCTGGGGAGGAGGCACAGGGGAGCTGATGTGCCCAGAAGGGGCGAAAGGATCTGAGGATATAGGGACATGGGGCTGACAGCATCCTGCCTCACACTCCACCCACAAGAATATAAAGGAAAGAAGGAACCCAGAGTTTTCTTCCAGGTCCATCTATTTGTTCATCACTCATCCATTGATTTAAGCAAACATATACTCAGCACTGGTCATGTTCCAGTTATTGTGCTAAATACTGAGGGTTTCTAAAAAAAAAAACATGGTCAAGTGTGGGGAAGCCAGTACTAATCTTATACTTGAGAGGCTAGCACTCCAAAAAGGTGGGGTGGGGAATATGTACCCAAATGTCTATCACCCAGGTCAGGTTTGGACTTAAATATTTCTAACTTCTGTCTAGGTCTCTTCCATGAAGGGCCAAGCCTTCGATCTCAGAAAAAAAACCAAAACTCTCTGTACAATTATGTAATCCAAAGGTTCTAAGGCTATGCTGCCAAATGTTAATAAAGCACCTAGAGATCCCTGGATGAAAAGCACAACATGAGTGCAAGGTATTATTAGTAATCAAAGTGGTATTTAGTAATACCAAAATAAATAAGTTGACCCAGAAGTTTTGCTCCGCATTCAAGGGAGCGTTCTGGGTATCCTAGGCCCTTTATCTAAGAATCAAATGCTCCCACAGCTATAACACATTCCTGCCCTGGTTTGTCTTATGAACTGAGCATTTTGCTGGCATCACACTTTGGTAAGTACCCTGCTGATTCCAAGGGCAGCATTTCAGCAGCAGCCCTGGCAGGCGGGTTACTTAAGGTCACGTCCATCTATTGCCCATGACCCACATGCCAGGACCAGGAGAGAGTGAGAAGGGGCTGGAGTGAGTGGAGACTAATAGCAAAACATTCTCATTTGTAGGGTAAAACAGGTTAGGAAAAGTGCAGGTAGTCTTCCTGTTCCTCCTAGGGCCACAGACTGGCAGATAGGAGGGTGTGCCCAAGACTACGGCTGCTGGATTAAATAGGGGCCACACAGTTAAATCTGGACTGCAGATAAATAACACATACTCTTTTTTTAGTATGAGTATGTCCCAAACATCTCATGGGACATACTTACAGTGAAACTTTTTTTGTTGCTTATCTGAAATTCAAATGTAACTGGGCACCGTGTATTTTTATTTGCTAGCTCTGGCAAGCCTACCCCAAGGACTTCACCACAAGGACTTTTCTCCTTTAATTCCCTGCTCAGGTCAGAAGTGGGAGGCCAGATAGCTAAAGAGGACTTCATATCAGGCTGGATAGGGAGTTCGGATCTCCCTAAGCAAGCTATTGATCTGATGTCAAATAAAATTGCTTTTTAAGGTCTTCCCCTAACTGTCCCTGGGAAGTGTGTTCATGGGGCAGGAAATGAAGGCAAAAAAATGACCAAGGAAAGAATCCCTTGGCAGAGCCTCAAATTCTAGAATTCCTTTTTCCAATGTAACTCCTTAGATTTTTAGTCTGTCATGAACTTGCCTTAAGCTTATGAAGAAGTTAAACAACACTTTGCTTTTTAAACCACAACAAGAATGGAGAATTCGTCTAAAATTAAATGCCATGTGCAGATTTTAAAGCCATGGAGATGTACAAGCAGCCCAAAACTCAAATTTGCCCCACAGCTTTTTCCTAGCAGAGCACTTTCCCAGCAGCTACTGCCTTTGGGCCTTGACATAGCCTTGGGGATGGGCAACACAAATGTTATCCAACCCGTTGGCAGGTGAGGCAGGTCAGGCCAACACAAGTTGAGGGGCCCGTCCAGAGCAACAGGTGTGGGGACAGAAGCCTCACCTATGACCCTGGCTCTTCCCATCTGAACAAGTTGTTAGGAAGTGAACCTGGAGCCTGATCCTGGATTTCCGAGTCAAGATCTGGGGTATGTTATTTAAGCATTTCAGACCCTGCCTTCCATGGTATATCTGGCAGAGCCTACAAGTGTATTCTATAAATCTTAATGGAACATGTGCAATGTGCCAGGCATGTTCGAGATGCTGGGGCCACAGCTGAGGAAGGCAGACAAGGTTCCTGCCTTCGTGGGGCTCACATTCTGGAGGGGACAGGCAGGCAGATCATAAACAAGTAAACAGATTAGTAAGCATGTAGCAGATGGTGACAAGTACTGGGAAGCTAGGGACAGAAGGTACAGGTGGAAGGCGGGGCTGCTTTATGGAGGGTGAACTGAAGCTCTTTCTGGAGAGGAGATGCCTGAACAGCCAGCCTAGTGTCCCATGTGGGGTTCCAGCTTTTAGGCGGAGCAGCTGCGGTGCTCCAAGATGGGACAAGCCTGGTTTTTGAGGGACAGCAGTGAAGTTGACCAGTTGGAGAGCAGGGATGGTCAGAGCACCAGGCACCCTCAGGGCATGGTAAGGAGTTCAGATTTTATTTAACGTGTGATGATGATGCTGGTGGAAAGCAAGTCTTAGCCTAGGTTCTCAGCTTCTTCTATGAAGATCGAGGTCACAGACTGGGCAGAATGGAGAGGACACAGAGGCCCTCATGGACTACCATGAGCTGGGCCATCTCTTGAATGAGCTCTGGAAGGGGTCAGGTGAGACACCTGGCCACTGCCTTATATACAAAGTTGGGGTCCTAGAGCTTGGATTTTTCTCAGGATATAAAATTCTATCTTCCTTCAACTTTATGTGCTTCTATGGGAAGCTACTGAATACCCTGATAAGGTTTCAGACCCTGCAACAGTGATTTGCAGGCCCTGAAGGCCGTCTAACTCAGGCTTGGATGGCCCAGTCTACTTATGCCTTCCTGCCAAGAAAAGATAGCCCAGTCCTGACATGGGGATGAGCAGAGCTGGGCCCTGGCACAGTGGCCGAATATTCTATATACCTATTTTCTTGGATTTGGAAGGTCAGTCTGGCACCTTGTTCAGGGCCAGATGAAAACATTTGGACCAGTGGTTTTCAAACTGTGGTCCCAGGCCAGCAGCCACAGCACCAAGTGGGAACTTGTTAGAAATGATAAAATTAGAAACTTAGGGGTTTGAACTCAGCTCTCTGTATCTTAACAAGCCCTCCAGGTGATTCTGATTCTCAAGAAAGTTTGAGGACCACTGCGTTAGAAGAAAGCTGGGCAGGTGGTTAAAACAAAATCCTCCTTTTGATGAGACTTGGCTCTCAGTGCAAAGTCAAAGCAGGGCAAAAACAGAAAAACTCTTCAGGGCACCAGGATGCGTGATGCACTGTCTGCCAAATACCTGACCAACCACAGAACCTGATATCTGAGGTGTAACTTTTCCATCCAGCAAAACTCTGTGGTGAAACAGATTGATAAAGAATAAACTTTGGCTGTTTCTCCCAACTAGATGCTGAGGCCCTCGTTTACTCTTGGTGTACTCTAGATGCTACTGTGTCATTCATTCATTCTCACACTCATATCTGTTGAAGACACAGAGATAATAAAATCCTATCTCCACTCTCAAGTAGCTTGTATCAAGAGGAGGAGTGTAACTTGTGAATGAAAAAAGTGACAACGCAGGGGAATAAGCGATTGCAAGCGAACTCTGGTTTGGAGTTGAGGAGTCATGGGGAAGGAGAGAGGGGGTGTCAGCCATGCCTAGAGGAACAGAAACACAGGAGTGTGGCAGGGGCTAGTCTAGTTCAACCAGCTTGGTGGCTGAGTCATTTCACAACATCACCAGGTGGGAAAACTTGAGTTCACATTCCCACATCCTCCCTGAGAACAGACTTGCCTGTAGGTCCAAATACACCTGATGGTTCCCCATGGACCTCCACGAACTCTGGAGGTGCTACCACTGGCAGCCCCGGTCCCCAAAGAGCTGACCAGGGGCTTTTTTCCCAGCTCCTCTTTTGACGGGGGCTCTTACTGACTGATTGGCCAACTCCAAAGCCCAGCATCCCCTTCTCAGTCCTGTCTCACTTCTACATCAGAATTTTGTCCATCTGAAAGTACTTTCCATTGAGCAAGGCAGGACTGGGAATAAACTCCTGCCCATAAAGTCAACACTTGAACCATTCCAGTCCTTAGCATCTAGACTTAGCAATTCTATTCAAACCTGCAGCATGGCCACCTTTGATAATTCAATCATTCAAAGCTATTTATTAGCCAGGGCCTGACCCAAATGTCCATCTGAGTCATCCTGTTACTGATGGTTAATAATTATGCTGGAATTTTTAGCCTCACTAGTAATCAACAATGCAACAAAGAGCTACTCTTTTTCACCTGTCAAATTAGCAGTGCTTTTTTTTCCGGAGAATACTCAATGCCAGCCAGGAGGCTGTGAGATGGGTTCCTTCAACACTACCATTAGTAAAATAAATGGGACATCCTTTCTGGAAAGCAATTCAACAATATGTATCAAAAACTGCTTAAATATTAAAACTTATTAACTCTGCAAATTCATCTAAAAGTTTAAAGGAAATAGTCAGGGATTTAGGCAAATATTTATACTGCTACCATTTATTACGCTGAAGGGAGTACACCATGTGCCAAGCACTTAATACATAAATTATCTCCCACACCAACAAAGATGTCCACAAAAGCATTGTTTTTAATAGTAAAAAATCATAAACAAGCTACATTTACAAAAATAGAGAATGCTAACACAACTTAGAATTAGTCCATAGAACATAATACTACACATTAGAAACTAGGTCTTTAAAGAATGTTAAATGCCATGGGGAAAGTGCTTTTATATACAACATAATTCTAACTTATGAAAGATATATAACAAATATACATGCATTAAAATAAAGAGAAATAAATAAAAACACTAGTAGGTAGTATAGGACTTTTTCAATGCTTTCTACATTTTCCTATTTTTCTACGATTGACATACATCCCCTTTCATGATGAAAAAGTTATAAAAATGAAAACACGCACACACAAATGTGACTTCCCCCTGGGTGTAAGGAACTCCTTTATCTCATTCTCCCTTCAGACAGCTGCCTCCTCATCCAGCCCTGGTGAATCCCTCACTTTGTCTGAGTGTTTCATTTTCTCTTTGCGAAATGGGCACAATAATCCTGGCCTCTCTACCGCCTAAGACAGTTGTATGTCACAGTGACCTTCTGCTAATAAAACTCCAGGTAAACACTAATTACCGTTGCTACTAACACACTAATGCTTTCTGGGAGTGGTGAGTCACACTAGGCTCTCATAAGGAAGGAATGGTCTCCGGGGACAGGATTTGACATGAAGACTCCTCTTGCCAGAAGACTTCTGCCTGTATAGATATCCAAGAGAGACTGGAAGGTAGAGTGGTGTCTCCATCAGCTATTACTGAGCACCAAACAACCCAAAACCTCAGTAGCATACCCCTGAGCATTTGTTACTTGCTCACACATCACAGATCAGTGGGTATTTGGCTGATCTTGGCTTGGATCAGCAGGGTTGTGCCCCAGGCTGCAGTTTGGTCCAGATCTGTTCCACATGCTTGTCATCCTCCGAGGACCAGCAAGCTAGCTGGGGCATGCTCTTCTCATGGCAATGGCAGAGGTAGAAGAGGACACACACAGTCCCACAAGCACATTTCAACCCCTCTGTGCGTCACTTCTGCTAATATTCCATGGTCAAGCCCAAAGTCAAAGGGTGGGGAAGTATTCTTCCAAAGTTGTGAAAGGATCAGCAAAGTTCCATGGCAAAGGGTGTGGATGCAGCAAAATATGAAGAATTGCGGCCAAGAACTCAATGTATCACAAGGAGGGTGGAGAAGGTAACATGAGCCACAAACCTGTTATCTGACTATCCAGACCAAAGGAAAGGAGGAAAAGAGATGGAGAAGGGATGGGCTATGACCTGTTGGAGGCAGCTGGGAAATTTCTTCTGTAGGTTCATTCACTCATGCAGCCAACAGACATGTATTGGGGTTTGGGCTTAGAGCTTGGTGGGGCTCTAAGTGATACAGGTGAGAATGAAGGCAGGACTCTATTCCCTCTAATTGTTTTCCTAAAAAACTATATTTCCAAACCTGTAGCCTACAGCTATATTTAAATGCACTTTAGTTTTCAGCCTTCTTGTCTCTTGTGTTGCTATGGTTTTAAAAGGTTGAGTGTATTTTTATAATCTCAAGACCATATCTCAAGCACTTCTTCCATATGTAAATATCTTTATGATCTGAGTTCTCTCTGAGAAGAAAAAAAGGATGTGTCCCCAGTCTGGACCACAAGGAGGCATCTGACAGTGCTGTAGACTGGGATGGTGGGTTTGCTGAGTGCCTGGGTCCACTTACCAGGACAGCCCCTAAGGAAGGTGGCGGGTAGCAATCCTACAGATGTGCACATGCAGGAGTAACTGAGGAGATGCCTCTGCAAAGACAGCAGAAAAAAACAAGAAAGGTTACAGAGACAGCATCAAGGGTCCAGAGCTGGGAGGCAGCTAGCCATGTGCATGCTGCAGGCTGTCGCTCTGGGTTAAGTGGGGTAAGACAAAGGCATGAGGAAGAGTTGCTTACCAGGAAGCAAGTAGAACCAGATGACAGATAAGTGGGTAGGGCAGAGCCCTACAGTGCCGAGCCCCCAACAGTGTTCCTTTTACATTTTTCTGTGCCAGGGCCCAGTTTTAACAGGGATGAATGAACAGGGCCAGCCTAGGGCCGCGAAGGAGCTGAATGCAACCTGCAATCCTGAAATATGGAGGCTAACATAGACCAAGGGCCCTTTTGCCTCACAACAGCTGGAGAGTCTGTGTTAAGATTATTCTTTTTAAATGGAACCGGATGACCCAGAACAACTACAGAACAGGAATCTCTTTCTTCCTCCAAAAAGAAACAAGTATGTAAAACAACAACAAAAAAACAAAACTAGTGTGGAATTTTGCATTATACCCATCAAGAATCAAGGATTGAACCCCAGTCTAATCATGAGAAAAAGTCATCAGACACATTCCCAGACACCTGACCATCACTCCTCAAAATCATCAAGGTCATCAAAAACAAGGAAAGTTGGAGAAACTGTCACGGCCAAGAGAAGCCCAAGGACAAATTATGATTAAATGTAATGTTGAATCCTGGATCGGATCCTGGAACAGAAAAAAAGAATTAGGTAAAAATTAAGGAAATCCAAATGAACTATGGACTTTGGTTAATAATAGTTCATCAATAGTGCTTCATTAATTGTAACAAATGTGCCATACTAACATAAGATGTTTATAATAGCATAAACTAGGTAAGGAATATATTGGAACTCTCAATAGTGTCTTCTTAATTTTCTATAAATCTGTTCTAAAAAATAAAGTCTATTTTAAAAAATCTAAGTCAAGGGTCAAGAGCATAGATTTGGAAGCCAGGTTGCCTAGAGTCCAATCTCAGCTCCTCCTCATCAGTTGTATAACTGTGGGGACCAGTCACTCAACCGTTCTGTGCCTCCGTTTCCTCACAGTGCAATGGGAATAACCATACTAACTACTTCCGACTGTCATAGGGACTAAATGAGTTAAAACTTATGAAACTCTGGAAGAGTGCCTGGCGCCAAATAAATACATGTGTTTATTTCATATGTAAATGAAACTAAAGGTACAGGTTCACTTCAAATATTCTGTAAAACAGGAGGAAGTAAACATTAGCTGAGGTTTTTTTTTTTTCTTTCTCTCTCTCTCTTCTTTAAAAAAAAGGAGAATGCTTAGGGCTTGGTGTGGTCTCCACTGTGCTACAACTCCCCCAGCTCTGCCCTCCTCCCTTCAGCTTAGCTTGAGTTCCTCTCTTCCTGTGCTTTCTACGCTTTCTTCTTAAGGATTCTCATTCTCTGCTAGGGTCAGAGGAGATGACGCAGCCTGGAATCCTCTTGCCAGAGACCATATTAGCACAAGTAGATCTACTGCCTTCTCCCCGAGAGCATCTTTCCAAATCTAGGATCCAGCAATAACCCCCAGATACCTCCAATCCCACCATCTTCCTCCAGATGCCTAACCCCAGGCCTCAGACCATTCATCTGCCTCTCCTGCCTGCACTGACACCCTTTCAGCTGGAAGCACCTTGGTAAGGAAGGGAACGTTACCACCCAACAGGATGCTTGGGAAATGCACATGTTCCTCATTGCTCAGGAAGAGGTTCTCCCTAAAGAACAATCCTGAAACTTGCCCAAGTGGCCGAAAGCTTGACATGGGTCATCTCCCTGTGAACATCTGGAAAAGAGCCTCCATGCAGAATCTGACTAAGGCATCTGCGGTTTCCTTCAGGCAAGACCTTGAATTCCTGGAGCATTTCCTTTTGCTACTCCTACCGCACCCCCTTTCTGGGGTTGCTGGGTAAAATAAAAGCCAAACACTGCAACATGTGTCAGCAACTGAAAACCTAAAGCTACAGGATAAAGCTGAGTCTACCAACACTATTCCTCGCTGGCCGCCCCCCTTCTTCTAAAGAAGCATATTGTCAAAAATTCTAAAACACTAGTGAAGGAGGTCATTCTTATGACCCTCATTTTACAGGTGGGGAAACCAAGTCCTTCTTGGTTTCAAGACAAAAAAGAAAAGAGATTTCAGGTGTGTTTCTTATTTGGAGAATGGGGTTGCACTTCCTCATCCATGCTCTATCTGGGGTTATTGTGTTTGCTTTGTTTTTCTTTACTTTTCATCAGGCCAGTACTTGGCAATGACCTACATAGACCACATGCTTAATAATAATTCAAGCTTTATTAGCACCCAACCTTCAAGGGCCTCTGGGGATTTGGCAAAGAGCAATATTTATGAAATAATCTCCTTGTTGCAAACCAACATTCATGCCTCTGGGGTGGCCTTTGAAGAGAAGAAACTGCAGGCTGAGAATGTTTGACATGGCAGTCACATGTCTGGCTTTTTTTTCTTTTTCATTTTTGATATGGAAATGTCTGAGACTACAGCACATTTTCACAGGTTGATATTTAAGATTTATATCAACTAGTATGGCTCAGGTATCAACCAATTAAAAGAATGTTGGTCAGGGTACCCAATCAAAGCCCCACTGGCATCCTCCCACCCCCAGTTGGCCAGGCATTGCCCCTTAAGTTGCAGGATTAAGGGAAGGTCCAGAGAGTTCTGAGGAAGGGTCTAGGTGGTCATGGTGGTGGGAAGATGGCTATACCAAGTGATATGGAAATAATTCAGTATCTACCTAGCTATCAACCTCAAATTCATACATATTCTCAATTCCTACAAAGTACAGATCCACAGCACATGGCTGAACACAGACTTGTCCCTAGGTGTACATGATGGTTAACTGTGGCAGGTGTGTTTGGATTCAGGAGACTTGAAGATGTCGTTTTGCTACATCTCACCTCCCTTCTGGGCCGCTGGAACTGGAAATGAAACTACAGGTGGGTCAGGTGAGTGGATAATTGAAATGAACAGATGTAGGAAGAACAAGAGAGTAGGTGCAAGTCACAAATGACAGCCTGAAATGGTCCAAGCTGGGGAAGCCCAAGAGGGTCTACAAGCCCAAAGAATGAGTGAGGAATCAGACCTAAGAGATAGGGCAAAAAAAACAGGGCAGTTGCTGGCAAGATCCTAAGACAAGAGAGTTGAGAAGACCAGAGCACAGTGAAACAAGTGGGTCTAAAGCCACTGCTTCAAAAGCCCTACCATAGCATTGCCATGGGAAGTTTGGTTATGATTGAAAGTTATAGGGCTGGAGTAGAGTAGGGCTGGAGCTCCTCAATGCCTATTCAGCTCTTAGAACCTCCTTGTGAAAAGATTTCCCCAAGTGTTTGCAGTTCACACAGCAAGTTCTTTCTAGAAAAAGTGTCCCAGATGCCAACACTGATGCTTCAGAAGGACCTTCATCATTTGAAGGGCTGCTCCTTACTGGGAACAAGCATGATTTGGGTGAGTGGCCTTTTCAATCACGGAGTCCCAATTCTCTAGGACTTTGGCTATCTCACGGCAGAGTAGCTTATAAATTTTTGCCAATGCAGTAATTTTAACAGTCATTTTCAAAGCAGGCTTCAAAGCACTGGTGGGATACAAGAATTCTCCTGATGAGTGCAAACTGCTTTCCAAAGAGGTAAATTCCCTCTGCTCCTCTGAGTGAATGCCACACAGTCCTCCAACTGTCGCTTTTATGGAGAGTTCATTGCTTCTTACTAGTAACCTATTAAGAGAATCAGTAAGGATGGGTGAATTTGGAATTTGTGAACCAAAAGCACTGTGTGACCTGAATACTTTAATTCAGGCTTCTACTCCAAATTCTGTCATCCGTGCAGCAAGCGGCAACCAACAAAATTTCTGCTGTGCATCCATACCTGTAGATGTCTGGAAGTCCCACACTTAGAAGGAAGCAAAGTTTGTTCTCTCACTCATCAGTGGCTACTGCTGTGCTATCCACATAGCTGATTGCAGATAATCTGCTCTCCCTTGCAATGTTTAGGTTTCTACATTTACCACATCAGTATTAGGGTCTTCTAATTTTCTAATTAGATTGAAAGATATGCATCCATTGTGGTTCAAATAGGAATCACCAATACTCTTCATGCAAAAGCAAATGTTACACAATACCACTCCCTCCCAAAAGAGCCCTGCTCACACAGCAACATTTTGTTATTATACACAAGTCTCATGGTTTTTCCATAAGAATGTGTAAAAGGGTAGACTAGATGAACATTGAGTCTTTTGCTCCACTTAAGTGGGTGAAAGTAAAAAATATTTGAGGATTATTTTTCTTCTCAAGGAAAAATTTTTAGATGTAATTTTTTATTTTTTGAATAGCTTACATATTCTTACGATTCAAAAGTCAAAATAATATCAAAAGGAATCATTGAGAAGTTTTTCTCCACTGCTACCCTAGTCTATCAGGATCCTCGCCTCCATCCCCTGGAGGTCACCACTTTATTAGTTTCCCGTATATCCTTCCAGTGTTTCTTTATGCAAATAGAGATGTATTTCACTAATGCATAGAGCTCCCCTGCCCCCACATTAGCAGGTAAAGCTGAAAAAGGTAGATAAAAGCATAAGTGACCTCAGAAGACTGAAATTGCATCTGAAGTCTATCTCCCTATGATCCTCAGCAGCACAGGTATTTTTTTTTCTACACCTGATTCTTGGGAAAATGATGGAATAAAAAGAGTCTTTTTCCATCTCCCTAGCTCTGCTTTTATACTCTTCTGCCCCCTCCCATGTCAACACCCCATAAAGATCTCTGACAAAGTTTCGCTTTCTGTTCTACAATCCACCCCTACCTCCAATAAACACACCTGTTAAGGGTCCCATCACATCAGTGCCTGTGGGGATGGGCAAATGGATTCTAATGTATATGGTATTCAAGGAGGAGGTGGCTGGCTCATTCAAATCAAGGTGTCTTCCCACTGTAAATAGTCCTTCAAAATGGATCTCATGGGGAAACTTCATACTGGAGGATATCCCAAACATGCAATGTTCAACATATGTATGGAGTGCTTATGTGCCAGGTGCTATGGCCAAGTGCCAGGTGGAAGGGTGAATGGGACACAGATCCCACACTCGCAGACCTCACAGCCTCATGCGGAGAGTTACAACACGTTGTAATAAGAGTCATGAGGAAGCACAGAAGAAGGGCCCCTAACCGGGGTGGAGAGCTTGGAGAAGGCTTTGCAGGGGATGCCTCATTAAAGCTGAGGCCAGAGAGGTCAGCAGGATTCAGCCAGTCCGTGAGTGGGGCTCTGAGGCAGATTATGCACAAAGACCTTGGGTTGAGCAAGCTGTGGCTCATTCCTTTTCTCTTACAACTTTCTCTTCGACTGGCAGAGGACCTTCTGGAGATAATTCAGGTAATCAACAGAGTGACTTTAATAAAGGGATAACAGCAGCAGGAGTTGGAGCTTCTTGGGAGTGGGTGGAGGTGTGGAATCCCTCATATCACAACACATGGATGTGGGCCTCGCTCTGTGTATGGTCAGGTTGGGGGTGCTACCAGGCAAGACTCAGAAAATTAGAGGCCTTCTCTCCTCAGCCCCCCACATTTATTCTAGATACCATGCATGGCTTGGAAACCTCGGGAAAGCTCATGGCAATGGGAACTTCAGGGGGAAGGCCTTGAAATGTTAGTGAGTCAGGAAGTAAATCAATCAGATTCCCAATAGAAAACAGATGGCACGCTCAACATAGGATGACCTGGGGAGGGAATAGTTACAAAAGTGCAGGTGGGTAGGGGCACAACAAATAGTGCAGTTGCTAGGCACTTACCGTCCTTACATCTAAAGGAGGGAGGTAAGGGACAGTAAGCAGAGCGCGACAGGAGACAGCGTCTCATTAGGCTCCTGAGTCTCGAGAGGAGCAGTGATCTGCAACAAGGTGACCTTGCAGGGAGGGAGGCAGAGGAACAATTTCACTGACTTTACTCTCATTCCTTCTGCCAGGCCTTCCAAGTAGCCAAACCCAGTCATACAAGAGGGCACAGGGCCTGCTGATGAGGCTGCAGGCACAGAGCAGCACAGGGCATGGATCTGGAGGGCACGGGAGGCAAAAATACAGAAGGCAGCCCACCAAGTCCTCACTGTAACTCAGGGTGGTGGGAGACCAGACAAGCTTTCTTTTCTTCTTTATGCTTTTCTTCATTTTTCTAATCTTCTCAATCTTCTAATCTTCTCACACATATAACTCCTAGAATTGGAGAAAATATTGTTTATAAATTAAAAAGGAAAACAAACAAACAACAACAATAACATCAACAAAGAATATGCATCAAGGAGGTACCCCAGGGCAGTACAAAAGCCTTCATTAACAAGAGTGGGAAAAGGAGGCCTCAAAAAATTTTGTTCCACTCTGAATAACCAGCCAACCTTTTTCCACAGGACACTGACAACAACAAAGGCAAATGCAACTGGCAATCTCAACTAAGTTCTTGGGAAGAAGAATCATTGGGGCATAAGGAAAGTGGTGCCCAAGCCCCTCTTGTTTCTCTGAAGTGAATCTTGTGGGGAAGGAGGTAATCAGAGGGAAAGACACTCAGCATTCCAGGGGCATCTGTTCAAGTCCCAGCTCAGCCACTTCATCAAGGTGAAACCTCAAGCACATCACTTGCAGACTCTTGAAATCACTGTGAGGGTCCATGGTCCTGTAAACAATTAGACACTCTACAAGTCTTCCTTGTGAGTGTCAGAAGGGAGTGCACAAAAGATCAAAACCACCACAAAAGGCACTGAAAAACACCGCAACAGGCCTCCTCTGTTGCAGCCCGTAGCACCTGGAAAGCCTGTAGCACCGCCACTCCTTGAAGCAAAAGAAAACAGTCTTGGGTTAAACTGAGCAAAACACACATGGAGGGCCAGAGGCAGGTGTGATCAATTTCTCTATTTCCCATTTGATGGCTTCCGTCTCTAGAGTTCTCCTTTTTTTCTGCCTTTTCCATGCCTCAGCTCCCTGAGTTCCCTGTGCGTGGGACATGGCCAGGAATCTCTCATGGGGGTCTCTTCTTACTTAGAGGGTGGAGGTACACTCTCAGGTTTAGGAATTCCAGTGATTTTGAAGGTGCGTTTACTTAGTGAGTTGTAGCTGGGTCTAGGGAGGCTAGAATTCCAGGGCTAGAAGTGACCTTCACACATTCAAGCATCCATTTATCCCACATGTTTGGGCATCCACTATGTTCTAGGTATTGTGTTAAGAACAAGCGACACCGAAGGAAGTAAAAGCAGACATCATAGAGAACATAGAGTCTGTCAGGAGACAGGCATTAACCAAATAATCATGCAATAGGGGACTAGTTGAATAAATTGTAGTAGGTCTACATATTGAAGTAAGGTTAAATAGAAACTCTGTGATTTGAAATTTGAATTGGAAATAGAGTATGAAATTACAATATTTCCCTCTAAAACATATTTATTTGTAGTGCTATCCACTGAAAAAGTCTGATGATGACAAGCACCCCTAGTGCCCAGATTGTGGTCTCTAAATACCATTTCTCAATATAAGAGGCAGAGCTCCTTGGAGAGATGACTGACTCCAAGGGTGAGTAGGAAATGTACAAGATGAGCCTGGTACATCTTGTGCCAGAAAAAAAAAAAAAAAACTATAAAAAACTATGAAGACTATGTAAAAGATACCCAGAGGTCAACCTGAAAGGTTTCCATTCCAGAAGACTGGAAATTCTTAGCAACAACAACAAAAAAAAATAGAACAGTAGATTAAAACAGCAATATAAAAATCCATGAGCTCGAAATAATACTTTAAAAAAAGAAAAGAAAGGAGAAGATCATGGTTCTCCACTAGAGGTTGCTAGGGCTTCAGCTCATTACTTCAAAAATTGGTAAATAGAAAAAAACATTTATTTTAACTTTCTAGTCTGTATAACTGTATTTCTGGATAATTGAATTGTTTCTGGAGAAATTTCTTTGTAGAAAAATTTCCACTATTAAATGCAGGAGGAATTATATAATTCCATCTGTGACTTTAGTGGAATAATTAATTTAGGAAACAATCATTAGTGGATGCTGAAAACCTTAGGGGAAATGTTGATGGGGAATTTCATAACAGAGCAGTGAGGCTGACACCATCTAAACCCACTGATCTATCACTATTAGTGAGATAACCATGCTTTATGTGTCTACCCAGGTGAGGCAACATGAAATATATAACACTAACGATGACACATTCTTGCCTTTGAAAAATTAATCCTGAATTTTAAAAAACCTCTAGATCTCTTACCAGTGTACAGGAAATATAGGGTACCGAAGAACAAATTAAGCAACACTGCAAAAAAGCAATCAGCCCAATCTAGATTGTGGGACATTCTACAAGATAAATGACCAAGTTTCATCAACAAATCAATAACATGAAAAAGAAACAAAAAGGAATGAGAACTGTTTTGGTTTTTAATAAAAATTGTGTACATTTAAAGTGTGCAATGTGATGTTTTGATATATATATATAATAAAATGATTACTACAGTCAAGCTAATTAACATATCCATCACTCTACATAGTTGTGTGTGTGTGTGTAGAACACTCAATGTTCTACTCTCTTAGCAATATACAATACAGTATTATTAACTACAGCTACCCTGCTGTACATCCTACTTTCATCTCCCCATTTCCTTTGCTGCACTCCCTATCCGTGGTGTTAAAAGGTAAACTTAGGTGCATTAAAATTTTAAAGAGTTTATTTGAGCAGACAGAAATTCATTAATCAGGCAGCTCCAGACCACAGGTGGTTTGGGGACTCCCCTGCAGGGGCACAAAAGGAAGACGTTTATAGGATGAGCACGAAAGTAAGGCAAAGAAAATACTTGATTGGTTAAAGTGGAGCAGTAGCCTTATTTCAGTGGAAAATCCCTAATTAGAGATTTGTTGGCAGTTTCTGTTTGGTTAAGATTAGGTAAGACCCAAGGCCTTACCTCCTTAGCCTAATGACCTCCCAACTAACTATTTTAACTATTTTAACACTGGTAACCACCATTCTTCTTTGGTTCTATGAATTTGACTTTTTAAATTCCACAATAAAGTGAGATCATGCAATATTTTTGTGTGTGTCTGGCTTATTTCACTTAAGATAACATCCTCTGGGTTTATCCATGTTGGGACAAATGGCAGGATTTTCTTCTTTTATGGCTGAATAGTATTCCATTGTGTATATTTACCACATTTTCTTAATGCATTCATCTGTTAACAAACACTTAAGTTGATCCCATATCTTGGTTATTATGAATAATACTTTCATGAACATGGAAGTCCAGATATGTCTTCAACATGCTAAATTTATTTCCTTTGGATATGTACACTGAAGTGAGATTGCTAAATCATATGGTAGTTCCATTTTTAATTTTTTGAGAAAACTCCCACTGTTTCTTCATAATGAGTGTATCAATTTTTATTCCCACTAACAGTGTCCAAGGTCCCCTTTTCTCTACATCCTCACCAGCACTTATCTTTTGTCTTTTTGATAATAATCATCCTAACAGGTGTGAGACGATCTCTCACTGTGGTTTTAATTTGCATTTCCCTGATGATGTGTGATGTTGGGCACATTTCATGTACCTGCTAACCACTTGTGTGTCCTTTTTTTTTTTTTTTTTGAGACGGAGTCTCGCTGTCGCCCAGGCTGGAGTGCAGTGGCGCAATCTCGGCTCACTGCAGGCTCCGCCCCCTGGGGTTCACGCCATTCTCCTGCCTCAGCCTCCCGAGTAGCTGGGACTACAGGCGCCCGCCACCTCGCCCGGCTAATTTTTTGTATTTTTAGTAGAGACGGGGTTTCACCGTGTTAGCCAGGATGGTCTCGATCTCCTGACCTCGTGATCCGCCCGCCTCAGCCTCCCAAAGTGCTGGGATTACAGGCGTGAGCCACCGCGCCCGGCCTTGTGTGTCCTTTTTGGGAAAATGTCTATTCAGGTCCTTTGCCCATTTTTTAATCAGGTTGTTTTTGTTTGCTATAGAGTTGTATGAGTCCCTTATATATTTTGGATATTAATCCCTGATGAGATATATGTTTCACAAATATTTTCTCTGAATCCCACAGGTTGTCTTTTCATTTTGTTGATTGTTTCCTTTGCTGTGCAGAAGCTTTTCAGTTTGATGTAGTCAGAATTGGGAACTATTAGAGAAAAGAGACTTAAACATACGACAATTGAATGAAATGAATGAGCCTTGTTTGGATTCTGACTTTAAAAAAAATCCTAAAGAGATATCTTTGAGAGAACTAATCTAATATTAAGGAATAATTGTTAACTTTGTTAGGGTGGATAATGGCATGGTGGTTACATTTCTAAAAAGTCCTTATAAATCTCAGATACGCATAAGGGATGGAATGGCAGGATGTTTGGGATTCAAAGGCAAGGAGTAATGGGAGGCAGTATTATCACTGTTGAGTGGGGTGATGAGTGTCTGAGGTTTCATTATACTCTTCTGTCTATATCATGTACATCTGAAAGTTTTCATAAAAAATTTCAAAATATCAACAAATATATGACTATAAATTGTGTGAGGTGCTGAATCAGACACCTCTGTTGTGTGACTTCAGCATCTGTCAGGCTTACCTATGCTTGCATCCATAGCTGGGGTGGATAGTTCCATGAAGGTTTTGATCATCCTCATTCCAGAGTGAGTCACATGTCGCTGATTTGTGGCATTGGATGCTAACTAGGGACTGCCCAGGACCTTGCCACCACCACATATGCTTCTACACAGCAAAGGACACAATCGACACAATGAAAAGGCAAGCTATGGATTCAGAGAAAATATTTGCAAACCATATATACTGTATGTTTGATAAGGGGTTAATACCCAAAATATATAAGGAACTCATGCAACTCAATAACAACAAAACACAAATAATCTGATTTTAAAATGTGCAAAAGACCTGAACAGACATTTTTCCAAAAAGGACATACAAATGGTCAGCAGGTATATGAAAAGGTGCACTGCCATGAGGAGCTCACAGTGTAGGGAAGTTAATGCCCAATGGGATAGTAAGCACAAGTGTCTTGTTTTAAAGGTGTATAAACTAAGACTCCTTCATCAACTGGTTGATGAAAGAGCTGGACTAGGGCTTCTGCCTTGATGCCTTCTGCAGAACTCAGCAGAGGGCTTTGCTCAAAGTGGGCCCCCAATGAGGATGTTTTGCATGATTAAGTAAATGCCTGAGCAAAAGCAGAGAGACCATAAAAACACAACACAATTAACAATGGAGAGTTCTAAAAATAGGTCTAATGAATAGACATTTCTCAAAAGAAGATATATGAATAGCCAACACACATGGAAAAAAATGCTTAACATCACTAATCATCAAGGAAATGTAAATTGAAACCACAAATCGATACTACCTCACTCCTACAGGAATGGCTATAATTAGAAAGTCAAAAAACAATAGATATTGGCATTAATGTGGTAAAAAGGGAATACTTTTACACTGCTGGTAGAAATGTAAATTAGTACAACTTATATGGAAAATAGTATGGGGATTCCTTAAAGAACTGAAAGTAGATCTTCCATTTGATCCAGCAATCCCACTGCTAGGTATCTACCCAAAGGAAAAGAAGTCATTATATGAGCTATTCCAAACAATTGAAAAGGAGGGACTCCTCCCTAACTCATTTGATGAAACCAGCATCATCCTGATACCAAAACCTGGCAGAGCTATAACAAAAAAAGAAAACTTCAGGCCAATATCACTGATGAACATCAATGTAAAAATCCTCAGTAAAATACTGGCAAACGAAATCCAGCAGCACATCAGAAAGCCTATCCACCATGATCAAGTAGGCTTCATCCCTGGAATGCAAGGCTGGTTCAACATACACAAACCAATGAATGTAATTCATCACATAAACAGAACTAAAGACAAAAACCAAATGATTATCTCAATAGACACAGAAAAGGCCTTCAGTAAAATTCAACACCCCTTCATGTTAAAAACTCTCAATAAACTAGTATTGAAGGAACATACCTCAAAATAATGAGAGCCATTTATGACAAACCCACAGCCAATATCATACTGAATGGGCAAAAACCTGGAAGCATTCCCCTTGAACACCAGCAGAAGACAAGGATGCCCTCTCTCACCACTCCTATTGAACATAGTATTGGAAGTTCAGGCCAGGGCAATCAGGCAAGAGAAAGAAATAAAGCGTACTCAAATAGGAACAGAGGAAGTCAAATTGTCTTTGTTTGCAGATGACATGATCCTATATCTAGAAAACCTCATTACCTCAGCCCCAAAGCTTCTTAAGCTGATAAGCAACTTCAGCAAAGTCTCAGGATGCAAAATCAATGTGCAAAAATAACAAGCATTCCTATACACCAACAATAGACAAGCAGCCAAATCATGAATGAACTCCCATTCACAATTGCTACAAAGAGAATAAAATACCTAGGAATACAGCTAACAAGGGAAGTGAAGGACCTCTTCAAGGAGAAATAGAAACCATTGCTCAAGAAAATCAGAGAGGACACAAACAATGGAGAAACATTTCATGTTCATGGATAGAAAGAACTAATATCATGAAAATGGCCACACTGACCAAAGTAATTTATAGATTCAATGCTATTTTCTTCAAACTACTATTGACATCCATCACAAAATTAGAAAAAAATATTTTATAATTCATATGGAACCAAAAAAGAGCCCATATAGCCGAGAAAATCCTAAGCAAAAAGAACAAAGCTGGAGACATCATGCTACCTGACTTCAAACTATACTACAAGGCTACAGTAACCAAAACAGCAAGGTACTGCTACAAAAACAGACACCTAGACCAATGGAGCAGAATAAAGAACTCAGAAATAAGACCACACATCTACAACCATCTGATCTTTGACAAATCTGACAAAAACAAGCAATGGGGAAAGGATTCCTTATTAATAAATGATGCTGGGAGAACTGGCTAGCCATATGCAGAAAATTGAAACTGAACCCCTTCCTTACATTTTATACAAAAATTAACTCAAGATGGATTAAAGACTTAAATGTATAACCCAAAACTATAAAAACCCTCAAAGAAAACCTAGGCGATACCATTCAAGATATAGACACAGGCAAAGATTTCATGATGAAAACATCAAAAGCAATTGCAACAAAAGCAAAAATTGACAAATGGGATCTAATTAAACTAAAGAAAGAGCTTCTGCACAGCAAAATAAACTATCATCAGAGTGAATAGACAACCTACAGAACCAGAGAAAATTTTTGTAACCTATCTATCTGAGAAAGGTCTAATATCCAGAGTCTACAAGGAACTT
Organism: Homo sapiens; assembly: GCF_000001405.40. NCBI lineage: Eukaryota > Metazoa > Chordata > Mammalia > Primates > Hominidae > Homo > Homo sapiens. Next base: position 43,229,318 of record NC_000003.12, read on the forward strand.
CTATTCTAGTTCTTGCTTGTAAGCATGGGGGAAAGGATTAATGTGGAATTTGGTCTGATATGTACTATGGACACTCAAGCAATTATAGTACTATGTAATATTCATGGTGGCTAGCAGTAATGCACGATATACATGGAATTGTCGTAGGGGGGTGGGTCGATACTTGGGTAGTACCCAAAATTGCCTCCTCATGAAAATACAGAGAGTAGTTTAAATTAGAATCTTAGCTTTGGGCGCTGATGGTAAAGTCAAGTACTTTTTCTCTGAGTTGCCCTTGGAAGGAGGTCTTCATTTCTGGCTTATAAGGCCGGTGTATTGGTTTATACTACAAGGGCAGGTTCATTTGAGTATCTTATTTTCGATTAAGGAGGCGGTTGGTATGAGGATTAGAATTGTAGTAAAGTATAATACGGAAACAAATTTACAAGAAAAAAAAACCCCATTAAAAAGAGGGCAAAGGACATGAACAGACACATCTCAAAAGACATTTATGTGACCAACAAACATTTGAAAAAAAGCTCAACATCACTGATCATTAGAGAAATGCAAATCAAAACCATAATGAGATACCACCTCACACCAGTCAGAAAGGTGATTATTAAAAAGTTATGAAACAACAGATACTGGCGAGGCTACAGAGAGATAGGAATGCTTTCACATTGTTGGTGGGAATGTAAATTAGTTCAACCATTGTGGAAGATGGGGTGATGATTCATCAAAGACCTAGAACCAGAAATACCATTTGACCCAGCAATCTCATTACTGGGCATATACCCAAAGGAATATAAATCAATCTATTATAAAGATACATGCATGTGCATGTTCATTACAGCACTATTCGCAATAGCAGAGATATGGAATCAACCCAAATGCCCACCAACGTGATAGACGGGATAAAGAAAATGTGGTACATATACACCATGGAATACTAGGCAGCCATGAAAAAAATGAGATCATGTCTTTTGCAGGGACATGGATGGAACTAGAAGCCATTATCCTCAGCAAACTAATGCAGGAACAGAAAACCAAACTCATAGGTGGGAGTTAAACAATGAGAACACATGGACACAGGGAGGGGAACAACACACACTCGGGCCTGTTGGCGGGGGAGTGGGGAAAGGGAGAGCATCAGGAAAAATAGCTAATGCATGCTGGACTTAATACTTAGGTGATGGGTGGATAGGTACAGCAAATCACCATGGCACACATTTACCTATGTAACAAACCTGCACTTCCTACACATGTATCCTGCAACTTAAAATAAAATTAAAATTAAAGTTATAAAAGAAGTCATTATGTAAAAAAGACACACGCACACGCATGTGTATAGCAGCACAATTCACATTGCAAAGATATGGAACTAACGTAAGTGCACATCAACCAATGAGCAGATAAAGAAAATGTGGTATATATATATACCATGGAATACTACTGAGCTAAAAAATGAGTGAAATAATGTCTTTTGCAACAACTTGGATGGAGCTGGAGGCCATTATTCTAAGTGAAGTAACTCAGGAATGAAAAACCAAATACCATATGTTCTCACTTATAAATGGGAGCTAAGCTAAGAGGACACAAAGACATATAGAGTGATACAATGAACTTTGGAGATTCAGGGTTGGGAGAGGTTGCAGGGGAAGGGATAAAAGACTACACACTGGGTACAATGTACATTGTTCTAGTGACGGTGCATTAAAATCTCAGAATTCACCACCATAGAATCCATCCATGTAACCAAAACCCACTTGTACCCTAAGAGCTACTGACATTTAAAAAAATAAATAAATAAAAATATGTCTAATTTGTTTCCTGTGACTGATTTTGAGATCCCAAAAAAGCATATGAGAAAATATGTAACTATAAAAGAAGATAGTCCTTCATCCCATAGCAATAAACTTCCACATAAGTGTTAAGATACAAATCTTACTGTCTTATAGCTCTGCCTTCAACATGATGGAACACAAGTGTCCTGGCACATTGATGTGCATGCAGACAGGTGTATGTGCTCCATATTGTTGCAGATAAAAATAGCTCACAAGCTTGGAAAAACAATCTGCTTTAATCCTTGGATTTTGGAAAAACACTTGTAGCCAAGAGCAGAATCTCATTTTTGAAGATAATTGGCATTTCCCCCTCAACCACAAATATTTCAAATATTTAAATAAGCTTGATAGCATGCAGAGACAACTCCTCAGGCCCAAGTCCTTGTGACCATGGGAATTCGATCTTTCTCCTTTATCTCTTTCTACCCTCTCAGAGCTTTCGGGTGCTGTGATAGAATCTGTAGGATTATCAAGATTTAAAAAAAATAAGCTACTTAGCTATCAGGCAAAAAAAAAAGTCATTATGCCTTCTTTTTTGAGGTAAAGAGCAAGATAGGAAATATTTTTTATTAAAAAACTGGCAAGAGGAAAGCTAGTTGACTGATGAAGTTTCCAACCGTGTGGGTAACCTGTTTAGCTAGGACCAGATGGTTGAGAGAGCTGATAATGAAATACAATGTCTTCTCTATCTAGGTCAGCACTGAATCCAGCCTAGGTCACAAATAACAGACAGTTGTTTGGCCAGATGCGTGTTCAGAGGCTGATGGAAATGAAAGGATGTCCTGGAACACGGACATATCTGAATTTGGTTCTAATTTGGCTCCTTTTTTGGCAGCCTTCGGTTCTGAGTTCTCAGATGGAGTTGTAGTGGAAGAAAAGCTTTCTGTACAGGACAGGTCTATAATTGTGGTTCTGTTCCAAAAGATTATAGCATATCATTGACTTTCCAGAAATTTGAAGAAAAACATAGTGTCCACCATGAACTAGAATGTAGGGAATCCCCTCAGATACAGTAGACAAGAGTGTAAGTTATTACAACTTTTCTATAGGTTATTTGACCATATATATCAAAAACTTCTAAAAACTTGCAAAGCATTTGCCTAGTATTCTACTTCTAGGAGTTTATTCTAAGGCAATAATCAAGAATGTGCCATAAGATCTTGTTTTTAACAATCATTTAAAAACTAGAGCAGCATATTAATCTTATCGCTCAATAAGAGGGGATTTTTTTAAAAATGGTGATGCAATGGGATATCTTCAGCCATTAAGAACAATATTTCAAATGTATATTTATTAACGTAGAAAGTGCCAAAATTGGTTATAAAATAGCCAGACTCGACTTTTCCTTTTTTTCTTTTTTTTTTTCTGTAGAGACAGTCTCGCTCTGTCGCCCAGGCTGGAGTGCAGTGGCGCAATCTCGGCTCACTGCAACCTCCACCTCCCGGGTTCAAGCAATTCTCCTGTCTCAGCCTCCTGAGTAGCTGGGACTACAGGCACAGGCTGCCACGCCTGGCTAATTTCTTTTGTATTTTAATAGAGATGGGGTTTCACCTTGTTGCCCAGGCTTGTCTCGAACTCCTGAGCTCAGGCAATCCTGCCGCCTCAGCGTCTTAAAGTGCTAGGATTATAGGCATGAGCCACCGCGCCCGGCTGACTTCTCCTTTTAAAAAAAGCTTTATATACACACATATGTATATATATAATACATATATATAGTGCTTAAAAAATAAATTAAAAGTTAGCCACGATTAACCCTGGGAAATAGAAAAACAGGCAATTTTTGTTTCCTTTTAAAAATTATCTATTTTCTAAACTTTTTATAGCAAACAAGTGTTTACTTGTATGTTTTTTGTTGAAATGATATTTAAAAACAGAAATTAAGAGTTTTTCAGAAGGATTTGACTTAGCAGCCAAAAGGCAAGACGGTGGAGGTGTAGTTCAGGGAAGAAAGGAGGTCTGTGAAAGGAAGAGGTGACCAAGATTCTGTCCTCTCTCACGGGAACTGTGCTTCTAAGGAAGTCAGCCCCAAACTCCCATGGAATGACTTTGCTGTGGAATTAAGAAGCCTCTATGGTCTTTCCACAGCAACACAGAGACATCTGTGTTTTCAGAACTTCCAGGCTGCTCTCAGCCGGCTCCCTAAGGAGAAACCTTCCCCTCTGAGTGTTGGGGTGGAGTGAGCAGCTCCCAGGCAGGAACAAAATCAGGCCACCTGTCCCTTTTTAAAAATGCTCTTCTTGGCTTATTTCTCATCCTCAGTGATTTAAACATTAAATTTTCTAATCCCCCAAGAAGGTTCTTTGAAAATATGAAAAGAACCCATATAATCTGTCAAGAGAGAATAGAGCCAGTAAAAGGAGACTTCTTCTCAGCTTTGTTGGTTTCAGGTATTATCTCCTGACAACAGATGTCTCAGACTGGGGGGCCAGGCATGGCAGGGGAGCAGGTGTGTGGGGTTGGACAGGACCCAGCTCTGTGGCTGATGCCCCTTTTCCTCTTTGGTCCTCTGAGGCCTGCAATAAACATCTCTCTCTCTCTCTCTCTCTCTCTCTCTCTCTCTCTCTCTCACACACACACACACACACACACACACACACACACCTTTTAGCACAAGCATGTTCTCAAAAGAGAGTGCAGCAGTCAAACCGAGAATGAGTAAGTCCACTCCAGAATGCTAACATCAGCTCAAAACCCAAGTAAGCCAGCAGCCCAGCCTTGGTTTTCAAGACACCCAGGTAAAAGGAGAGCTGAGATGATGTACATAGTTTCCATGCAACAGGCTCCTGGCCTCCTCCATGGCAGAGTGTGGAGTCAAGAAGACATATGTGTTTAGAGGTGACCATGCCTACAGCTGAGAGACCTACAATAGACCAATGCAGCTGTCCCCTGGCCAGACTCTGCTTACCACCTCTTGGTGCCACAGGGAAAGGGGCTTTGGGAACACACAGGGCTGATCCTAAAGAACTTAGAGGCCAATAGCACACTTTATGGAGCTGCTTTGGATTCAGTTACATAAATTCTTGGAATCTTAGTGCTTTGTTTGTAAAGTGGAAATGAGACCATAAACCCAGGGAAGTTGTAGGGATTAACTGAAGCGATTCAGCCAGAGCATCTAGAAGTGTCTCATGTAAAAGGTTTACAGTACTTGGACTGAAAAAGACTTTCGGAGTCCTATCTTCTGACCTAACTTTCCAGTGCCGAAGATTGCAAATCCTCTATCCCAATATTAGTTTTCCCTATCTAAACTGGGTAAACAGCTCCCTGGAATAAAGACCACGTTTTCTAGCCTCTCTTGTAGTTAGGTATGGCCATGAGACTATGTTCTGGCCACTGGGATATAAATGGGAGTGCCAATATACAGCTTCTGTTACTGGAAAGAGTGGGCCTCCTCACTCCTCCTCTTTCCCCAGGGCCAGAATATAACTTGATGGCCAAAGCTTAAATAGTCAAATAGTCACATTGACCCACGAAGTGAGAATGACAGAACAACAAGACAGAAGGACAGAAGGAGGCCGAGTTCCTGACAACTTCACCGTTGCCACATCATTCCCTACCTCTGGATTCTGTTACATGAAGAAAACATAAACTTCTGTGTTTTTAAAGCCACTGTTGTTTTGAATTTTCACCTCATTTAAACATCACTCATGCTGTATTTAAAGCTGACTTTTTTTGGTCTCACTGTCTGTGAAAACAATGACTAGCAGCTTACCATCCTGATAGCCCACTTTCATATTTGTGAAATCTCCTGCCAAATGCCTCCTCCCACTTGCAGCATCATATATTACACAGTCTCCCCTGCTCCCCATCTTGTCTGTCTCCATCTTGTTTATAGCAAGTCCTGCCCACCCTAAAGTATTTCCCTGCTGAAACAGGGATCTTCTGCTGGGCACTCACCAGAGTCACCAAATCTATTTGAACATTCAAAAAAGATTAAGTTTATAAGAGAGGAAGTAAATGCACACTTCAGGGAGTGGGGAATGGAGATGGTATTCTAAGGTCTTTAAACTGCAACATTTCAGAGATGTTTTTAAAGATCCAGAAAGATTTGTTTGTAAACTTTTGGGAATGATTTTTTTCCTTTAAATAGAAGATTAATTTTAGTCTCCCATTTCCTGTTTCTTTCTGTTTATTTTATGATGAGTGACCCTGATATGATGTTTGTTTTGTACTAATTTTATTTCCTAAAGATTTTTATCTCTGACAGTGTTTTGCACCCCAAAAAAAGTTATTTTATTGGCTATGATTTCTTTGGGGCAGTTTATTTCCTTGCTAGAAAAAATATCTCATGATTTGTTTTGGTGGTTGCTGATGGTATGTGGCTGAATGTGTAAGTGTGTGTGTCAAAAGACGTATATGTATTTTTATATATAGAGGGAGAGATATATAAAGCATTATATATATATTTTATGTGCCAAGTGACAGTTGTCATGATATATATATAAAACATAAAATATACATATAAAACAAAATTTATCATTTTCAAGTGTAGAGTTCAGTGGTATTTACACTCATATTGTTGTATAACCATTACCACCATCCACCTCCAGAACTTTTCTATCTTCCCCAACTGATACTCCATACCCATTAAAAAATAACTCTTCATTCTTCACTCCTCCAGTTCCCAGCAACCATCATTCTACTTTTTGTCTCTGTGAATTTGTGTATTCTAGGTACCTCATAAAAGTGTAATAATATGGTATTTGTCCCTTTTGGATTGGCTTATTTCACTTAGCATAATGTCCTCAGGGCTCACCCATGTTGTAGCATGTGTCAAAATTTCCTATCTTTTTAAGGCTGAATAGTATTCCATTGTATGTATATACCACATTTTATTTATCTCTTCATCCATTGACAGTCACTTGAGTTGCTTTCTACATTTTGGCTATTGTGAATAATGCTGTTATGGGTGTACAAGTATCTCTTTGAGACCCTGCTTTAAATTCTTTTAGGTATGTACCTAGAAATGGAATTGCTGAATCACATGACAACTCTACATTTAATTTTTTGATGATACCTCATATTGTTAAGGATTACTTCAGAGTTAGAGCGAGTGAGTCAGAGTCAGAGTCACTTCAGAGTCAGAGTGAGGGTACACTTATTCCAGTAGTGAGTAAAACAATGGTTCCAAAACCAAATTATGCAACAGAATTACTTGGGAACTCTTAAATACAAATCCTTGAATGCCCCACTCCCCACTATCCAGTGAGATTATCTGTGGAGGAGCTTGGCATTTGGAACTTTAACAAGTTTTCCATGCCACTCATCTGTGGCGTGTCCTTTGGGCCCATTGAGGAGAAGAAGAAGGGTTCTAGCTGCCCTGTATGTCTCCTATACACACTGACACAGAGACAAGCTTTGTGTAGACACTGGGTCACACTCTGTCAAGATCGCTATGCATTGTAGAATTTTTTTGTAAGAGCGTGAAGGAGCAAGGAAAGCCTTCTCTGTGGCTTTGTGGAGAACCACAATAATACCTCTCACCTTTGGAGATTCACAGTTGCTTAAGGGCTGGTTGTCCTTGTTAATCTCTCAGGGGTGGACAGAGATGCTTCCTCAGGGAGTTTTTTACATGCACAATTCCTGATCGATCCTGTTTGTCACTCTCCAGTATCAAAGGCTTCTATCTGACAATGCCTTGGGTCAAGACTTGTCATAGGTGATTGGGCTTCCTTCTACCCAGCCTACTGGAGCTTTTACCTCTAACAGGATTTCCTGGTTCAACGGATTATGGCAAGGGTGTCAGGGTCACTTGGCACAAAGCATGACAACTCTGTGCAAGATGGAAGATCTGTGTCTGCCTATATCCCCACAGCCTGAGCTTATGGGAATGCTTATAAACCTCTGTGGATTCTCCAGGACAGACACCATTCACAAGGAGTGTGCACCAGGGTATTTTCTTTAAATAAGATATTTTTTAAAGTTTTGTTTTATAGTTTGGTATTGGTATAAAGTCATTCATATGGAGCTTAATTTGGAAATGATGAAAAATAAAATCATTCCAAACCCACTCCCAGACTCTGCCATTTTAGTGAATTTCCTTCTTGTCTTTTTCTCTGCATAGTTTTTTGTTTGCTGACTTACTATATCATAAGTTTCTCCCCATGTTATTATAGACTCACAAGCACATTTCAGTGGGTACATGGATCTGCCATAATTTACTTAACTGTTTCCCTAATGTTTAACATTTTTCCATTGTTTCCAAATTTTCTGTACTGAAAATAGTACTGGAATGCACATGTTCAGGCAGAAAGCCTTTTACAAATTGTTTTCTTGGGGCAGAGTCTAAGAAGTGGAATTATTAAGTCAAGGTCATGAACATATTAAGGTCTTTGATATGTAGCCCATCTAATTTATGAAAGGATTGGTGTCCAGTTGTACCCATTAGCAATGTATAAAAGTGGACAGCATTATATGGATTTTAAATCAGCAATTTTGCCCTCAGGGAATATTTGGCAATGTTTGGAGGCATTTTCAGTTTTGCAGCTAGAGGTATACTGTTGGCATCTGGCGGGCAGATCCTGCAATGCACATTACAGTTATACACAGAAAGAATTATCCGTCCCTGAATGTCAACAGTACCAAGGTTGAGAAACTCTGCTCTAACTATTAGTTGGCTCACAATCCTCTTTAAAAAATAGAGAATCTTAGTCTAATTTCAGGGCTCAGTTGTCACTTATTTCTTCCCTCAGTGTCATATGATGTCAATGTTGAACACTGGCATAGCACCAGCTTAATGTGTTCTTGTTCAGAATTGGCACTCTGTTCCAGAATCCAATCTCCCATTGACCAGCCCAAGGTACCACTAAAGCATCCCTTCTTCTGATACCCTGGGAGTTCTCACCAGTCAGCTGTCAGTGGCTCTCAGTCCACACCACTTGCACCCATCAGAAATGTCCTAACACAATTGCACTTCAAAAAGGGGGATCCAGGTGTCCAGATTTTGAGAAGTGTTCTGGAATCCAATGTAAATTTGTCCACATGTCCCCCATCCCAAACCTACAGTAGCCCCTGTACAACATACTGAAACCCTAGGATTTTGAGAACACAATTTAAAAATCACTGCTTTAATCTGTGGTAGTAACAGCTAGCTCCTCCCAATGTCTATACTCCCTTTCCTCCATGGTAACTGAATCCTCAATTTTTAGCTGATCAATAGCATCTCAGAGTATATATCTCAATTTCCAGATTCTCTGGCAGCTATCCAGTGGATTATAAGTGAAGGTGTTGAGTGTGACTCTGATGGTATCTTTTCAGAGAGGAGACATGCCCTTTTTCACTAAAAGCAGAAATGTTGGCTTCATGGCTTGAGCTAGAGTGACCATCTTAGACCAGGAAGTGGAAGCCATGTTTGGAGGATGGCAGAGCAACAAGATAGAGGGAGCTTGGGTCCTTGATGATCATGGAGTAACTGTACCAGCCCTGCATGGTTTACCACCAGGCTTCACTTATGTGAGAGGGAAATAACCCTAGGCTTAATTTAAGTCACTGTTATTTTGGTTCTGTTACGATTGAGCCTAATCCTAATTCATACATAATCCAACTCCCTCATTTGAAAGATAAAAATGGAGGCTGGAATTGACTATATCAGGCTTGGTTCATGGTACCTTTTCTATCAGCTCTCTTGGAGTTTGCTGAATAGGTTAAAAAATGTGTGAATCGTTTAAAGAAAATGGTGTATTTTGAGATATCTTAATACAAAGACTAGAATTTGGAGTAAAGCATAGGTTTCAGAATACATGCGGTGAAATTTGGGGCACAATCAAGAAAGAGAAAATAAAACATCAGCACTCATTTTTCAGGCTTAGATCTTCTGAATCTGGGAGTAGTTATAGCTCTAACGACACCCTTAGTGATGTAATGATCCATTTTTAGCAATTGGCATGTCTGAACGCAGAGACTGTTTATAGAGCTGCGTAATTAGTAGATACTTCATGGAAATGATTGTTGTTGGTTCAATTATTCTTTAATAGATTGGATAGATCAAGAGACTGCTCTAGAAGGAGAATCAACCTTTCTTTTCTCCTCATCAGGATAAGAGAACAATCATAATTTATTAAGATTATCTCCTCGGTTTCATTTTGCTCACAAAGGAAATACATGCGCCTTCTTAAAATATACAGATTTCTTTCCCTGAGGGTCTAGCAGGTAAAGAAAAAAGATACTTGGCATTCCATTGAGTTAGAAAAAAGCTGTCTGCACATCGCCTAAGCAACCAGTCACTCAGGACAATTCTGCCAAAACACTAGATTCTGTGAAAAATTCATCAGCCTGGTGATTTGACATCCATGGCCTTCTGCTTGCACCTCCCAATTGAGTAACTGAATTTCTCCTTTTCTACTGCCTGTGTTAGCTTTCTATAGATCCTGCTGCAGGTAAAGCTTTGATTTCATAGAGGAAGTCATCTATCTTTAAAACTCCCCACTGGGTGTCTTGACTCATCATCATCAGAAAATTCTCTGCAGAAATGAGGTTCAATTGCCTAGTGGAGCCTGGAAGGCCAGACAAAACCCAGTCCATTGGATGAGAAGAAAGAATTTGAAAGATGATCATTAATTGGCATTCTCCGTTTACTTCTTTCCAGTGCCTAGAAAATGGTTTTTCTTGGCTCTAAGACTAAATGGAGTGAACACCTGGTCCAGATTTGCTTGAGCCTTCTTCTCTAAGCTACTAATTCCCAACAGAAAATATGCTCACACCACATAGCCTTACACCAAAGGGAAGGAAAAGCTTCCATTTATCCTGTCTCTTTGATTTCATTTCAGCCTCTGGGAGGCCAAGTCAGTCCACACAAGCCTCATCAGGTGATTCATAGCAGCAGAAAACACTTTGGCCTGAATGACTGCACCATTATCAAAGTGCAACAGAACGGTGGCAGCAGCCTTTTGAGTAGGTCTCTGTGTTTCTGAAGGATATTTGCGTTGTACAAGAGAAACTCAGAGCTGCACCAAGATTCAACCTGCAGAACGTGGCCTTTCTATGCCAAGTTACTCTTCTCATCTGGGACTGGCCTACTTTCATACTGCCTCCTCTTCTCATACCCGCTAATCTAGCTAGTTCCAATTTCTCATAAGCTGCCACACCCTGATTCTATCTGTTGGTTTAATCCCTCACTTCAATCAGTGGTGTGTTAGAGCCAGCTCTTACCAGCTCAAGATAGTCAATTATGCATATCTCTTCCCAACAACACGTTCAATAGCATCACTTTGGTAGCATGAAATTGGGCAGGGTGAGTGTAGTTACACCACAGAAATGAGCAAATCCTGCAAATAGGGCTTTTTCCCTCTAGAGAGCCAGTTTTTAAACATTTGCCACCAGGCCACTGGATTTACTTCTTTTCAAAAGGTAAATCTAATTAGGACTGACTTTATGTTGATAAGTGTTTAACTCTAATTTCAGCCTTAGAATAACAAAAAAGGAATACCAATTCTGAGCAAAACTGTAACATATGCCCTATGCACTCCTGCATAGTTTTCTTCAGAACTCTTTCCTCCAGATTGTTCCTCCTCCCCTCCTTCACTCTCATCTATCCCCACGCCAGCCCTTCTCCAGCAAGACTGGGCTTCCTGGACCTTTCCTGACCAATCCTTCCTTTCAAAATTTACCTGACCAGGCCAGGCACGGTGGCTCACTCCTGTAATCCCACCACTTTGAGAGGCTGAGGTGGGAGGATTGCTTGAGCCCAGGAATTCAAGACCAGCCTGGGCAACATAGCAACACCCCATCTCAAAAATAAATAAATAAATAAAAATAAAAAATAAAAAAATTTACCTGATCGATGTTCCATTCACCCAGGCCAGGTGGATAAACATCTTCTAACTGGAATTGGCTCCATATTTTATTTCTATTAAAGGAGTATATTTTTAACATAAGGCATTCAATGTCTTAGCTTTAAGCAGTAAGATTGGGGAAATTTCAGTCATATTGGCAAAGCTAGCAAATATTTGGACAGCAGTAAAACCAATTGCTGTCTCTTAAATAGACCCTACATACTTACTTCAATAAAGAATGATAAAGGCCAGGTGTGGTGGCTCACGCCTGTAATCCCAACATTTTGGAAGACCAAGGTGGGTAAATCACTTAGGCCTAGGAGTTTGAGACCAGCCTGGGCAACATGGCAAAACTGCACCCCTAAAAAAAAAAAAAATTAGCTGAGCACAGTGGTGCATGCCTATAGTCCCAGCTACTCAGGAGGCTGAAGTGGGAGGATCACCTGAGCCCAGGGAGGTGGAGGCTACAGTGAGTTGTGACCACACCACTGCACTCCAGCCTGGTAACAGAGTGTCTCAAAAATCATCATAATAATAATTATTATTATACAATAATGCCACTTTGGAAAACAGCTTGACATTTCCTCAAAATGTTAAATGTACAATTACCATATGACTTAGAAATTCTATTCCTAAGTATACACTCAAGAGAACTGAAAATATACACTAAAAAAAGTATATGAATGTTCATAGCCACATTATTCATAATAGCCAGAAAGTGGAAACAACCCTAGTCAAATGTCCATCAGCTAGTAAATGAATACACAAAATGTGATTTATCCAGACAATGGAATATTATTTAGCCATAGAGGAGTGAAATACCAGTACATACAACATAGACAAATCCTGAAAACATTACACAAAGTGAAAGAAACCAGGCACAAAAGATTATATATTGTATAATTCCATTTATATGAAATGTCCAAAATAGGTAAATCCATAGAGACAAAAAGTAGATAAGTAGTTGACAGAGGTTGATGTAAGGAGGAAATGTGGAGTGACTGCTAATGGGTATAGGATTCTTTTTGTGGGTGTGTTGAAAATATTCTTAAATTGAATAGCAGTGATGGCTGCACAATTCTGTGAACATAGTAAAAACCACTGAATTACACACTTTAAAAGGGTGAATTATATCAATAAAGCTATTTTAAAAAAAAATAGATGTACACTAAATATGTGTTAGATAATATCCTTTTATCATATTCAATATAAATAACTTTACCACATTAAAAAAATAAAAACTAAGAATTTCAGGTTAATTTTGATAGGATTATGGTTAGAGTAAATGAGCTGTAAAAAGACATTTATTTCATCAGTGTCTTTTTGAAACATTAATTTGACACCAATTAATTGAGTACTTTACTTAATACTCCTTAAATAAAAATACATATTTTAATACCAATTGCAGGGCAACTTTGATTAGATTCTGCTTTAAGCAAATTAAATATAAAAATACACTTGGAAATTTTTAGGAAAAAACATCTAATATCATACTTAATGGGGAAACCTGAAACTTTGTCACCAAGACCAGGAACATGGCAAGAATGTTCCCTCTTACCACTTCTTTTCAACATTGTACTGGAAGTCTTAGCTAATGCAATAAGATAAGAAAAGGAAATAAAGGTATACAGATTAGGAAGAAATAAAATGGTCTTTGTTTGCAGATGGCACGATTGTCTATGAATTGGCCAAAAAACTTCTGGAACTAATAATTCCTGGGAGGGGATTACCCTGTAAGCTCTCATAAGAACCCTCCATGTGCAGCCACATCAGAGAAAACTCAGGGGCACAGCATAATCTAGTGGAGGGCATTTGGCTCCTATGTTATGTGAAAGATACCCCTCACTGTCCCCATGTGCCCTCTTAGGGGACAAGGAAACTGAATTGAGAGACATTGGATCTGCCAAGGGACCTTGGTGAGAGGTAGTGTGGCCCCAGAGCAGAGGATATGGGGGCAGAAACTCAGAAGGGTCTGTAGTGCCAGCAGAAGCCATGGTGGACCAAGTCAGCCTGAGAGAGGCCAGTCTGTGAGTTACACCAGCAGCAGAAGACAGCAGGAACACCAGGAGGGCACCTAGACCCGTGGTCACCACCCATGCAGCAATCCCAGCCAGCTGTTCCACAGCAGAGACTAGCAAGGAACTGATAGACCTCACATCTACCTAAGAACCCCAACTTCCCTCTAACATCATAGGGTCATGGCAAAAATAGCCATCTCCCTTATACTTACATGTCACCTTAGAGAAGCAGAGGTCAAGTGGAGCATTGTCCTGAAAAGATCTAGAAAGACCGTTTAAATGACTGGATCTAATCAAGCACATTGGACCTAACCAAATAGAGTTACTCCTACCCCCGCCAAGCCCCTCCCCCATTACAGGGTGGGCTCTGATGAGGAAGATTAGACCAATTTGGGAAAAATGAAGGAGCTACATTTTCTTTGCTCATATGAATGTAATATGAGAAGATCTGAATCATCTATAGACAAATTGTTCTACAGAACACCCTTCTCCCAAGATGCTCATGTGGCAAGGGTCCCATGGCCAAATAAATCTGGGAACAGCTGCATCCTGAATGCCCCTCCTGGAACTGCACAGCACACCCTGGCATATTAAAGGGTCTGAATGATCCATGGTGAAAAGCTTGCTGAATTTGTGTTTAACCTACCACCATGCTTGGCCCTGTAGCCTTCCTTCACATAACTCCTGTTAAAGTTCTAAAGAACTCATGCTCTGGGGAATACACTTGGAAACCTTGGCTAATTGAAAAGAAAGCTATGAAAGCTGAGTCATGGATCTAGCAGGCAGGGGAGTTACCCCCACTTACCTCCTCACAGAAGAAATGAAGCATTCCCCCAACCAGAGATTCTCCATCCCTAGGTGGCTCAGGCACATGATGCAGACACTTTCCAGCATTTCTGGCCCCTTTCCATCATTTTGGGCACATCTGTGTGATTACAATCATATTCTTCATACAAGACTTTATTCTAGCTGATTCACGGTTTTCACTTTGCTGCCAGAAATGAGTTGTTACGATGCACACACATTTTTGGTTTCCTACGCAAACCATTTACTGAAGTGGAGAAAGCACTAGACTAAAGAATCCAGAAAAACCTGGATTTGAGGTTCTCCCTACCCATTAGTAGATTACCAGCCCCAATTTGAGTATCGACAAACCATCAAAGGCAAATGGAAGCAGAGTCTTGGGCCCTTCACTAAAGTCCTACCACAACAGGATGTGGGCTTCACACATTCCTTGGTTATCTCTGAAGATCACTCCAGTGACCTCCTTGCCATCTCAACCATCCCTTCTCAGCCTCATTTTGTACTTGCCCCTCAGATCATAAGACCAATGCAGCCCTGAATTGTATGAAGGGTGTTTCTGACCCTTGATTCAGGACCTTCTAGGGGCGAATGTCTCCAACTCCCATCCTCTTCCCCTTAGCTACTGGCACAGAACTTCTTCCTTCTCTCTTGCTGTGGTCTGATGGCTTGAAGAGAACCACAAAGCTGACACAGGACAGACTGTAGTCTTGGACACCCTGCAGAGCCTTGTTTCATTCCGTAATGAGATTAATAAAAGCTGTCTGTTTTATCTGCTTTACAGAGCTGTTGTGAGGATCAAAAAAATGAAAGTCTACCCAAGTCTGAGGTTTGCTATAAAGCCCATTATAAGTGTTCCTTGGTATTATCTATTTTTATACAATTGAATGTTTAATGTTAGACAGTATCCTTAGTGACTCTTCAAACAGCCCAATGTTATTTCCTTTCTCATAAAAAATGAGGATTAATGCAATATGTTTCCACCCAGAAAAATCTTAACTAAGAGGAGGGGTAGCAATCAGTGTCCTCAAATATATCCATGAAATGGTCCTGTAAAGAGGATTCTCAGGCCCATATAAATGGATATGTGGCTCCTAGACCATGTTCCTGCTCTGGTCATTAGCTACAGATCTGGCTTTTGCTCATTTGGGAACTGCTGACATTGACTTTTCATTGGTTTTGATTTTTTCTTGGCCTTCATTACTTCCTTTCTTTCTTCCTCCCTCCCTGGCTTCCTAAACTTTTGTGATGTTCAAACTTTTGGCACAAAGGACTGCTGATGTACCTTTTGTACAACAAGCTGTCATGCTTTACTTTTATAAGAAGACACAATCAAATGTTGTTTTTTAAAGCTTCTAGGAACCTTTTGAGAACAGATTTTGTCCAGTTCTGTTCATATTTTGAACAGAAACAGTTCAGGTCTTCCTACTTCCCCGCCTACTGGTGGAACACCCACTCCAGGTTCAAGTGTCAACAAAACCATCAAAGGCAAATGGAAGCTGAGGCTTGGATCCTTCACCAAAAATGTCTGTCAACAGAATGCAGGATCAGATATTGGGCACCAGTTATATTTCTTGTGGTGCCACCAAAACTCCCAACCTAAAATCATCTTGGGAGAGTGGAAGTTGGGGCCAAAACCCTGGAGAACTGCTATTAAAGCACTGCGGGTGAAAGGGATCCCTTTTAATACCCCCAAGAAACTTCGCTCTTGATTAGTTCTGGGCCAAATAAATCATAGCTGTATTGAACTTTCACCTGAATCAATTTCCTCATGCGAGCCTCTCAATCCTCAGAGAGACATCAACCAACAGAAACGATTCCAGGATGGGGCCAAGCTATTAATAGGTCTTCAGCACGTTGGCAGATGAGGAGCTCTCTAAGGTGGAATCAGAGGCTGAACTAGATCTGCAAACCTCCATAGTTCCTAATATTTGGTCACCTTCTTGTCCCTGCGTTATAATAAGATTTAGATTCAATTTGTCAAAGCCTGTCATTTAGTCCACCTTGGAATTTTCATCTGCAGAACATAGGCAATCACAAATCTTCACCTCCCTCCTTTCCAAGAGGTGAGATTTTGAAATCCTGGTCAATTCACATGTGTGGTAAGTGCTCAGGTGTAATAACAATCATCTGCCTTTAGATCCATTCTCTCACTAAAACCTCACTAAATGCCAGGAGGCTAAGGCAAGTACTACCAGAGTCCCTTTTTATAGTTGAAGCAACTGAGATTCAGAGAGTTGGAGGGGATTTCTCCAAGGTCCTACTGTTGGTAAACAACAGAGCTACATCTCAGCCCTACATGTGTCTAAGTCTTATGCAGTTTCTTTGCATTCAGAGGGTTAACCTAGAGTTGTTGGGCTGGCCTCAGGAGATTGCCTAAAAGAATATATATGTATAGCACATGTATTTTTCTACAAAGGGAGTCCAGAGCTGTCCTGGAATTTTCAGAGATGCAAGACTAAAACATTGTTAAGAACTTTCTGCCTGCTTCATCTGGCATAGAGTATGCATTCAACATTTGTATGCTGAATTGAGGATTCATTGTGAGGGAGCAACAGGAAGATGTGGGTCTCAGGGGGATAACACTATTTATTCAGAAGAGACCCAGTGGAGAATGACCCCCAGGCGGCAGCAGCTGAGGTTCTGGCCGTGGTTACCTAGAGAGCACGTGCAGTGTGCTATGGGTAAACTGGTGGACGGCTAGGCAAATTTTATGATGGATATTTAGTCTGAAACCCAGGACCAATCCAATTCACTTGGAGAGGACACATCACTGTAGAAGTCTATAAAAAGAACCCTGTTGAAAGAGAGAAATTTCTTGCCCCTTTCTGTACTTGGAGTGTAATGACGAGTTTAGGGGTTCCTGAGTCTTCCCTGGATGAAGAGACCCTCTGGTGCTTTTTAAGAAGCAAAGAAACAAAACCTTCCTGGGGAGATACCCTTCACTGGCTGCCCAAGCCTCATCCCAGAGTGAGATAAAGGGGAAGGTTGAACCTCTTGGCCTTATGCAGAGAAGATAAATGAATATGAGGCTTTGGCAATAGAGCTGGAACAAATGTGTTGATCAAGGAGGATCATTGTCAAGCCAGTTTTCATCTCAGCAACTGGACTAGCATTAGAGACACTCATTTGAAAACCTTAAAGAACTCGACATGTATGATGGTGTGGCATCCCATCAGAGATGTGAAGTACAATCAGGACATTTTTATCCTAATGACAGAATATTATGTCCTCCCCTCTTGGTTAACAGGACACATGCTGCTAGAATGTGTAAAATCTGATTCACTTGGGCAGTAAGAAACAAGCATAACAACCCCAAGTCAGGCTGCTAGTTTTGGATGGTTTGGGTCTTTGTGTTTGACAGGATGTGTTTAGAGGAGAGATTTCCGTAGCCACTGAAGCACAGAGCAACCTGGTGCCCAAAGAAGAATGAGAGGAAGCAAGAGCTGTGTGTGTCTCATGGTAAACAATGAGGCCGGAAGCATCCATCTGGAATGCAGTCAAAAACAAAAAACCCTGGCCACTCAGATGCTGGAGCACCAATGCAGCTTTTTGGCAAAACTTTGACAGATGTCAGATATTAAAGAATGCATGTGTGGAAATGAGTTATATGGGGAGAAGTTAGGAACAAGAATTATTAGTAACCAAATAGTGTATGTTTGTGCATGAAAGGTGGGGAGGGCGTCAAAAAGAAGCCCAGAGTCTGTTGCTGGAAATATCCTAAGTTTAAAATTCAGCCCACAATCCATCTCAGTCCCTTTCAGTAGAGTCCTGGCACTGGGCTTGGCTCCTGGCAGCTCTTTGGGGGACCCCAAGAATAATAGCATGGGAAGAAATTTATGACATGTTTCAAGATCGTTGAATGCTTCTTAATCAAGTTATAGTGAGGAGGAGAGGTTCAAGCAGCAGTACTGGCATTATTTTAATTCACCAAGTGGGAAATTATTGAAGCATATTTTATATAATTAGGGTCAAGAATGGATTTGGTGTCATTTAAGGCAAATGTCCTGAACACAAAGCCGATTCAGCTGGCATGATTTCTAGCCTTGAGAACAGCAAGTCTGGCAACAATTAATCAGGCCAGAGGAAACAGTACAGAGACCACTGTTTGGCCACCCTCTGCACAAACCAGGGCAAGGAATTATGGAACTCCAGCAGCTAGCAATAGAAAGGGCCCTCTGGAATACAGCAAAATGTTGTAGGTAATGGCTTGTGTCCGGAACATCTCAGGAAGTTTTATGAATGTTAATTTAATTGTGCAATAGGCAAGGAAAGTCAGTAGTCCTTGTTTTACAAGTGCTAAGCATGCTAAGAGCTAGGTCTCCTTAGGGCTCACCAGGTGTCCTGGAGTGAATTGTCCTGGGGGTGAATTGCTGAGAGATCAAAACAAAAAAAGAAAGAAAGAAAGAAAAAAAGAAACCAACATTATTAACAACACAGCTGATGAGCAGAAACAGGACTTGGAGCAGAACCATGATGCTTAGCACAGATGCATCCATTCAGGACCAAAAAATGTTGTCCTGAGCCTCAAAGCTGTCAAGCTGTGTGCAAGAAAGAATGACAATGAACCCCCCCAAGCAGCCTCATGGCATTCTTGGACTATAAGCCTCTGAGGAGACTGGCTCCCAGCATGCGGAAGTCTGAGGTTCAAGTGTGGTAACAGCTTGCTAGTGGATGCTATGGAGCCAGAGCCAAAAGACACACATGCCACTCACTGTTTATTGCTTTGCTTTTCCCCTTTGGCCACTCCCTGTAGATGCCTCGGGGATAAGACCAGCAGACTTGTCTCCAGGCATATTCCAAGGAAAATGTTGGGAAGCAGAGCACCAAGTTCTATTACATACAACAGAGCAGATAAACAGATGAATGGAGAACGGAAACCTCATAGACACAGGTGACATAGTGTAAGAAGACTCACAATTTCAATGACTCAGACAAGATGGAAGTTGCTTCTCTCTCAGGTAACAACCTGGACATAAATAGTCTTGGGGAAGTATAATGGCTTTATGGTGAAGGGACCCAGACTCCTTCAATCTTGTTTCTCCTCTGTGCCTAGGGCATTGCCCTCATCTAAATGGTCCAAGATAACTCATGACCATCATGGCCACATTCCGATAGGAAAGGAGAAGGAGAGGGCACTCCTGTATCTGGTATGAGAACAACCTGGAAGTTGTACACATCACTTCTACTCACATCCCATTGGTTCGGAAATAGTCATCTGATCACACCCAACTGTAGAGGAGGCTGGGAAATGTAATCTCTTTTTTTTTTCTGGGTAGCCAAGTGCTTAGCTAAGAATTATATTTCTATGAGAGCAGGAGAGAGGCAGTCTGAAGGAGCAAAGTGTGATGGCAGCCAAGTCTTTGGCTGTCTGTTGGAAGTCTCCCACCCCACACTCCTTCATCAGTTACTCCTCCCTTTCCTCCCTCTAGTACACAACACTCCCTTTCCTGAGCTCCACACAGCGCCTCCAGGCCTGCTCTTTGCCAGTACTCTGCTACCCAGATTCCATGATCCTGCTAGCACTCACTTCTTATCCTGCGCTTTTCACATTCTCTTTTTCCCTCAGATCAAAGCAACTTAAAAATAAGGAAGAAAATGTTGCAACTTGCATGAATATCTGAGGAACACTTTTGCCTGGTTATAACTCCTTGTATTAATTATCTTGACACTTTAAACCATCACCTCCCTAAATGCAATGGGAGCCTTCTGTTCATAGAAAGTGGCTCTAGCATTTTTCTGTACTATGTGTGCTCAAAAACATCAAAGATATAATTTCAAACACACAAGTCAAGATTCACTTTGCCCTGGGTAATGGTGATACATACATATATATATGTATGTATGACTCAATATGCAAATATATGTATATATGTGTAGATGACTAAATATGCAAATATGTACATATGAGACTAAATATGCAAATGAACAATGACCAGACCATATATGACAATAGAATTCAGACTCACATAAGAAGCCCAGAAAGCCAAATCACAGTCTCTGAAGCAATTGGCACAGGTCAGGACTTGGTCAATGACTGCCAGCTTCCCTACATTTGGGCCCTACTTTTCCAACTCAGAACCAAACAGAAAAAAACAAATATGATGCCCTAACAATCACATAGGATGCCCCCCCCCCCTTGTTGTTAGCCCACCTCCAGCTTCCCCCATGCTATCAGCCTCCAATCAGGGCACACCTGAAGTCTTCCCATTTTTCTGCCATAAAGTTTTCCCACTCCTGCTTGCCTTTGAGTCCCTGCCAATGAGAAGTGATGACGCTGATTCCCTTGCTATAGCAAGTTCTGAATAAATAACCTCTTATTTTCATTTGGGTGGTCTTTGTCTATTTTCACCCTTGCAAAAAACTCACTGAGCTGAATATTTAAGATCAATGCTCTTTATACTAATTACTGTATATATCTCATCCATCAGAAATATCTTGGAACCTGCCTGGTGAGGTGATGTGCACCTGTAATCCCAGCTACTTGGGAGGCTGAGGCAAGAGGATTGCTTGAGCCCAAGAGTTTGAGACCAACCTGGGCAACATAGCAAGACCCATCTCTAAAAAAAATATTAAAATCTTTATTTTGCTCAGCTGTCTGATGAAGAAGTTAATAATAAGGACTAGTAAAGGAAAAGTAAAGTCAATGGTAAGATAAAGTAAGTACTGCCAGTTTCCATAGGCAGCGACAGAACTAACAACTTCTCATTGCCTGTTCATTTGAAATGTCAAAAGCAGACTTAGGGATGTCTCCTTCATTTTATGGAGACACTATACTCACTGTGTTGAAAAGGAAGATTAGAATAAAACATCCAGAGAAATTGTGTGTCCAGAGTTTCTGGGGCACTGTTCCATTCCCTAGCATCTGCATGGGGGGGTTAAGGGAGAGACAGCCCAGGATATAGCTGACCCTAAGTATTCAAACTTTACCAACAAACCCATACACACAGCATGTTTTTTGCTCCCTACCTCTACCCTAGTGACGCAGCTCTCTGTAGGAATCCATTTCATCTTAATATATAACTTATGCTGGCCAATGCCTCCCTGAGACCCACCATAAGGATGGCAGAACCATCTTTCATCCCCTAAACCAGCTCCCCAGGAGACCTCAGAGCACAATAAGGAATGTTCTTCAGTGCTCTCCAAATGGGCAGTAGAGCACAGCTTGCATATTAAACCCAGACAATTAGAATATAAAGAACTCCCCTACCAACAAACTGACTTTTTAAATATATATATATTTAAGAATGTAATTATGATTTAAGAATTTATTAATTATAAATTTATATATGTATATATAAGAATTTAATTATGTGTAGTTCTAGAAACAAAGTGGAACTTTCCCCCATTGTTTTGGCTGAGATTCTGACATAAATTTTAATGCATTAAATATTCAAAAAAATCAAATATAAAAAGAGTGACACCTAGGATTAGGGTTGAGCATCACTAAAGTCACAGAGTCAACAATGCTATTTGTTACAATAACACAGGCCTGTTCTTCCAAATTCCAAAGCTGAATGTCAAATGTAAAGGACAAGCTCTTCAGTTTGTACTCCAGCATGAGTGGAGAAATGTGAGTAGAATCTACCAAAATAAAACATTATATATTGACGACTGACACCAAGCAAAAGATCCCTGGGGATCCTAACTCATGGTTTACACCAGGGACATAAAAAGATAATAAATGAAGGGAAAGATAGCTAACAACAGACAGTAGGTGTGAGAGTCAACTTAGCAATGCTAATTCGTTACAAAGCAGCAGAGACAGGACATTAAATACGAATGCCAGGAACAAACTGATTATACCCAAGTCCTGAATGCAGCATAGGCTTCTCACCTTCCAGACAGAACATTACCTGTTACATGTTACCGAGCCCTTCCATGCTTTCTTAATTAATCCCCTGAAGCTCTGGGAGGGAGTTCTAATTTTCTTTCAGTTAGAACTGTCTACAGATGTCCTTATTCTGGCACCAAATGTGGTGGTAGGAAAACCCCAACCACCACCTCTTCCCTGACGCTATCTCAGCATTCTCCCTGCCCAGGACCCACCAACAGGGATTCTCGCCACTGAGGCCCTTAGCCCTCCTTGCTGCTCATATCCATCCCTTTCTCTCCCGTTTCTCCTGCCTTCCACTGACCAGGCTTTTGTGTAGGCTCTGCTGGACCCTTGTCCTGGCCCCTGAGCGGATAGCCTTGTGACCCAGTCTCTCTCTGCTCCTGCTGACAACCTTATAGCTGTTCCCCATTGCCTTCCAAACTAAACCACATTCTGACAACCCTGCCTGACATTCTAAGTCCTCCTCCTTCCAGCTCAGCCCTTAACCTGACTTCCCTGACAATCCTTCAGACACCCTCTTGTCTAGCCTTATTCTTTCTGGCCAATATTGCTTTTTTTCTCTTCTTTATAAAAAAATATTTTTTTGTTATGAGATATCAAAATTCCTCTTAGGATGTAGAAAGCCACAAGAGAACAACATTCCTACTCTAGTCATGTGAAAATCTAGATAATCTACAAAATCATAAATTTTCTTGAACCCATTAGAGAGCTAAGATCACAAAGAAACCCAAGTGAACTAAATTCCAAAGATGACAAACCCCTTCAAGGAGATATGAGACACAAGAATTGTTTCCCCTTTGACAGATTGTGGAAGGAAGAGGTAGCTGTGGGCCAGTACAAGACATAAACATATAAAAGTACATAGAACAGGTCTACAAAGCTTCATGAATTATTGGAGATCAAATACCTGTATAATCACCACCCAGGTCAAGAGACACCTCCCAGTATTCCTCCTCCTTCTGCCTCGTCTTTATGGTAAAGATGCCTTGCTTCTCTTTAACCCTTTTACTGCTAAATGTGAGTCTCTAATCACTACAGTGCAGTTTGTCTTCTTTAAAACTTTATAAAATGGAATCCTACAATCAATAGATCCTCTTCAGCAACTGGCATCTTTCACTCAACATTGTGTGTGTGAAGTCCCACCATGTTGCACAGAGCTATAATTTAAGCCCGTTCATCTTTGCTTCTGACTTCTCCCTCCTAAAATGTCTGTCCCCACCATCCCAGGCAATCCCAATATCCACCTACCAAATTATCACCCATCCTCGATTCAATGCAAATGCTCCTCTTCCTCCAAGGCCTCCATATAACCCCTTGGAAGCTGCAATACCTGCATGTAGCTCCTCCACTTGGAATGTCTCTTGTACTCTACCTCTTTGCCATTTTTTTGCTCTGCACGATGGTTAATTGGGTGTGTTTTAACATGTAGAGTGTGTCCTCCAAACCAAACATCTGGACTATTTTATTTATGTGGGATCCTGCAGAGTGCTTAGCACTGTTCAATGAATTCAATAAATGAATGTTTAACAATGTTCAACGAATTGCTTAGCAATGTTCAATGAATTCAATAAACGAATGTGTCTACTTACCAAACTCTGCCTGCATGACACAAAAGTATCATGGACTCCAGTAGGCCAGAGCCTGGCAGTCCCTGGAAGTTTTTCTTCTTATTAATGTTTGAATGTCTCATGTGGTCCTGTAGATGGTGGAGTGTCAGGGACTAGAAGTAAGACTGCAGCTTGATCTTGGAATTGCTTTGGGAACTAATTCCTCAATTCAAACTATTTCCATTTTATCTGCCTGTTTCTCAGAGGAGTGACATGCAGAACATCGTCTGGCTTTTTGAGCTTCCTTATTTGGATTTTGGGCAAACAGGCATTTCGTTTTTGGCTCTCTCAGATTAAACAAGTTGGTATATTATTTCAGTTTGAATGAAAACAGAGCAATGTCTCTGACATTTGCATTTCGAAAAATGGAAACTGTAGAGACGATCTTAGTGCATCTTGGGTGACCCATGGCAGGGAAAGAAATGGTTGAGAAATCCTAGCAAACCTGCCTCTTTGCTCTGGAAAGGGACCTGAGGTTGTAGAGGGAAATGTGGGAAGCAGAGCAGCTGAACAGGACCCCAAAGCACCAGGTCCCATGACAATAACCATGAGGACTGAGGCTCTTGCCTGCACCTTAAGGGGCCCGTTGTCTGGTAGGAACACTGCATAGGATGTGAGTCCTTGATCTCTATTATTATTTGCACTCTATGGAGTCTGGAAGTTGAAAACAAGTGTAAGCTGGGAGCAGGAGGAACAACACTTCTCCCTCAAAAAGGCAAACAAAACAAAAGAACAGTGATTACCAAACTATTAACAGTGGCTGCTACTGGCAGATGAACTTATGGTGGGGAGTAAAGGGAGGTGTTCTTCTTTCTGTATTGTTCCTTTTGGAATTGTTTGTAATTCTTTAGAAAAATCAAAATATTTTATAAATGAAACACAGGAACAAAGTATAATATTGGTCTCTTTGCAAATGTGAAGACATTTACCTCCAGACTCCCCCACCCCCCCTTCAGTTTCCCATACCCCATCCCAGACAGGTATCAAATGCCTTCCTCCCACTGGCAGCTTCCCTCTGGTTGGCTATCTTCCTCCCTTTTCCTCCCCTCTTTGCAGTCCTCTGCAAGAAACCCCTGGCTTGCCAGGCCTGGGAGATAAAGCTCTTATCCTCCCCAGACTTGCTGATATGGTTTGGATGTTTGTCCCCTCCAAATCTCATGTTGAAATGTGATACCCAATGTTGGGGATGGGACCTGATAGGAGGTGCTTGGGTCATGGGGGTGGATTCCTCATGAATGACTTGGTGCCCTCCTCGAGATAATGAGTTCTCATTCTGAGTTCATGTGACATCTGGTTGTTTGAAAAGATTATGGCTCCTCTTCCCTCTCTCTTGTGTTCCCAAGCTCACCATGTGGCACACCTGCTCCCCCTTTACCATCCACCATGAGTAAAAGTTTCCCAGGCATCACCAGAAGCTGAGCAGATGCTGGTGCCATGCTTTTACAGCTTACAGAACCGTGAGCCAAATAAACTTCTTTTATTTATAAATTACCCAGCCTTGGGTATTCCTTTACAGCAACACAAAAGGACTTGAACAATTGCCAACACCATATTCCATTCCTTCAGCTGGTAGCCTGCCTCAGCTGGCTTATATTTGATCAATTAACTCATAATGAAGTATTAATGCCCAGACTAATGCCTAAATTTCCCACACCAAGAAACATTTTCTAAGAGTTACATACATGTTCCACCATTTTATCTAATAATCCCATTTCTTGAAATAAATATATTCCAAAGAAATCATCAAAAGATTGTGTAGTGGATTCTGTTGATGCCCCACTAGCCCCTCTCTGCTGAGAGTGTTAGCTGCAAACAGTGCTCAGCTGATCCCTTCTCTGGAGGAAGTTACGTGCACTTCCCAACTACCCACAATGGGCAGCCCATAGCTGATGACTGACTAAAGTTCTTCTGCCTCAAGGTAGGATCAACTTCGGTGCAATTCAAGTCCAGAGCTCCACATGTGGACAGGCCAAAGCCACCTCCAGCTGAGACCCCATCCTTCTGTAGCTCCTTCCCTGCCCCAGCCTGCTTCCCGTTCCCGTCCTCCTCTGCCCCTGCCTCAATAAATCACATGCACCTGAATCCTTCTCAGGCTCTACGTGTGGACAACCTTATCTAAGACACAGGGAAACATTAGACTCGTGAAAAAGGTTTATTACAGAGTAATAGAAATAGAGAAAAACTAAGCAGACATTGATAAAAGAGATTGCCTTGAAAGGGTGGAACTGGGGTAGGAGACTGTTGCTTTTCACCATAAGCTTCCTCTCCCCTCTGACTTTAATTCCTCACCAGGTGTTTGTATTACTATGATTAAAATATTTGAAATTTAAAAATAAAAAACACCCACGTCTCTTCCAAATGAAGTGATGCTCCTGCATTTAACGGCTTTAATTTTGGAAAGTAAATCCAGAAAATTCAATAAGTTCCATTGGGCCTACAACAAAATCTATATTCTGGGAGAATTTTATCTCTATATATGTATATTATTTTCTGCTGGAACTGAAAGTAACCAAATCCCAAATCACGATAGAGTGAAAAAAAAAATGGAGTCCCAACTATTTGTTACTAAACCACAGGACATTTCAATTATCTTAAACTACCCAGTGTTGATACCCAGGGTTGAATCTAAAACCCTAATGTGGTTTTAGATTAAATGAAGAGGAAGGAGAATTTGAGGAACAGGATAGACAGCTAAGCAGAAACTCTGAAAGGCATTGGCCCTAGCAGAACTGACCCAAAAGGACAGCAGCTCCTGCCTTTGTGTGGGGTAAGGCTCTTTGGGGAGGAGGGCCGGTCCTCACTGTGGTGGAGAGGGGACATGGAGGTAGGGAGCTGAGCTTGACCAGGTGACTGAGTTGGCCTCATTGAGGTGTGAGGCAGAAGTGCCAGCTGCAAGAAGCCTGGGGGAAGGATATGGCCCACAGGCATCCATGCAACAGCTGCTGGTGCCCCCTCTGTGCCAGGCACTGTGAGGGGGCTGGGGACACTGGAGAGCAATGAGGAGAAGTAGAGAGTAACAGTCAAGGACATTTGATTGCAGGCAGCAGAAACAGATTTTGTTTAACAGCAGCAAAACTGAGCTTATTGAAAGGATAATGAGCCACAAAAGTACAAGAAAGTTGTAGAACCAACTTGGAAACAGGCATGAAAGAAGGCAGTTCAAGGTGGAGGGGCTAAGAAGAAGGAACCACAGGAATGGTCTGAGGGCAGTTGTAGTCAGTGTTAACAGCATGAAAGGCCGGCAGCCATTTCTTCCATCTGGTATGTTCCAGAAGAAAGCATCGCAGTGGCTAAGCATAGGCTACACATCTGTCCTTGGCTGTGTGGGGATGATCAAAGGAGGAGTCAGCCTCCCACATTTGTGACTGGTGGGGCTCTATTGGAGTTACTGTCCTAAAAAGACCACATACCATGGTGGATTCCCCACAAGGAAATTGAGGTGCTGAGAATGTGAATGAAAAGACTTTCTGGGGGAGCTGAGATCTAAGGTGTGATGTGAAGGATCAGTGTGAGCTGACCCAGCAGAGGGGAGCAGGCAGCCGAGGAATGATTTGGGCAGAGCACACTGCCAGTGGCTGGATGCTGGAGAGCCTGGAGCAGTTTTGGAGATGGTAAAGACTGTATTTCCCCATTTTACATGGTTCCTTATTCTTATAGGAGTGATTCAGTTGATGGTGCAACCTCAGGTAATGATGCAACTTCAGCTAATGAGGCCTGGGATTGGGGGACATCAGCATCTCCTTGGGCTGGATGCATAGCATGAGTTGGGTATGGCAGGAGAAGGGCCTGAAGAGGTCAGCAAGGCCACTCATGAAGGGTGCTCAGCGTTAAGCAGCTCCAGGAGGAGAGAAATGGAAAGAATCCTTCCTGCAGTGGGTAGAAGATTGCAGAGCTAGAGGCAGGCTGAGAGTGAGAGGCTGTTGCTGTAATCTGTTATAGCAGAGACAAGAGCTGAAGGTGCAGGACACCAAGGGCAGTGAGCAGCAAGCAATGGCAGGCTTTGTCATAGCATAAAAGGGGTCCCCAAGGACAGTCTCTGCATGTACACAAAGTTGCAAAGCCTCTGGGTTTCCTGTTGACATTCTAGCCACAATTAGGACACCCAGGGTTAGGTCAGGTCACAGGTTCAGAATGGATCTTAAAGGTGGAAGGACTGGGTTTCAGACTCATGTCTGCCACTTTCCTGCTGGGTGGCCCTGGAGACAACACTTCATCTCTCTGGGTCATGGAGAATAGTTTCCCCATGTGGTTTGACTCCTCAGTATCTGCTCCCTCTTCATCTAGTAAGACCTTTGATTTTTGTTTGGGGATATGCCCTGTCTTCATTCTCCAGGAGTGGAGCTTATCCCATGGGCAACAATGATTGGTTCTGGGATGGCCACACACCCTAAGCCAGTCCAATAAGAATGAATCTTGGGAATTTCTGTGGACGCCCTGAGATTTTTACTCTTTCCTACTGAGCTCAACCCTGAAGTTAGTCATTCTGCAGCCATCTAGCCTTCAACATGGAGAGAGCCACAACATGGAGTTCAAGAATGGCAGAGCTGAGAGACCAAGAGAAAATGAGTCCTGGTGGTACTCTCAGCCCTGGAGCAATCTAGACCTGAAGCCAGAAAAATACTCCTGACTTTTCCAGTGCTTGTGACTTCCTGTACAAGTTGCTGAGATTATCCAATAAAACAATAGAAATAAACAAGCTCTACAGTGCCAAGCTCTCAAATCATTACCTTGACACCAA
The DNA here is from genome assembly GCF_000001405.40 of Homo sapiens. Lineage (NCBI taxonomy): Eukaryota > Metazoa > Chordata > Mammalia > Primates > Hominidae > Homo > Homo sapiens. The sequence goes on from NC_000003.12 coordinate 43,257,909, forward strand.
GGCCAGTTTGGCTGGTGATGTTTTTCAGATGAAGTAGGTCTTCTGAAGCAACTGCCCCTGTGGGCAGTGTGTTCATTTGTTAAGGACATACTCAGACATATGCATGTTGGCCTGCTGCAGTTGGCAGTGAGGACACAGGGGCAGGCCCTGCTCACTGAAGTGGGAGCTGCGTGGGAGGGTGCACAGGCAGGTGGTGCCTAGCTCAGCTCTGGGAAAACTGGCAAGTGTGATTTGCCATCTCTGTACCAGCACACCGTGCACTACAACCACTTCTCAAAGAAGTGTTCCTCCAAAGGAAGTGCAATGAAACTTGTGATGCAGCCAGGAAGGACATGGGAGGCCCCAGGAAAGGAGTCTGATCGCAGCAGAATCCAGTGATGGAGACAGCAAGACCTCTGAAGGGGTGGGTTGCCCCTCCACACCTGTGGGTGTTTCTCGCCAGGTGCAACGAGAGACTTGGAAAAGAAAGAGACACAGAGACAAAGTATAGAGAAAGAAAAGGGGGACCCAGGGGACCGGTGTTCAGCATACGGAGGATCCCGCCGACCTCTGAGTTCCCTTAGTATTTATTGATCATTATTGGGTGTTTCTCGGAGAGGGGGATGTGGCAGGATCATAGGATAATAGTGGAGAGAAGGTCAGCAGGTAAACACATGAACAAAGATCTCTGCATCATAAACAAGGTAAAGAATTAAGTGCTGTGCTTTGGATATGTATACACATAAACATCTCAATGTCTTAAAGAGCGGTATTGCTGCCCGCATGTCCCACCTCCACCCCTAAGGTGGTTTTCCCCTATCTCAGTAGATGGAATATACAATCGGGTTTTACACCGAGACATTCCATTGCCCAGGGACGAGCAGGAGACAGATGCCTTCCTCTTGTCTCAACTGCAACGAGGCGTTCCTTCCTCTTTTACTAATCCTCCTCAGCACAGACCCTTTACGGGTGTCGGGCTTGGTCAGGTCTTTCCCTTCCCACGAGGCCATATCTCAGGCTATCATATGGGGAGAAACCTTGGACAATACCTGGCTTTCCTATGCAGTGGTCCCTGCGGCCTTCCGCAGTGTTTTGTGTCCCTGGGTACTTGAGATTAGGGAGTGGTGATGACTCTTAACAAGCATGCTGCCTTCAAGCATTTGTTTAACAAAGTACACCTTGCACAGCCCTTAATCCATTTAACCCTGAATTGACACAGCACATGTTTCAGGAAGCACAGGATTGGGGGTAGGGTTATAGATTAACAGCATCTCAAGGCAGAAGACTTCTTCTTAGTACAGAACAAAATGGAGTCTCCTATGTCTACTTCTTTCTACACAGACACAGTAACAATCTGATCTCTCTTTCTTTTACCCACAACCTCCCCGTTTGGGGTCATAATAAAAGGTGTGGAACTTGGTGTGTGTTTAGGGTAATTCTACCAGCCCCTTCCCAAAGAAGCTCATGTTCTCCTCACAGGATCTCCATCATCATAGTGATCACAGCACTGACAATAGATGCTTCCCTTGCTGAAGTGGCGATAGAGGGTGTCACAGGGCTTTGGCCTGCACTATGCATTTCTCAGTGGCACATAGTGTGCAGGTGTTGGAGCCAGGGGGCTGGGTTTGAATACTGGCAGCTGCGTAAGCATGGAGAAGTGGCTTGACCTCCATGCTTTAGTGTCCTCTCTATAAAGTACAGTTAATAATAGAGTTGGCTTTATGAGTTGTTGTGAGAATTAAATGAATATATCTAGGGAGTTAGGACAGGGCCTGGCCTGTAGTAAGGGCTCTGAGTCTGTGGAGTAAGTATTATAAAGAAACCTGTCTTTAGCTGACTGGCAAGTCTAGACCTTGAATCAGGGCTTCTGACTCCGGGATCCACTTCTGACTCAGCCGGGAACAGAAGGGTGATGTTCAAAAGCCCCAGGGTGGTTCATGTGGGCACATCCACACCCTCAGAACATAGAAGCCTCCAGCAGAATCCCTGTCAGGTGCTCCCTCTGAGTCAGTGGCACACTGGGCACATTGTCATTAATTATACTCAGAGCAAGGATGTGTCAATGTTCCCATACCCCACTTCTGCAGCTGCAAACAGCTGGGGAAACTGAACAGAAACCCATGGCATTTTTATCAATGTTCATATGCTATTCCTGCCTTCTTAGCCTCCCAACTGCTGACTACTTTGGTATTTAAGGACAATAGGCAACTAGGGATTCAGTTGAACATCTGACCTGACGTTCATGGTGGCAAAACTTGAATCTTCTCCCCTTACCTGGTGTGAGTGAGGTGGTTCTTGGACATGTGACTCCTAGGAGCTGGAGATCCTGGGTCTGGTGAACACACAATGTTTACATAACAAGCTCCAGGACCTACCGGAGATGAAATGAGATTCTTCCTACTAGGTGGGATGCCCAGATTCGCTAGTTTATGATTTTGAGGGGACTCCTATCTCCCAAATTGAGCTGGGAGGACATCGGGACTGAGGTGAAACATTGGTCACCCGGAATATTCTCCACTCAGCTTTCCACAAAACAAAGGGGGACAATTCCTCTGTTGTGACCACAGACTCTTTGCTTGGCAGTTTCAATCATCTTCTAACTGATCGCTAGCCTTCTGTTATGCCCCTTCTGATCCATCCTCAAGTGGCCACAAGGAGAACTCTGTGAAATACAAATATGGATATGTCATTTCCTTGCATAAAATTCTCTCACAGTCCCCCTCCTGTGGTCTAGACCAGCACTGTTCCATAGGACTTCCTATGATGGTAGAAATGTCCTATATCTGCTCTGCCCAATAGCCATATTGGACAGCTGGGTGGCTGTATGGCTACTGGACAGAGCAGATATAGAACCCTTACTCACAAGTGGCTACTGAGCACTTGAAATGTGGGTGCTTGTCTGAAGAATGGGATTTTTAATTGTATTTCATTTTAGCCAATTTAAATTGTCACATATGGCTACCATATTGAACTGCACAGGTCTAGAGAATAAAATCCGAAGTCTCAGGCACAACCCAGTTCTCCCTATCTGAGCAGCCTAAATTTTTTGCCAGAATTCATTCAAGTTGGGAATTCCAGCCCTAACAAATGGCTTACAACTCCTTAAACATTGTGCCTACTTCACACCTCCATGCATTTGCATCTGCTGTTCTCTCTGCCTGGAATGTTCTCATACCTTGCCTAAACTCACAAGCTGCCTGTTTCAACAACCCACTTTCATTAAGTAATAAGTAACTCCAGTGTTACCTCTACTATCAAGGTTTACCAACCACCCCTGCCCATCTCCCCAAATCAGAATTAATCGCACCTTTGCGCATCCAGCACAGACATGCTTAGAGGCCCTTCCAGCACTTATAGCACCGATGTGTCTCCCATCTGCTCCCTCCAAGGGTAAAGGCAGGCTCCTGAAGAGACAGTCCTGTGTCTATTCCCCTTTGGGTTTCCACTGCCTAGGATTGATTTTAATCATATAAAGCAGTCATTGGATGATGGCTGAAGAAATAAAATTATCATAGCAGACATATGTCACAGTATGGGTTGTCTTGCATCCAACTTCCTGCCTTATTCTACCTCTGGGACACCCTGGGACATCTCTTTATGTGTGGCCTTGAGATTTAGGGGAAGTCAAAAAGAAGATCCTCCTCTCACTGCCCTAGTCAATTCTTCCAGGGACTGATGGAACCATGAGAGATGCAGTAATGCCAGGGCAAATATAGCATTTCTGGGCCTTAGCATTTCTGTTGCCCAGTTTGCCAGCAGCTCTAAGATTGGGTCTCCAGTCTCTTGTCAAGCATGCCCTGATGGGCTTCCAAAGATTCCCTGAGATAGTCAGCTACCTCCTGGTAGTTGGCTACCAAGTGACCTTCATCAGCAGTTATGCAGATAAAGATTCCAGGTCAACGGGGTCCTGCAAGAGAGGAGGGTATGTCATCCTGTAAGGAGATTTGATGGATGATGGGGTGAACTACTACAATGCACACAGCTGCAGTCGAAGCTAGAGCAAAAGACCCCCAGCATGCTAGGGAGGACACACCTGAAACTGGAGGGAGGTGAAACTGACGATGCCAGGGGCCTGGCCCATGCCAGCAGGGCAGAGCACCATCCACTCCAGCCAGGGTGGCTGGGTTAGCTGGGTGACTACATGCTGGGCCATAGTTTGGGCTGAGGGAAAGAAGGTAGGTTACCTTGGAGGTTCCAAATAATGCTGAAAGATTGTTTTGATAGGAATTGGGAGACCGGGGGTCATGGTGGGGATCTGGGGTCCTATTGGCAAGTATTTTTGGTTGGATTTCTAGTGTCTTAAATAAACATACCTTCAAATACATTGTAAACTGAGAGCTTCGTTCATCTGTTCAACAAAGTTTGTGAAAAGCCTCTTTGTACGAGGGACCATGCATGCCAGCACTCTTTCCCACCTCCAGCCTTTGCCCAAATTGTGTCGTCTTCCTGGGTTGCTCTTTTTGCCTTGTCTTAGCAGCTCCTACCCATTAGTCACACTCAGCTTAAATGTCATTTCCCCACAGAAACCTTCCTTGACACCCAGATTAGATCAGCTGGACCAGATTAAGTCTCCTGGTAGCTCACTTTATAGCACTTACCATAGCTGTAGTTGTATAGTTATTCGTGGGGTCATTTGAAGAAAGCCTCTCCTCCTTGCTAGATGGCAGGCTCCACAAAGGCAGGGATGGTGCCTGTCCTGTTAACAGATACATCCTCAGCACCTCATAGCACAGTGCCTAACACTCAAACATTTGTTGAGTGATGAACAAAGGAGAAATGGTACAGAGGAAAGGAAGGAGGGAAGGGAGGGAGGGAGGGAGGGAGGAAGGAAGGAAAGAAGAAGGAAGGAAGGAAGGAAGGAAGGAGAGAGAGAGAAAAGAAGGGAAGATTTCAGAGAAGGAAGGAAGGTGAGAGAGAGAGAAAAGAAGGGAAGATTGCTGCATTCCCTCTTGGCCCTCTGTGTGCCCACAGTATGTTACTGTGTGTTACTTGTCCCCACTTATGCTCCTTACTCTTAAAAGAGGAAATAACAAGTGGCCTCTATAGGCCAAGCACTCGAAGCCCTGGGACCCTGCACCCCTGCCAAGCAGGGTACCACTGCTGTGTCTTAGCCATCCTCCTCAACTTCACACCAGGTCCTCTGTAGGGTCCTGGACAAAGACAACTCAAAATAAACTCCCCACTTTCCCAAACTACTGATACAAGGGTGGTAGGTATCCAGTGTTTTATTCTGAAGCTCAAACATCAGATAATATAAAGACAATATTTCCTTATTAGTATTTTGCACATTACACCTGGGGAGAATGAAGACTTATAAAAACTGAGCACTATGTCCACCCAATGTATACCCTGAAGAGGATCCTAGACAACACAAAGGACATAGTAGAAAAATTGGCAAAATCTGAAGAGACTTTGTAGTTTCACTAACAGTATTGTACCAATGTTAATTTCTGAGTTTTGACAAATGTTCCATAGCTATGTATGATATTGACATTTGGGGGAAATAGGTGAAGGGTATATGGGAACTCTGCATCATGTTTGCAACTTTTGTGTAAATCTAAAATTATTCCAAAATAAAAAGTTAATTTAAGAAAAAAGGCTGGGCACAGTGGCTCACACCTGTAATCCCAGCACTTTGGGAGGCCAAGGCAGGTGGATCATGAGGTCAGGAGCTCGAGACCAGCCTGGCCAAGATGGTGAAACCCCATCTCTACTAAAAATACAAAAATTAGCCAGGTGCTGTGGCAGGCGCCCGTAATCCCAGCTACTCGGGAGGCTGAGGCAGGAGAATCGCTTGAACCCAGGAGGCGGAGTTTGCAGTGAGGCAAGATCGCACCACTGTACTCTAGCCTGGGCAACAGAGTAAGACTGTATCTAAAAAAAAAAAAAAAAAGAAAAAAGAAAAAAAGGAAGAGTTCACTTCATCTCTTCTTTAAAGCACTGCAAGATATAAATTTCTGGGTGAAGAAATGATGGGTGATTTTTACTGCCTTTATTATATTTTCTCTACTTTTTACAATAACATATATTGCTTTTCAAATTAGGAAAGTATTTTTATTAAAATAATTAAATAGCTTGGTTTAGAAAATGTTCAAGTGTGTGTGATAAGTTGTGTTTTTAATTGAAAAGACAATGGCACCATTAAGAACAAATTGTAAAAGATATAATAACCCATAATATTACTACCACAACAGAACTGGATTCTCAATTTTGCATGTAACTGTTCACATGCAAACATAATTCTAAGCTGCACTCGTTGCTGGCTGCCATTCTAACGCTGGTGCCTGCTTGTATTTCCTTCAGATGCAATTAAAACAGACTGTACAGTGATATACAAATGATAAGTGCTCGAAATGTGCAGCCGTTCATACAGAACAAGTATGCAGAGGTTCTGAAAATGGAGCGCTCAGCCCTCTCGGCCCCTTCAAGACCTCCTGCCCTCGCCATGAGTAGAGGGAGCATGGTCAGATAGGGGTCTGGGAGGGTCATCCCTTCCTTGCCATTGTCCCAGATAACACCCATGTGACACCACTCTGAGCCACAGCTGCCTACTGGGAGTAGAAGAAACTGCCTGAGAGACCTCTAGAGCTGGACATGCAAAATGGGCACTAATGGGAGCCTGTTGTTCTGATGTCATTCTAGATACGAGTTTTGGGAGAAAAAAATGGATGGCTCCATCTCCTCTTGCAAAGTGAAGCAGAGAATTAAGTTAATTATTCAGAGTCAAACAGCCTTCTTGAGCATCAAACAGGAACCAGAAATCCTGAGGTTTTGCAATGCTGTCTGTCCCTACCTAGCCCTCCCCCATCCCATATTCTTATCTTGACCTGAATAACTTTCTCTTGAAGATGTCTCAATGGTTGTGTGAGCTAGTCCAAATCCTGTTAAATGAAAGCTTTCTTCTTTTACCAATTTGGGAAACAAAATACCATTTCCCACAAAGAAAACTGACACTTGCCTTGCCTGTCCGAAGAAACTAGCCCTGTCCCATAAATGAGGAAAGCAGCCCTTTGTCCACTGCAGAATATAAGCAGCTCTGGAGCATCCCTGCAATTTATGACTACACCTGTGTCCCAGGAGAGGGACCAGAGTGACACATTCTCTGTTTGGGGTGGTGGAGGCCTGGCTTGCCAGGGAACCCTGACCTTGGATCCAGGCCCAACCCAGGATCATTGGCTGCTCCTTGGACACCTGTGCCTGAGACCATGACCTTGCTCCTCCCGATTCCCCATGCTACTAGAACACTGGGCTCCCACCTAAAACCACCAGCAGTTGCTGATGGGCCAAGTGCCAGGTCCTTGGCCTGGCATCAAGGTGCCCACCAGGCTCTCTGCTGCTTCTTCCATCAGGCCAGTTCCTTTAACATCCCTTGGCACAACTCCCTCACTTCTACCTCCTCATGTCTGCTCCTCCTCTTCTGACGTCCTTCCCGCACCCATGAATTTCTACCCATTTCAAAGCCTGACTCAAGTCAAGCTTCACAGAAGGGGACCAGCAGCATCAGCTTGCTACAAATACAGAATCCTGGGCCCCACCCCAGAACTGCAGCAGTGGAATCGTGCTTTAATTAGCCCCCTAGGTGATTCATGTGCACCCTACAGTGGGAGAGGCAGCTTTTAAAATGAAATGTTCTCAAAGTGTGGGCCTTGGGCCATCAGCAGCAGAAATCTGTTTGCTGAAAATTCAGGCTCCTGGGTCACACCCCAAACCTGCAGGAATTAAAATATCTGGGTGTGAAACCCAAGAATCTACATGTTTACCAGATACCCCAAAGTGTTTATTTTGAATTTCATATACAAATTATAAACTGCATACATAAAAACCATAAATTGCTATAATAAACCTATTTAATAAATTACTTCAATAATAATTGTGTTGCATTGATTATAAATTATTATACATTGCTATATAGTTATTGTATGTAAAAATATGTTATTAGCTATTACATGTGATGATTTTTACTTTGTACTTGAAACACATTGGAAAACAGCAAAATGTTTTTGAGATGGCTGACTTCTCATTCGACCACTTTAACCTGTAGCTGTCCCGTTCCCAGAACATCTTTCTGTTATTTACACACACACATACATATATTTCCAGAGAACGAAATACAATTTATTTTGCATTTGGGTTTTTAGATTACTGTTACTTTTTGTGTCATTCTGCAATTTTATTTTTCTCACTCAACAATGTGCTTGAAGAATGGCCTATGATAGAAAGCAGAGGGCTGCCTCATTTTTAGCTGCATGGTGTTTCATTGCATGGATACACATTGTTTAAGCTATTAATGGACACCTAGGTTATTGACAGTTTTTCTGCTTGCACAAGTATGTAGTGAACATGCTCAAACATACCTCCTTATGCCAAGGTGTGTGGGTTTCTTTAGAGGAGAAACCATGACACGCTGGAAGGTGGAATTGCTGGTAACGGAGGGCTGAGCATTTTGAATGTTAACAGCTCTTGCCCGCGATCCTTTGCACCTTCAGATTTAATCCCTTTGTTTGGGGGTTGATTCACACTAAGTCTGGAATTAAACGTTATGTTTTGGCATCAGAACTTCTGCTCCAAATATGTTCAAATTCACTTCCTCGCACTACTGGTAACAGCTGACATTTACTAACCTTTCTAAGCACTGCTCATGACTTCACTCATTTAATCCTCCACCTCAACAGTCCTTTGAAATATTTGAGGGTATTTGCATTACCCTCAGAATACAGATGCCAGCCTGAGGCCTTGACCAAGTTTGGACAGCAATGAAATAACAACCCAAGATTCAAAGTCAGTGTCTGCTGCTCTCCCTTGTTTGCTATTCAGAGTTCTCGGTAAGCCAGGGACCTGATCGGACTGAGGCATCTTAAATGTTGGTTTGAACCCACATATTTATAATGGACTTATCTCAGGAAATTACCAGTAGGATTTGCACTGTGTCAATCCTATCATATGTTTAAAATATGTACATCAGAGCTTTATCCAAGGCTTATGGAAGGTTTAATAGAGGTTGTAGAGGCAGAGACAGAAATTTCTGAGAAGTCATCATAAGCACTATTGAAAACAAAACGAAACGCAGGCAAACATTTTCCATCCATAGGTAAGAATGTGCCCAGGCCTCAGCATTCAATTTTCACCTTGTGAAGTTTCTCTGACATGAAACAAAAGGAAGCTGACCTCATCTACCTTCTCTGAATGGAGCTTTCTCATGGTTCTCTGGAGTTACATTCAATTCAATATATATTGAATTTAAAAACAGTCCCAGCCCTCAGTGCATCAGGATGCAACTGCACTCAGTCTTTTTATTTTTTTTCCTTTGACACTTTTTACAGAGAGAAAATGTGTGACTTTTTTGATGAGCAAACAGCCAAAGGTGTTTAGGAAAGGTCTGTCATTTTTCTGGTGGCCAGACACCCCAAACTAAATTCATTAACAGCTCTTCTGTTGGGAATTTTAAAATATTCTGTGACCTATATAAATTCCTTGTTATGTCGTCTACTAATATAAGAAAAGTAACTGACATACACTGTGGCTACAGATCAAGGAAGCAGCATGGAATCACAGGAAGGAGCTGGGAGATTGTCACCTCACCGTTGAAGACGTAGAAATCCATGTCCTATGCCCTGCTTCTACCCCTCCCATGAAATGTTCTTTGTTTTTTGTGAATAGTAACAGTTGCTTTTTGAACATTGATTCATTTTCTCTTTAGTTTGACATGTATGTGTCATTCAGTCAAGTGTTTCTGTATTTTCATAACTTCTAGAAAATATTAGAGGAACACCCGGACAGAGGAACAAGAGTTTGGCTGTGTTTTATGAACAACTAAGTATAATGAGTGCCATCAGCCACATGCTGGGCTGGTGACCCTAACCTCAAATTAATCAATTCACTTCCTTGCTTCTCAGTTTTCTTTCCCAAAATATCTAAATACATGACGCAGATTTGTGTCATTCATTCATGCCAGTATACACGACATTGGTTCATCCATATAATAAATATTCATGGAACCCTTACTCTGCGCCTTGCATCAATGAAAGGGGCTGGAGCTGCAATGGTAAACAAAATACATGAGATTCCTGTCCTCATAGAACTTAAATTGCAGAGCTATAGAAGCATTGCAGAGGCAAAAATTCTGTACCAGTCAAAAGCAACACATGCATCTGCTTACAGAGATTTCTTTTTTCCTCTATATCTTAAATCTACAGCTCTTGCATGTCTACACTGTGTACTGGTGCTTATTCTACAACACCTTGGCAGAAAATGAGCAGCAACCTCCTTGACAGAAAGATATGGCTTAGAGTTTTCATGTCGCCAGTGTTTAGGTTGATGGGGTAGCTGGCTCTGAGCCCTGAACATAGCCAAGAGTCCCTAGGCTTTCTCCTTTTCCAGGGCCTTTCAGCTGGGGCAGGTTATTGTGAATATCGAATAAAATGATAATGATGATGATTATGGAACTGATATTTTCCTACCAGAACTAACAATGGGTGAATCTGTTGAGAGGATACTTTAAACAATATTAATGATTCGAATGATCCAGTCTTGAGTTTATAGACATTTGCAGACAGTACATTTTATGTTCATTAGACCTCAATTGGTTTAGTCTAGTGACTTTTTCCCCTAGTTTATGACCAGAATTAGCAACTCCAGAGAGCTGAATTAGGCCCTTTGGTTGATTTCATTTAGAGTAGGGTTAGATATAGCTCACTGGTTATAAGGAATTATCCTGTTTGCAGTCTCAGTTAAGATTCGGGTATTTTAAGGCCCTTCCCTTGGATCTGAGCTTCCATAAATACTCCATCACCTTGAATAACTGAGAGTTTACTTTTGGGAAATATGGGGATTGTCATGAATAATCCACACCCATCCTCTTTATTGCAGATTGATATCTAGTAATTAGCATCAGGTACAGGCAATAGGCCCTTGTTGGGTGGGGCCCCAGTACAGATTAGGGATCTGACTTTAGTCATTTTCTGGATGAGTCAGGCTCCCATGTAGCATCAGGAGTGTGTAAATGTCAGAAAATAAGAGTTCAGCTCTTGCCAGCAACTTTTGTTCCTTTCCCCACTATCCACACCCCTCAATTTTCCTCCATTAAAAGAGGCAGACGTGGATTAGATGAGGAGGACAAGTCAAATGACCTCCCCCAGTCATTCCAGAGAAGGTGGCTTCTTAAAGAAAAAAGAAAAAAGGAGGGATGATGGATGCCTGTATAACTCATTGCACTTCTTATACCAAATCTTTTCACCACTTTCTGAAGACTATGGTTCCTCCCTTTCAACATTATTGACTTAAACCTTGTGGAGAAAAGTTTTGTTGTTGTTGTTGTTTGTTTGTTTGTTTTAAACACCTTAACAAGTAGGATAGTCTAAATGTAAGGTCTTAACTACTAGACTCTTGAATCTTGAAAGTCACTCATTCAACTACTTGGTATATTCACTGAAAAGTGTTTATTGAGTAGCTACCTTGTGTAAGTCACTGGGGATTCAAAGGTAAAAGACTTTCAGTCCCTGTCTTAGAGATGAGCTTACAAATTGGTGTAAAATTAAGAGATTATTGTAATAGCACATTGGAAGATCCATGACAGATGACTTGTGTTGTGTTATGGGAACGGAAGGTAGAAAATAGGCCACCCAATCCAGATGGAAGAGTGGAGGATGTGACACTGAAGCTAAGACCTGAGGGTCATGGAAGTAAGCAAGGAAGGTAGGAGATGGGCGTGTGGGTGTGTAACTTTAGAGGGCTACAAAATTGTGGTTTGTAACTTTAGGGGGCATCAGAAAAAAGATAGGTCTTTCCTGAAGGTGGGCTGGATGGAGTAGCCGAGTATGACCTCTGACCATAGCCTGGCTCGGAGTAACCAGCAAGGCTTGGAGAAAACCAAGGTTGTTTTCAGTCAGGAGTGGATTGTCAGGCACACAGTGTATGGCCATGACTTGGGGGCCAAAAGTCAAGAAACAAGTAAACCAAGTAATTTCCTGGTTTCTTTTCCTTGGTTCAGCAAATTCAAAGCTAGAGCAGAAATAAAGGAAGAGTGAATGGTTCTGAAAACACGAGTGCCAAGGATTTCGCTTTTATTATTATTATTAAAAACAATACTATGTTTTCTGTGTTATGTAACTACTTATAATCTCCCCTGCCTAAAACAATTTCAGTAATGTCTTCTAGAAGGATCCAAAACTATCATGGCAGAGAACACTGAGTTTGTTGTGAGAACTGGGGCTGGGGTGGGAGGCATTGAAAATGACACATTTGCATTGGTAGAGGAAGGATATTCCCATAAAGAAGACGACTTCTAGAATCAGCAATAAGTAGCATCTGGAATCAAAAGTAGCACTGGATTAGGAACCAGGAGTTATAGTTCTTGGGAATGGTTCTTATTCTAATGAATTGCATCATAGCTCAGGAACTTAACCCTTTAGGGTTTCAGTCTCTACAGATATAAAACATAATGAATTGGGTTCTGTTTATATATTCCCCAAATATGTATTGAGCACCTACTATGTGTTAACACCATCCTAGATGTGGGGAACGCAGAGAATTATAGGAATTGATTCTTGGTCCTTGGTAGGAGATGGGAGGACAGCTCACAGCCTGGTGGAAGAGGATGAATAAGCTGTTAAAAGTCCATGGGAAGGCCAGGCCCAGTGGCTCACGCCTGTAATCCCAGCACTCTGGGAGGCCGAGGCAGGCAGATCACTTGAGGCCAGGAGTTTGAGACCAGCCTGGTCAACATGGCTCGTCTCTACTAAAAATACAAGTTAGCCAGGCATAGTGGTGCATGCTTGTAATCCCAGCTACTCTGGAGGCTGAGGCAGGAGAATCACTTGAATCTGGGAAGCAGAGGTTGCAGTCAGCTGACCTTGAGCCACAGCACTCTACCCTGGGTGACAGAGCGAGACTCCATCTCAAACAAACAAACAAAAAACAGCAACAAAACAAAAGAAAAGATGTCAATGGGAAGAGCAAAGTGCTCTTGGGAATACATGGAGCAGAGGAGAAAACCATCCTGGGGAGTCCCACAGGTGGACAAGAACACGGATGTATGCTGGGCAAAAGGACTCGTAAAATCCTACGCTTTATAGGTACATAGTATTGCTTTATATCCTAGTTTTGTGAATATAGCATTTGTTTTAGCTTTTATGAAAATAACACTGTGAAGAAAGGAAATATAATTCAGGGGCTTTGACAGGATTTTTTTATTGCTTTTTCATTTCGCTGCTATTACCATCTAGAATACAGGAAGAAAAAATAATCACCAGTTAAAAAACTTTTTATACAAAATGTTCAGCTATGTATAAAAGTGGAGAAAAATTATAATAAACCCCTTTCTGTGTCACCCAATTTTGTTTCCTCCCTACTCTACCACACACAATATTTGCTGAAATATTTTAAAGCAAATTCCAGAAATCATTTCATGTCATCCGGAAATATTTAAATAAGTATCTCTATCCGATAATAACTTTGTAAAAATATAACTACACTACCATTATTATGGGACATAATACTCAGAACTTATTAAAATTGTCCTAATTAGCTCAAATAATATTTTTATTTAAATCAGTATCCAAACAAAAGCTAAATATGGTATTAGTTTTTTTTTTTATTTTATTTTATCTCTCTTTTTTTCTTTATTTTTTTTTTTGAGACCAGGCCTCACGTTGTCACCCAGGTTGGAGTGCAGTGGTATAATCTTGGCTCACTGCAGCCTCGACCTCCCAGGTTCAAGCAATCCTCCTGTCTCAGCCTCCCAAGTAACTGGGACTACAGGTGCACACCCCCACACCTGGCTAATTTTTTTAATACTTTGTAGAGATGGGGTCTTGCCATGTTGCCCAGGCTGGTCTCATACTCCTGAGCTCAAGCGATCTGCCTCTGCCTCCTAAAGTGCTGAGATTACAGGGGTGAGCCACCGCACCCAGCCTATTCTCTCATTTTTTGAGATAGGGTCTCACTCTGTCACCCAGGCTGGAGTGCAGAGGCACAATTACGGCTCACTGCAGCCTCAACCTCCCGTGCTCAATTGATCCTCCCAGTAGCTGAGCCTACAGGCACACATCACCATGCCTGGCTAATTTTTTTTTTTTTTTTGACATAGTCTTGCTCTGTCGCCCAGGCCAGAATGCGATAGTCTGATCTCAGCTCACTGCAACCTCTGTCTCCCGGGTTCAAGCAATTCTCCTGCCTCAGCACCCAGAGTAGCTAGGACTAAAGGTGCACAACACCACGTCGGGTTATTTTTTTTTGTATTTTTAGTAGAGACGAGGTTTCACCATATTGGCCAGGCTGGTCTCAAACTCCTGACCTCAAATGATCCGCCCACCTTGGCCTCCCAAAGTGCTGAGATTACAGGTGTGAGCCACCACATCAGGACTAATTTATGTATTTTTTTTGTAGAGTCAGGGTTTTGCCATGTTGTACAGGCTGATCTTGAACTCCTGAGAACAAGCAATTTGCCTGCTTGGACTCCCAAAATGCTGGGATTACAGGCTTGAGCCACTGCACCTGTCTTCTTTTTTAACTTAAGATTGAGGGGGTACATGTGCAGGTTTGTTACATGGGTATATTGCATGATGCTGAGGTTTGGGCTTCTAATGATCCCATCTCCCAAGTAGTGAACATAGTACCCAATAGGTAGTTTTTTTCAATCCTGGCTCCCCTCCCTCCATCCCCCTTTAGGAATCCTCAGTGTTCATTGTTCCTATCTTTGTGTCCATGTGTACCCAATAAACAATGTATTTTACTGAAAAGACTCTTAAGTCTCTTTTACTTTACAAGTCTTTCCCCTTCCACCTTCCCCCTTTTTATGCCATTCACATGAGGAGGGAGAGAAAGGAGTCATTTTTCCTGTAGAATATCTCACATGCTAAATTTATCTGATTGTTTCTTCTTGAAGTCATTTAGCTTGATCATCCATTTCTGGTAAACTGGATTCAATTCTTCTTAAAACAGTTTTTTGGCTAGAAAACTTAATAGGAGATGGTGTGTACCTTCTGATGTATCACATCCTAAGGGACATATCCGATTGTTCCATTTTTAGAGATGTAAAAATTGAGCAATGTGTTCAAGTGTTCTTAGCCTGATCCATCCATTATTAACAGTTCTCTGTCATCCTTTTACCTAATGGTTATTGATGGTCATTGACTAGATTCATTATTTCATTACATGCTGTGAAGTGGTGATTTTCTAGTTCTATCATTCCTTCTGTCTTTATTAGCTGGGATGCTTCCTTAAAGAACTTATCATCTCTTTGGTTACTCTGAAATACAGTTCATACAGGAAAGGCAGGAGAATTGCTTGACCTTTCCCTTTATGTATCCATTTTCAACAAATTTTAATTCATTGTAGGTTTTTTTAATGCTCAGATTATCCCCTCCTTGGCCAGTGGAAGGCCCTTCAACTTGGCTCCTGTGCTGTTTTGATCTGATCCCAATAGTCTCTGATACCTCCCGTGCTTTCAGGAACTAAAAGCATCCACAGTTTCTTTCTGAGGCATTAATTAGACTTGGAAAACCCTTGCTGTACTCCCTACCCCCACCCTTTTGCCTATCCATGACAAGTAATGGTTTATATTAGTTGTATCCATTAGGAATGCTTTCAGCTATAAGGAAGCATAATGAACAGAGTTCTCTATTTATTCACAGAACAAAACGTCTGAAGCAGGCAGCTGTTAGCATTAGTTCAGCCGCTCTTGATGTCCAGAGCCAGTGTGGCTGTGCTTCTCCCAGCCACTCCTTCATGGCTTCAACATGGCAGCTCCTATTCCAGGCATCATGCCCACCATCAGGGCAGGAGGACAGGGGAAGGCCAGAACCAGCTGCAGCTGTCCCTTTGTATGAGAAAAACAAAAGCTTTCCACAAACCCTTTCCCTTGCCCCACAGTTGAATTCCATCTGGATCTATTGGCTAGAACCAGATTCTATGGCCACCTCTATTTACAAAAAAGCATAGGAAAATGAGCAATTAGTTTTGCTGGTCTCTACAGTCCAGGCAAGGGAGTGGGGTTTGAGAGTGAATATAGGGCTACTGTTTCTGGGAGCCCTAATAATAAAACCAGGGTAAGGCAAGTAGATTCTGGGACCAAGACCAGATTCTGGTCTTGGTCCCAGAATCTACTTGCCTTACCCTGGTTTTGTTATTGTCAATGTTACATGTGTAACACTTCCTAATTTTGAAGCAGAGTAGAAAAGTTAAAGAGAATTGTGATCTGGAAATTAGTAAAGCTTTATTTTCAAGACCACCTAAGGAAGTAAGCATCAGCTGTTTTGACCTCCAGGCCCCAGTGCTTCAGCTCAGCTCTGTTCAGTTATTGGATGCCAAGTCCAATGGCTGGGTCTGCACTGTCCAGTGTCCCGTTTCCTCCTGTCTCTAAAGGGATGGATCAATCTCACCCTCATCAAAACACACACTTCATTTGAGCTACAGTGATTCCTCGTGATGGTGGAATACCTCATGGCCACAGTTTCACCAGAGGCTGTCCAGCCTTCACACTGTTTTGGTAAAGAGCAAGGCAAATGTTCAGCAGCACTCAGTACTGATGATAAAACACTAAGCTTATTCTGCACCAACTGATAAATGGCCACTGCCTGGAGCCCCCAAGTCCTTGGTTATCCCCGCTCCTCTTGGAAGTCCAGACAAGACCTCCTCTCAATCCAACAGCTAAGGGTGAAGGCCTGGCCTGGTGGGGACCCTAGGACTCTACTCTAGCCAGCACTAGGGCCATCTACTTTGTGTCCATCCATTTAGGGGTCATATGGCTCCAATTTTTAAAGTGTCTTGAATACTTTCCATGAGAAAGAAACCTTGTCACTATTCTTTCCTGTCATTTCTCTTGACCTTCCCTGTCTCAAGGACAAATGGGTAATTAATGATAACAAACTCAAGGAATGGAGGTGGATAATTTCATCACTGATAGTCTTGGTTTCTTCAAAGCTAATTCATAAATTTCTTATTAGAAAATTTGAGCTGCTCTGATACTGTTTTTTTTTTCCTTTAATATTCCTACTGCAAGTAAAAAAAGTCAGCCACAGAAGAACCCACTTGTATGATCCCATGTATATGAAGTTGAAGAAGAGGCAGCACTAATCTGTGTTGTAAGAAATCAGGTAGTGGTTACCCTGGTTGGGATACTCATGAGGAGGAAGCACAGAAGGCTTCTTGGGTGCTGGTTTTGCTCTTTTTTCATGATCTGAGTGTAGAGACTGATAGTCCATTAACCCAGTATCACCCTCCTCTTTTCTCCTTTCTATCAGAACGCTGATTTCCTTGTTGGAGCTGGGGTGGCATGTGATTGAGCTGAAAACTATATTTCCCCATCTTCTTTGGAAGTAGGGCTGGTCATCTGACACTCTTTTGGCCAATGAGATGAGATGCAAGTGAAAGTTCTTGATGGGACTTCCAGGAAATCTTCAGGTGGACAGGCTTTGTGGCCAGTGTCCTTCACCCTTCCCTAAGTACACTAAAGAATACATTGCCATCAGCCTTGGTCATCCCAAATGTCCATTTATGTGCTCATGTGTAAAAATCTCCCACGTGTTGCCTGTTCACTCATTCAACTAATACTGAGCACTTACTACCAGTTAGGTTGTGCTGATCAGGTGTTACGGATTCAGATGTTCCAAAGCCAGTGCATTAGTTCATTCTCACACTGCTACAAGAAATACTTGAGACTGGGAAATTTATAAAGAAAACAGGTTTCATTGGCTCATGGTTCTGCAGGCTGTACAGGAAGCATGATGGCTTCTGAGGAGGCCTCAGGAAACTTTCAATCATGGTGGAAGGCCCAGGGGAAGCAGGCATGTCTTACATGGCCGGAGCAGGAGGAAGAGAGACGGGGGAGGTGCTACACACTTTTAAACTGCCAGATCTCGTGTGAACTCTGTCAGGAGAACAGGACTATGGGGATGTGCTGAACCATTAGAAACCGCCCCCGTGATCCAATCACCTCCTACCAGGCCCCACCTCCAACTTTGGGGATTACAATTCGACATGAAATTTGGGTTTGGGTAGGGACACAAATCCAAACCATATCAGCCAGGCCTATAATTGGAGATGTAGGCCTGCAGTGAAGGACAAAAGCGGTGAACTGGAGGCCCTAGACCCTGGTAAACAAGGAGCACAGGGAGAGTGCTGCTCAGCTCTAGCAGATGTTAGAAATTCAAATCTCAAGTTGCAAGATCTTCCAATTTTTCAAGAGAAGCCAGAAATCTTGATTTTATTTTTCAAAATTAACTCTGCCAGGAGGTAGGACTTCTAGCTATGGCAGAGTCAAACTGGACAAAGTTGTCATATTAGTTTTCTAT
The DNA here is from genome assembly GCF_000001405.40 of Homo sapiens. Lineage (NCBI taxonomy): Eukaryota > Metazoa > Chordata > Mammalia > Primates > Hominidae > Homo > Homo sapiens. The sequence goes on from NC_000003.12 coordinate 43,276,175, forward strand.
TGCTGCATAACAAATTACCACAAACAGCAGCTTCAATAACACACACTCATTACCTCATTTTCTGTAGGCCAAAATTCCAGGTAGACTCTACTGGGTCCTCTGCCTAGTGCTTCACAAGACTGAATTCAAAGTGTTGGCCAGACTGGTCTCTTATCTGGATGTTCTGAGAAAGAAATTGCTTCATTCAGGTTGTTGGAAGAATTCAATTTCTTGCAGCTATAGGACTGATGTCCTGTTTCCTGGCTGTTGGCTGGGAATCACTTAGCTTCTAGAAGCTGCACTCTGGTCCTTTGTATATGGCCCTCCATCTTCAAAGCCAGCCATGGAACATTTTTAATTCTTCTCATGCTTTGAATCTCTGACTTCCCCCTTCTTCCCACTAGCAGGAGAAATTCTCTGATTCTAAGGAGCTCACATGATTATATTAGGCCCATCAGATAATCTCCCTTTTCATATAAAATACAGGCGTACCTCATTTTATTGTGTTTCACTTGATTGCACTTCACAGACAATAGGTTTCTTACAAATTGAAGGTTTGTGGCAACCCATAATAGGTTTTTCATAAGTTGAAGGTTTGTGGCAACCCTGCATCTACCAACTCTATTGGCACCATTTTTCCAATAGCACGTGCTCACCTTGTGTCTCTGTGTCACATTTTCGTAATTCTCATGATGTTTCAAACTTTGCCATTATTACTTTATCTTTTATGGTGATCTATGGTCAGTGATCTTGATGTTACTATTGTAATTGTTTGGGGGCACCACACACAGTGCCTGTAGTAGACAGCAAACTTAATAAATGTGTGTCTTCTGACTGCTCTACCAACTAACCATTCCCCCATCTCTCTCCCTTTCCTCAGGCTTCCCTATTCCCTGAGAAAGAACGATACTGAAATTAGGCCAATTAATAACCCTACAGTGGTCTCCTAAGTGTTCAAGTGAAAGGAAGAGCGGCAATCTCTCACTTTAAATCAAAAGCTAGAAATGATTAAGCTTAGTGAGGAAGGCATATCAAGCTGAGACAGGCTGAAAGCTAGGCTTCTTGCACCTAACAGTTAGCCAAGTTGTGACTGCAAAGGAAAAGTTATTGAAGGAAATTAAAAGTGCTACTCCAGTGAATGCATGCATGATAAGAAACTGAAACAGCTTTATTGCTGATATGGTCAAAGTTTTAGTGGTCTGGATAGAAGATCAAACCAGCCACAATATTCCCTTAAGTCAAAGCCTAATTCAGAGCAAGGTCCTAACTCTCTTCAATTCTATGAAGGCCGAGACAGGTGAGGAAGCTGCAGAAGGAAGTTTGAAGCTACCAGAAGTTGGTTCATGAGGTTTTTTTTTTTTAAGCCATCTCCATAACAGTACAAGTGCTGATGGAGAAGCTACAGCAAGTTAGAAGATTTGGCAAAGATTATTGATGAAGCTGGTTACTTTAACAACAGATTTGCAATATAGAAGAGACAGCCTTTCATTGGAAGAAATTGCCATAGACATCATCCATTGTGCAACCCATGGATCAAGGAGTAATTTTTACTTTCAAGTCTTATTGTTTAAGAAGTATATTATGGAGCCTGGGCAATATAGGGAGACCTCATCAGCATGAAAAATAAAAATTAGCGGGGCATGGTGGCACATGCCTGTGGTCCCAGTTATTCAGGAGGCTGAGGCAGGAGGATCTCTTAAGTCTGGGAGGCCAAGGCTGCAGTGAGCCATGATCATGCCACTGCACTCCAGCCTGGTTGACAGAGCAAGACTCTGTCTCCCCTCAAAAAAGAAGAAGAAGGAGGAGGAGGAGGAGGAGAAGGAAGGAAGGAAGGAAGGAAGGAAGGAAGGAAGGAAAGAAAGAAAGAAAGAAAGAAAGAAAGAAAGAAAGAAAGAAAGAAAGAAAAAGAATATTTTGTAAGGCTATAGCTGCCATAGATAGTGATTTCTCTGGTGGAAATTGAAAACCTTCTAGAAAGGATTCACTATTTTAGATATCATTAAGAACATTCATATGGTCAAGCACAGTGGCTCATGCCTGTAATCCCAGCATTTTGGAGGCCAAGGAGGGAGGATCACATGAGCCCAGGAGTTTGAGACCAGCCTGGGCAACAGGGCAAGACCCCATCTCTACAAAAATTTTTTTAAAATTGCAAGATGTGGTGGCACGAGCCTGTGGTCCCAACTACTCGAGAGGCTAAGGCAAGAGGATCACTTGAGCCTAAGAGATCAAGGCTACAGTGAGCCTTGTTTGCACCAATGCACTCCAGCCTGGGTAACCAGAGCAAGACCCTGTACCAAAACAAAACAAAACAAAACAAAACAAAACAAGAAGAATATTCACGATTCATGGGAGGAGGTCAAAATATAGACATTAACAGGAGTTTGTGAGAAGTCGATTCCAACCCTCATGGATGACTTTGAGGGGTTAGAGACTTCAGTGGAGGAAGTCTCTTCAAATATGGTGGACACAGCCAGAGAATTAGAATCAGAAGTAGAGCCTGAAGAAGTGACTGAATTGCTATAATATCAAGATAAAACTTGAATGGATGAGGAGTTGCTTCTTATGGATGAGCAAAGAAGTGGTTTCTTAAAATGGAACCTACCCTGATGAAGATGCTGTTAATATTGTTGAAATGACAACAAAGGATTAGAATACAACATAAACTTAGTTAATAAAGCAGCAGCAGAGTCTGAGAGAATTGATTCCAATTTTGAAAGAAGTCCGACTGTGGGTATCACACACTCAAACGTCATCACCTGCTGCAGAGAATTCTTTCGTGAAAGCACGAGTCAACTGAAGAGACAAACTTCATTGTTGTCTTATTTTAAGAAATAGCCACAGCCACCCCAACCTTCAGCAACCACCAACCTGATCAGTAAGCAGCCATCAACATCGAGGCAAGACCCTCCATCAGCAAAAAGATTATAACTCACTGAAGGCTCAGATGATTGTTAGCAGTTTTTAGCATAAAGTGTTTTTAAATTAAGGTGTGTACATTTTTAAAGATATACACTTAATAGACTACAGTAGAGTGTAAACATAACTTCATATGCACTGGGAAACAAAAAAAGCTGTGTGACTCACTTTAATGAGGTGGTCTGGAACTGAACCTGCAATATCTGTGAGGTGTGCCAGTATTACATATCACAGGAGTGACATCTCATCATATATACAGGTTTCACCCAGACTCAGAGGGGTAGGGATTATACAAGGGCAAGGGTCATTGAGGTTCATTCTTAGAATTCTGCCTATCACAGTTTTCAAAAGCAATGATTTCTTTTTTGAAAATTTTTAAACATTTTAATTTTTGTAGAGATGGGATTTCACTATGTTGCCCAAGCTGATCTCAACCTCCTGGCCTCAAGTAATTCTCCCACCTCAGCCTTCCAAGTTGCATGGATTACAGCGTAAGCCACAGTGCCTGGCAAAAACAATGATTTCAGAACACTAGAAATAGACTAAAATCAAATGAACAAAACAAAACCGAAAAACGAAAAAAGAGAAATATTCGTTCATGAAGAAATTCTAAAACTTCAGATATTAATAGTGGGAGTATGTATTCCATTCCCCAGTCCAACCCTCAGCTCAGTTGGTGAGGTAGTGTTTACCAGGGGATGACTGGCTATGAAAACCAGTAGTGTTGTTTTGAAAGACAGCTCATTTGATTTGGAGTGGAGGGCACAAACCCACGCTCTGTGGTATTATCTGTAAAAGTAGTAAACATGGTAGGAAACAGAGGGGGAAAATACATAGCTTGGCTAGTCTGAGCCTGCAATCCTTGGTGTAAGGAATGAACCAGAAAAAATGTAAAGGGAAGAGCATGTAAAGAAGAGATCCATTGAAGGACTAGATAGATAAGCTTTCCTCACATCCCTGGCTGACTGGGAAGGTAAGCACATGTGCCAGGGAGACCTGAAAGGGTTTAGCAGAAAGTAAAAGCTGAAGTAGGCTTGAAAACTACCTTGCTTTTCAATTCATGCACAGATTCATCAGCAAAGTGTGGAAACCTTATGGGTTTGGACACAATGTCTGCCCGATCATTGGCTGACCATTAAGATATGCAGATACAGAGGCAACCATGGGGAAGCCAGACTAAAAAATATAACTAAGAACAAAACAACTGAGCAGAATCATGTGCTGCACATCATGAGGGAAGATTCTGCGGATTAAGTTCAGGCAAGCTACTAATGAAAGGGGGGGAAAGCTTTCAAAGGAGAAAATCAGAATCCAGAGCTGCTACAACATATAATTTTAAATGTCCAGTTTTTAATAAAAAATACGAGACATGGAAAGAAACAGGAAAATGGGACTCAAGATGAGGGGGAAAAAGCAACTATTAGAAACTGACTGGCCAGGCACGGTAGCTCATGCCTGTAATCCAAACACTTTGGGAGGCCAAGGCAGGTGGATCACCTGAGGTCAAGACCAGCCTGGCTAACGTGGTGAAATCCCGACTCTACTAAAAATACAAAATATTAGCTGGGCGTGGTGGCAAGCGCCTGTAATCCCAGCTACTCAGGAGGCCTAGGCAGGAGAATCGCTGGAACCTGGGAGACAGAGTTGCAGTGAGCCGAGATTGTGCCATTGCACTGCAGCCTGGGCAAGAAGAGTGAAATTCTGTCTCAAAAAAAAAAAGAGAAAAGAAACTGACTATACATATCATATTCATGAATTGAAAGACTCATTATTGTTAAGATGATAATTCTCCCCAGATTGATCTATTCATATAACATAATCTTCATCAAAATTTCAAAAAGTCAACAATTTTTTTTGTGGAAATTGACAAGCTGACCCTATAGTTTACACGGAAATGCAACGTGCCTAGAATAGTAAAACAATCTTGAAACAGAACACTATAGATGGAAGACTTACTCTACTCGTTTTCAAAACTTACTATATAACAATAGTAGTCAAGACTGGATCATAATGGTGTAAGAATAGCCATATAGATCAACAAAAATGAATAGAAAATCCTTACATTAAGTTGATTGCCAACAAATTGCCAAGGCAATTTAATTGGGAAAGGATACCGTTTTCAACAAATGATTCTGGGATGATTAAATATCCATAAGCAAAAATCAAATGAAAAAAAAAGCCCCATAGCCTCTAAACCTCTCATCATGAGTAAAAATAAATTCAAAATGGATCATAGACTTAAAGGCCAAACTTAAAACTATAAAACTTGAAAAGACCAGAGAAGAAAATCTTTGTGACCTTTGCTTAAGCAAAATTCTTAGATATGACACCAAACCAAGGATCATGAAAGAAAAATTGGACAAATTGGAATTCACCAAAATTCAGAACTTTATAACTTCTAAACACATCATTTTAAAAATGAAAAGACAGGCCACAGCCTGGGAGAAAATATTTGCAAATCACATTTCTAATTAAGGACTTATATCCAAAAAGCATAAAAAATTCTTACAACACAATAAGACAAACAACACAATTAAAAATGGGCAAAAGATTTGAAAAGCCCTTTTATCAAAGAAGATATATGAATGACCAAAAATCACATGGAAAGCTAAGGAACATCATTAGTCATTAGGGAAATGCAAATGAAAATCATGAGATACCACTATATATGTATTAGAATGGTAATAATCTAAAAGTCTAACAGTGCCAAGTGTTGGCAGGGATGTGGAAAAACTAGAACCCTCATACACTGTTGGTGGTAATGTAAAGTGGTACAGTCATTTCAGAAATAATTTGTCAGTTTCTTAAAATGTTAAGCATAGAGTTATTGCATGACCCCAAAATTCCACTCAGCAATGTACCCAAGAGAAACGAAAATATGTCCCCACTAAGAGTTTAAACAGTCATAGCAACAGTATCCATAATAGCAAAAATCTGGAAATAAATGAAATGTTTATCACTTGGATGGATAAAGAAAATCTAATATATCCATATAAAGGAATACTGTTCAGCAACAAAAAGGAATGAACTACTGATACATGCTAGATGGAAAAACATTATGCTACATGAAAGAAGTCAGACACAAAAGAGTACACATGGTATGATTCCATTTATATGACATTTCTAGAAAAACACAAATCTATAGAGACAGATAACAGATAGTATGTGTTGAGGGCTGAAAGCTGGAGTGGGATTGATTGCATGTGCACAGGAGAGACCTTTTGGGGTTGATAAAAAAATTTTTTTTTGAGATAGGGTCTCACTCTGTTGCCCAAGCTGGAGTGCAGGGGTGAGATTCCAGCTCACCGCAGCCTCGCCCTCCTGGGCTCAGGTGATCCTCCCACCTTAGCTTCCCAAGTAGCTGGGACCAAGGTGCATGCCCCCATGCCCAGCTAATGTTTTTCATTATTTTTGTGAAGACGGAGTCTCTCTGTGTTGCTCAGGTTGGTCTTGAATTCCTGGCCTGAAGTGATCCTCCCACCTCTGCCTCCCATAGTTTTGGGATTACAGGCGTGAGCCACCTCTCCCAAGCCAGATGAAAATATTTCAAAAGTGGATTGGGGCGATGGCTGCATAACTTTATAAATTTACTAAAAAACCATTGAATCGTCCACCTATTATTGGTGAATTTTATGGTATGCAGATTATATTCAATGAAACTGTTAAACAAAAGTATTAAATCTCCCAATTTAAAAATGTTCTCAACTAATTCAAATTCTTAAAGAACCTATGTGGGGAAAAACAATGCCACAAGTCTGTGGGTGAAAAGCCCTGGGACTGCCTATTTGCAACCTCAGTGCTAGGTGGCAGGAATAGAAATTTAAATAAAATACAATCCTTGTCCCCCCAGAGTTTAAGATCCAAAGGGAGAAAATGGAACAATAAAATTACAAAACTGTATGATACTATGAGTGGGAGGGTATGGGGGTCCCAGAGAACTCCTGGCTCTGACTGGAGTGGGACAGTTAGGAGTAGCACAGAGGATGTGACATGGGAGCTGGATTTTGATGGGTAAGTAGGAATTCAGGAAACTGCGGGTGTAGTAAGTGGAGAAAAGGAGTAGGTGACATTTCCAGACAGAAGGAACAGAATAGGCAAAGACTGGGAATTGTGAAAAGTCAATTCTCTTTGTGAGAACTGGGAAGGCTGGAGACAGGGTACACATGCAGAAAAGAAAGTGCAGGAGAGGAAGCCAGGGACCAGATCAGGAAGGGCTTGGTAGGCTGTATTGACGTTTTTAGATAAGGGATTTATCAGGATTTATTTGCTGAAAGAACAACATGGACATGCTTCTTTTGGCCTAAATTAGACTTTGCATATTTTGGCAAGATCATATTGCACACATTAAAAAATATTCATTAATATACTGCTTACTATATGCCAGCCTTTGTTCTAATACTTTATATAAACTCAATCTCATCAACTCTGGTTCTCAAACTCTAATCTGTCTCAGAATCACCTGCAAGTCTTAAAACAGAGAAATCAGAGTTTCTGATTCAGTAGGTCTGAGGTGGAACTGGAAAATCTGCATTTCAATCCAGTTCCCAGGAGAAGCTGATGCTGCTAGTCCAGGGAGCACACTTTGAGAACCACTGCTTTACATCAAACTTATAAGAAAGGTATTATTATCATCACTGTCTTTCTCATTTTACAGAAGAAACATATAGAAGGTTATGCAACTTTCCCAAAGCCATCTTGCTCTTAGCAGTAGAGATGGGGTTAAATGTCAATGTCTGTCCTATCTTCTAGTTCACTGGTTGCAAACAAGCAGAGTTAAGGACTGGCATTTCCAATTCTTGTTTGCAACTATCAGAAATATCTCTCTCTCACACACACACACACACACACACACACACACACACACACACAGGACCTTAACTGACATCTGAGATAAAAGAGTAGAAGATGTTAACTGATGCCCATAGGGTGGTGAAGGAGTCTTTGAGGAACTCTTTAGGTCATTCCAATTAAGTATTATTTTGATCCTACTGGGGTGAAGCCAGGATCTAGAAATGCACAAGTATAAATGTATGAAATAACTAGTTAAATATGTAAAAGGGAATGTTGTTAAATAAAATGTCACAACTCAAAATTGAACTGTGTATGAATATTCAATGTCTGTTGTTTTAAATACATTTATTTTAAAATTTGAAATAAATTACAAAAACTAACAATATCCAGAGAAGATAACCTTGTTACATATGCTGCTTTTGGGGTTCCAAAGATGAAAATGACAATTCTTTCATCAGTCTGCTCAATTTTCACATTTTGATCTAATTTGTGGCACCTCCCTGGTTTCCTTCCAATAAACAACATCTTCCTTAAACTGGTGGCATTATGTTATTTTTGAGATCTGAATCACAGAGACTGTAATACAAGCAAGCATGCTTCATCTTGTCGTTTTGTAGAATGCTGTACATCTAATTAAAGCTTCTTACAGGTCCATAAAAAGACCCAACATTAAAAAAGCAGTGTGTTGGAGAAAGCCCCAGGGCAGAGTGGAAAAGGAGTTTCTTCATTAACTATAAGCACATTTGCTTAAATTCCAACTTAAGTAATACTATTAATTTGTACTTGAATATCTTAAAATATTGCCGAAGCATAATCAAATCATGTCACCACATTTATGGTGTGGAACCAAAACTGGGTCATATTCTTGCCAGCAGCACTTCAGCTACCCAAGAAATACTGGGGATGAATAAATGATTTACCATGTGGCCAGTACTGCGTCCTTCTCTAGAAGAGTATTGCAGCCAACTTCATTTAAATCAATTTATTATTTTGCCCTTTTTCATTTGTTTTGCTCTTTTATGCCTTGTTTTCCTTAGAAAATTTATTCAAAACCTAGTTAAACAGCAGCAATATAAATACTTTATTTTTCAAGAGCTTATATATTATCGTCATTGTTCTGTAGTTACTGATATAACTCAGGGACTACAGACCCAGGGGTGGAGGCCTTCGACCACTGGAAATCCCTTGGGAGACCATTACAGTGGTATTTTCTCCCTTTAGTTGGCTACAGAGTTCCCTGAATAGTGATATCTCCCTGAGGAGAAAAGTGCATGGTCTTCCTGATTTCTAGCAACAAAAGGACAAATTCTACAAATCCAAGTTAGGAGCTCTTGCTTAATATGCTGCTACAGTTACGATTTCCATGTCAAAATGAGATGACTCTTTTATGGTCTTTTCAGGTCAGAGTGATCCCAGGTGGGACCCTAAGGCGCAGAGGCCTAATCTGAGGCTTTCCCTGGTGCTCTCCCACCACCTGATGCAAGGGTATTAGGGTAACTGGGAGTCCCCTTGATCAGAAAACCCTATGTTATTACCCTAAGAATCAAACTGTTTGCACCTCCCAACAATCCACTCCTGCTTCCCAATCATCTTCAGACATGCAAAGTTGATGCATAGAAGCTAAAAGGCTTTTGACATTTGCAGGTCAACAGAGATTTGCTAAAACCATCTAGATTTCTCTTCGCAGTCCAGTCAATTCAACCAAGCCTGCAGCATCTCCGCAGCTCTTCTGGCTTGTGTCCTTCCTTGCTAGGGGTCCTTTCTTGGGGAAGGGTGGACACAACGTGGGAACAGAAGGGGAAAAGCAGGTTGAAGAAATCTGGCGTCTGGTTTGTTGGTGTTCCCTTCCAGGAACCCTGAAGAGCTGGTCTCTATTGCATGCCATGCTTCCAGGGGTGGGAGTCGGGAGTCCCCTCCCACCCTCTGCGGCCATCCCTAAGCTCCCTTCCAGAGCAACCTGGCCTGGCGACCATACCACTGAACCATCAAGGGCTATGGTTAATGCCCGGCGTGTTTTGAATCTCTGACTTCACGTGCTTTGATGTGTCCCCACGACCGTTTACTTTTCTATGCTGTTGCCAGAGGCTGCCTAGCAGGGCCTGTGTCTCCCGCTGACCTTTAAGGCCAGCACTGCATTCAGATGTTGGGCTTTTCCAATTTTGCTTAAATAACAACAAAATCAACCGAATTTTTTCAAATTAGAGTCCCAGGGAGAAGAAACTACAGAGAAAAAAATCATATTATGTATATATATGTATATACATATGTGCATGTGTGTATGTATATGTATTTTTACAATTTTTTTATCCTTGTTTAAACCTGGGCGGGAACCAAAGAGTAAAGCGCGTGCGGCTCCCTGCCCCCTGCCGCCAAGACGCAGTCCTGTACAGACGCGGTCCCTTCCCTCCGATTTCCCCTGACAGCTCGCGCTACTTTTTCCCGGCCATTGTTCCGTGTCCCTGGTGCTTCCTCCTCCCCCGTCCTCCATCCTCCTTGGGCGCCTTGCCCGCTTTGTCCCGCCAGCCGCCTCAGCCCCGACTCGCCGGGGTCAGAAAGCCGCCAGGATGCCCTCCAGCAGCCCGCGCGCCGGCCGCAGGTGCGCGCCGCCCCGCCCTGCCCTTCCCGCGGCCCCGCCCCAGCGCTGACGTCACAGTGACGCGCAGCCCGCGCAGGCGCAGCTACCCGGCACCCCCTCCCCGCGGCCGGCAGCCCGCTCGGTATTATGATTAGCGCTGGGTGCGGGGTTTCGGCGGCCGGGAGGGAGTTGTCGGCGCCGCGGCCGCTGCGGACGGACGCTCGCCTGCCGGCTGAGGTAGGGGCGAGCGCGGAGCGCGGCGGGGCGCGGCGGCCGTAGGCAGGGGTGCGGGGCCGGCCTCCGCCGCCTCAGTAGCCTCCGCTGTTGCCGGGCTGGGCGCCCGGGCCGGGGCGCTCGCCGCAGGCGGAAAGTAAGTTGCGCTCTCGGCGCCGGCCGCAGCGCGCGGCCCGGGAGGACGCGGGGCCCGGGCTGCGGTGGCCCGGACCCCGCGGCGCGGCCTGGCGGCGGGGCGGCGGCGGGGCCCGGCGGGAGCCGTCACTGCGGCGGCGGCCGCGGTCGCCTGGAGGCCCTGCCCTTGCGGCCGCGGCGGGATTGCGGCACCTCGGAAGGCGCCCGCATCCCCGCGCCCCGCCCCGGAGCGGGCCGAGTGCGGCGCCCGCGGGGCCCCGCGCCCTGGGCGCTTGGTAGGGTGTGTGTTCTTTGAATGCGTTTTCCCCTTTCAGAAGACTGTAGAAATCCGGCCTCAGCAAAAGGGTTCCGTGGTCAAACTGCTTTACAATAGAGTGGGGATGTTGTCTGTAGAGAAAGGGCAAAGGGGTAAGGAAAGAGGAGCAGTGCCATTCCCGAGGGAGAGCTAGAATTTTTGCAGACTGGGAGACTGGGAAATCTACGTTCTTTTCCATAGTCATCGCCTGTTGATTTCTTTCTGGTCCATTTTACAGGGACCTTCCTGCCTTTTACTTGGACTTGGGTTGCAGGAAAGTGGCAGCCTTTTATCTTCGGGGTTCTTGGAGCTGTGCTATTTGTAACTGTTGGATCGCATACAGTCCAGTAGTTTCATAGGGAGTTTCAGGCTTTGGGGAGAATTTAGCAGTGGAGTTCCTAAATCTATAGAGGTCTGAGGATATGGGACCTTTCAAACTGTCATGTTACTTTCCACCCCCCTTCCCTTTAATTATGTGCATTCTTAAAGTCTTAGGAACCGTGGTAAAGTTGACTTAATGCCTTAAACATTTTGTCAGGTTTTAAGGTGAAGCATGGCTTGCAAGTGTTGGACATCCTGTTGAATCTCCACCAAGTTCCTATCAAACATGAAATGCCTGAGTTTGGGCTCCTTGTATGGGATTGGAGCACTATGTCCCAAACCAGTCTTTAACTTATCAGAATATATACAGCAGTGTACTTTAAAGCCCGGGTTGTCAAGGCTTATGTAATCAGTTTGTTAATTTATAATCTCGTTACATTGCTTTCCAGATTTATAAAATAATTCCCTTAAGGAAATCTGTCCTCAACGTCTGCTTAAATATTTCTCTTGGAATTGGATTCTTGAAGAGGAATGTACTGTACAAGTGATGATTAAAGCATACTAATTAGACAAGTTTCTTTTTTTAAAGAACACCAAATACCAAATTTTTAATCTGATTATCTGTGTAATTGTCCTTGAGAGGAGAACAGGTGGACATTCCCATTTTACAGAACTAGAAATGAGAGAAATTACATGACATTTCCAAGGTCACATATTGAAGCAGTGTAGAAAGTCAGGTGCACAGTGCTAACTTTTTATAATACTCTCATCCTGAAGGCTTTTCAGGCAGGAAACTTTCAGTGCCACCTTTCAATTTTTTTTTAAATTTGTATAATCAGTTTTTAATTGTTCATTTTGTGCACAAAAATTACTCTCACCGTATTTTTTAATAATTCTGAGTATTTTTTTCTGTTTTACTGCAGTAAGATCCATTAGTCTAAAACATGCTAGAACTCAGAAGTTGTACTAATTTTATTTTTCTAGACCAGAAGTATAGGTTGGGTCTTTATGGTTTAGATTTAATCACATAATCCTAAAAGAAAGGCTTTTAAATGTCCTTATTAAAATTGAAGGGCTTTCGTGATATTTTTACTGGTCACAGGAAATACTGTTCATCTGAACTTCACTGTGAGTACTTCCCTCATACAGAAAGTGAAACCAAATAGAAAAATATTTATTTCTGGAGATACTGAGCAGCCATGGTTCTAAGTACTGGTATAAATAAGACATGATTTCTTCCCTGTAGCAGCTTGTCTAATCCTAAGAGCTCTTTACACTGCCCAAGAAGAAAAGGGTACAAATGAACTTTCCATAGGCCAGAATCTTAGGAATTAAAAACCGTAGATGAGAAACTCTAGACTTAATGTAACTGCATCCCAGCTGTTTGCTTAAAGATAGAGTGTTTATAACTAAGATGCTTTAGTAAGAAAACTGTTATTCAGAATTTAGGTATTTCCCAGTGTGTATCTATGTGCAGGTAAACTTAGAACAACTTAGGTGGAAAAATTGAGTGGATCCTAGCAGTTCTGAAGATAAACTTAACCTTTGATCATTTATTCATGGAATGTTTGTGTGTCTCTTTTGGTGGCCCTAGGGTAGAGGGAGGGCAGCAGTAGAAAAGTGAATAAAAACCAGTTCCTGACTGTAGGTTCTTAGAAGCTACTGGGGAACACCAAGGTAAACAGTAACAGTACGAACAGATGAACTGTGGTGAGGCATAGGGAAAAACCTGCAGAAGCACAAGGATGGCGGCAGTGAACAACCTGACATGGAAATGCTTCACAGAGGAGGTGATGGTTAAACTGGTCTTGAAGAATAGGAAGAATTCCCAGGCAGAGAAAAAGGGAAAAGGCTCAGGGGGTTCAGGGAGGGTGAGAAGACAAGGTCAAGTGGTGGGTGGGAGAAGAACATAGATCCAAGTGGGTGAAAGGGAGTTGAGAAGGCTGAGACAATGCAACTGTTCTTTCCTTAAAGCATTTGAAAAGGAAGGAGGGAAATGGGGCAGTTGCTTTGGGGGATGGAGGAGAAGGATTTTGGTGAGGTGTTTGTTTTGTTTTGTTTTAACTTTGGGAAGAGCTGGTATAAAATTCCTCAGATTTAATGGCCTCACGAGTGAGCACTGGAACTGTGTTGTCTGCTCTGGATAATCCAGAGCTACGTCATTGATCCTCATCTGCTTTTCTGCACATCTGCTTTGGGTTGTGGCTCTGTGTCTCATGGGAAACCATTTCTTGCTGGTGGTAGGGAAGGAACCTGTCTAAAGAGGATTCCTGCTTTGCCCTCCCTGAACATTTATTTCTCTGCTGTCACTTCCAGAGCCTCCTGAGAGTCTGCTTTGGCATCCCCAGCATTTGGCCTCTGCTCAGGTAGGCTGTTCCATGGCAAATCAGGCCTCTTTCCCTTTCCTTTTGCTATTATGCCCCCTAGTCTGCTGCCATGTGGCTACTCAAAAGTTACTTCAGACTCAGAGATCATTAGTTGTTCATCTAACATGTTTTAAGTTTTGGAGTATCTTCAGGCCCAAAGCAAGATTAGGTCTATCTGCACATCTAAACACATACCCTCTTGACTAATATTTGCCTGGACCGTTTAATGTAGGTTATGACAAAAATGCTCCAGGAACCTGGATTACACAACATAACGGTGGTCAAATCGCAGCCTCACTGGGCCTCAATTTCTTAATTGTTGACCTGCAGTTATCTCTCTTAAACCCATAATACTGTCAGCTCTTTGAAGGCAGAGACTACTTCTTTGATCTGTACATTATCAGACCCAAGTAATGCCGGGTACATAGTCTGTACCAAGAAGTGTCTTGGTGAAGAAGGTAAAAAAATCTAATCTTTAATTTGTTGATTTTATCAGCTTGTTATGGAAACCACACCCTTTCTAATAAAGCTGGGTTGGATTTGAATTGTTTTTCAATCATACAATTTTAGAACTAGAAGCAAATCCTCTACTTTCTGCTAGCATGTTGTAGATGTTCCTGTCCTGAAAGTCCAGTCTGAGAGAATGGCATCACCAGCTACCACTCTCCGCTAGAGTCATTCTGGATTTCTCCCTTTGCTTAGCCTCCTGTGCATTGAGTTCTTGGATTCTACTTCCAAAATGTGTCTCCTCCACAACATCCTTATCATCACTGCCCATATACCAGCTGCCCTCATTTTTAAGTCTTTAAGTAATTTACCTGGAGACATTTTCAGTTGTCTGCTTACCTGTCTTCTAGCTCTATTCTCGCCCTTTCAGTCTGATCTTCACTTTGCTGCCAGAGTAATTTGTTAAACCATCATCTCTGATTGCCATTCTCCTGCTCAGGATTTTTCTTGAGCTCTTGTTTTTGGCTCTTTATGCTAGCCTTCATTTGTTCATTTAATAAAATATATCTGTATATTTTGAGTAGATGCTATACTTGGCAGACCCTGGGATAAAGAACTAAATAAAATGAACATGATCCTTATGTGAACTGAGCCTGTCATTTAGTTTAGTGGGGGACACAGATTATTAACCACACAGTCACACAAATAATTATATGACCTCACATTTGTGATAAGGGTCATAATGGCAAAGGACACAGTGCTGTGAGTGAGTATAGGGAGCTGTATGTGCATGGAGTTGGGGAGGGCAAGGGGATGGTCAGGAAGTCGTCCTTTAAGCTGGGCCCTAGAGCATGGGTAAGGGCTAGCCTAGACCTAAGAAGTAGAAATTGATGAATTATATGGAATACATGCCTGACCTTGTCCCCTGCGCTCTGCATATATTGTTGTCTGAGTCATACTAAACTTCCTTGGGCCTCTTTCCTGAAAAGCCTCTTCCTTACCGTTGCCAGTTTCAGTTCTTAGCTCAAACACACAAAATTTATTTCTCCAGAATGCTGTCTGTGGCATTCTCCAAGGCAGATTTAGGAGAAAAGAACACCTCTTTTTGCGTATCTGTTCCCGTAAGAGACTGTGAATAAGTTGAGACAGAGACCTTCCTAGTATCCAGTACAGGTGTTTAGGGGCCAGTTTGTTGGGCCAATAGAGGATGAGGTTACTGATAAGAAAATGAGATGGAGAACTATATATACAACCCCTTTCAAATACTGTAATCTCATGGGAGGGAGGCCAGTTCTAAAGTTAGGGGGATAAAATCCTTAGGTGATTTGTATTCTACTCACACCCTGCTAATATATATTATCCCATTTAACTTTCACAATAACTGTCCAAGGTGGTGATTATCTTTATTTTATCAAGACATGCCTTTTCATAGAAGTTGAGTAACTTGTTGGGCTGTAGATCCTGTGGTACTCTTTCCACTGTGCTGTCATGCCACTCTGCATATGTGCTTAATAAATGAATTCTGATCATTCCTGAAGTGTACCTCTATGGTGAAGATAATAAGAAAAGTTAACTATGTGGTACTTTGAAATGTGGAATCTTAGGACTGTTATCCTAGCTCCTCCTCTGATGTTCCCTCGCCCCCAGGCAACTCTTAACTGGGTGTAGGACCTGGACAAAGTGAGTTTGTAACCTCATTGGCTTGGCCCTGCTTTTTCATTTGTAAAATGGGTATCACTCTTAAGGAATTAAATGATATAATGTAAAAAGTGCAGTACATACATAGATTCCTAGAAATTAAAATCTGTTTTCTCATTTTGAGACCTGCATTCAAACAAAACTGGAATTCTAATGGCCAACTGAGGCAGCAAAAGACATTTTAAAAATTAGAAATAAGACAAAAATCCATGGTTTTGCTTTACTCGTTTCTGTATAAACCTGCTTAGGTTACTAATAGATTTTTAGTAGTATGTATATGGGTGATAACGAGAGAGATCTATTAAGCCACAACAAAAATGTAGTGTTTTATGGAACTTTGTAGTGAACAATGAACTTTTAAAATTTGTTTGAATTCTCTAATAAGCTTATTTCTGTGTTGCTTTCATGTTAATATGTAAAGGATTTTCCTCTTTCATTGAGGCTCTTTGATGAGAAGCTTTTCCTGTGCATTTTTTATTCTTTAATGACGCTTTGACTAAACTTAAGTATAATTCAAACACAGATATGTGGTGAATTAGTTAGTATGGCAAATTTTCCATTTGTTTTGTCCAGCACGGTTGCTTAAATGATGAGCCAGTAGGTATTCTTCAGAATCAGCTGTAGGTATTCTTCAGAATCAGCTGCCTCTCTTAAAATTTATCTGACTTCCACTCCCAAATCATCACTTCACCTAAACTGGTGTTCTTTCCTAAGCCAGCCAGCTGTAGGCACTCTTACTTTGTTTCTTGTTTACCCCACTTTCAGGAATGGTGTTCCTCTACTCCTGTTGAAGGATAAGCCCTGGTCTGTGGGCTGCACCAGTCCTTGGTGAGCCTGCCATCTATAGTGTCCTCTATTCTTCCTCTGACATGCCTCACCTAGGCTCACTTGTGTAATTATTTCTCTTTTTATATGGGGATACTATTTTCTTTTCTTTTTTTTAAGTACTGGGATACATGTACAGAATGTGCAGGTTTGTTACATAGATATACATGTGCCATGGTGGTTTGCTGAACTGTAGGTCCTGTTTTCCTAAATCATTTTTAAGATTTGAATGGACAGGGACTGTGTTGTGTCCTGTACAGTTAAGGCTCAAATTATTTGTTAATGAAAATGACTTAGTGTTTCTGTTATTCAGACTGAAGCAGTTGCATACCTTTCTTTTCTTTTTCTTTTTCTTCTTTTTTTGAGACAGGCTCTTGCTTTGTCTCCCAGGATGGAGTGCAGTGGCTGATCTCGGCTCACTACAGCATGGATTCTTGAGCTCCGGTGATCAGCCTGCCTCAGCTTCCCAAAGTGCTGGGGTTACATACAGGTGTGAGCCACCACGTTGGGCTGCATACCCTCTTTCTCAGAGGAAGTAAATATTTCATTGAATATGCCTTGTTTATTAACATTACATAAATAGGCATTAGATAGTATAGTACGCAGTGTATTTTCAGAAAAATTGGTGTATTTCATAGATCTCTTAATGGAAAAGTAAATGGAATGAATAATTATGTACAGAAAGTCAAAAATTGAGTAGTCTCTGCCTTTCCTGGAGTATGAAAGCAGCACATATGCACTGTCAAAAATTTTAAAAGAACAGAAAAGCATAAAGAGAAAAAATATCCTGTAATCTTACTAATTTAACATTTTAAGTTTTTAAAATATATACATTCATACAGATTATATGCTTTTTATGAAAGATTGGGACAGGCCAGGTATAGTGGCTCACCCCTTGTAATCCCAGCACCTCGGGAGGCCAAGGCAGGTGAATCACTTGAGGTCAGGAGGTCAAGACCAGCCTAGCCAATATGGCAAAACCCCATCTCTACTAAAAAAAAAAATTAAAATTAGCTGGGTGTGGTGGCATGTTCCTGTAATCCCAGTTACTTGGGAGGCTGAGGCAGGAGAATTGTTTGAACCTGGGAGGTTGAGGTTGCATTGAGCCAAGATTGTGCCACTGCAATCCAGCCTGTGTGACAGAGTGAGGCTCTGTCTCAAGAAAAAAAAAAAGATTGGAATTACATGCTGTGAAGTTTGGTATATACAATTTTTTTTAAACTTAACATTATGTTGTGAGACTTTCCCCATGAAATGTAGTAGCCTCAAAATATGGTAGCATACTGTTAACGTTGGGTATATTGTGTTTTATTTAACCATCTCCTTATTGTAGACCTTTAGATGATTTGATTTTCTTTTGCATGTATAAATATCACTGAACATTGTTGAATATAAATATTTGTCCTCACCTTTCTTTGAGACATGAATCTAGTAGTAAGTTTATAGTCAAGGATATTAATTATTTTAAGGCTTTTGAGACAGATTGAGTATCTCTTGTCTAAAATGCCTAGCATCAGAAGTGTTTTGAATTTTGTCAGATTTTGTAACATTTGCAATATACATAATGATGGGACCCAAGTCTAAACATGAAATTAATTTCTGTTTCATTTATACCTATACATATATGCTAAAGGTAATTTTATACCCCATTTTTAATAATTTTATGCATGAAACAAAGTTATTACTGCATTTCCTCTCAAAAACTAATAGAAACTGTGATTGGTCACATGAGGGTTTTTTTTAACTTGTGGTGTCTTGTTGGCACTGAAAGTTTCAGATTTTGGAGCATTTTGGATTTCGTATTTTCACCTTAGGGATGCTCAACCTGTACACATATTGCCAAATTGTTTTTCAGAAAGGTAGCTTGCTTGCAGTCCCACCAGTGTAAGAGAATTCCTGGAATGAGCCTGTCTTTGAGTCAAAGTCAGTGAAATGTTAGGTGCCAGTATTTTGGTTTATTGATTAGTTTTTTTTTTTTTCTGTTCCACAATTCTTTTTTTGACCATTTTTTAATGATCACTTTTATCAAAATATTAGGAGGAATAAAAAGATGGTAGGGAGTTAAAGTGAGTTTTGACAGTGTTAATAAAAGCTTTAGATCAGAGATTTAGATTATTAAAATTCTCCATAACTTAATATTCTGTTTTCCTGGGCACAATAAGTAATTGTGGGTTGGCTTTATTTATTTTGGAGTAATTTCTATACACCCAGCTTTTGTTTAAGTCATTACTTATTATGTGAACACTTAATGCTGGAGTTGTCACCATACTAATTTTTAAGTCCTACTTACACGTAGGCAGAAATGATGACATGCTTAGCATTTTTCATCACTTTGACCAAGAGGCAGAATCTGTTTAGGAATTTCATCTGTGTTGCTGGTCCAGGTCTTGTGGCTTGGATGTTAATCTCTTCCTCTCTACAAATACTAAGTACTGTACATCAGTTAATGATTTGCCTAACTCCTGAGTACATTCAGATTACTTGATATATGTTGGACTGCAGCTTGTTTTACTTAGAGCAAATAAAGATTACTTAAACCAGTACTTCAAGGATTCTGCATTGGCAACCAAATCATTGCCTCAAGAAACTGGAACAGGCTTCTCACCATGACATTCCTAGTCCCCTCAGCGGCCCCTAGCCCATCAAATTGATGAAAACGAAGAACATACTTTAGTAAGCAGCTACCTTGTCTTGGAAAATGCTTTCTTAGAGACTCAGGAGTACAAATTGCTGGAAAGAACATTTCTAATAATAAATGACTTTAATCTGTTAATTTGTAGATCCCATCTTGATTCCATCCAGTGATTGCAGACTGGTAACTGCATAACCACATAGTAATACAACCAATCCAGTGAAAAACTCTGAATTCTTTTACAACTTAGGGCCTATTGACCTGTTTATGGTTCTTATCTTTGGTTTATAGCTTATATTAATAACTCCTAGGAGGAGGCATGCTGTCCTTAAAAAGTGAAATATTGTTTACTTTTTTTTTGTTTTGAGACTGAGTCTCACTCTTTTGCTCAGGCTGGAGTGCAGTGGCGTGATCTCTGCTCACTGCAACCTCCACCTCCTGTGGTCAAGCGATTCTCCTGCCTCAGCCTTCCGAGTAGCTGGGACTACAGGCCCATGCCACCACGCCCAGCTAATTTTTGTATTTTTAATAGAGATGGGGTTTCAACATGTTGGCCAGGCTGGTCTCAAACTCCTGACCTCAAGTAATCTATCCGCTTTGGCCTCCCAAAATGCTGGATTACAGGTGTGAGCCACCACGCCTGGCCAAAATATTATTTACTTTGAATAAAGAAAACAGCAGTGGTGACTGCATGATAGGGTTGTGTTTATTTTGCTTGACTTAAAGGTTATTCCTGGAAGACTTAGTTTACTGTCTTCCTTTCAGCCTATACCATTTTTAAAATTTTAGCAGTAAAATCAGGTTGGTAATATCATTGAGAGAGTGTTAATTCCTTTACTTAAGTTGGTTTTTCTATAGATGTACAATTTGGTCTACTGTTTCTCAGGAAGGATTACAGTTTTCATTTCTTGGTATGTGTAAAATATACCAGATAATTTATATGTATGAGAAGCTTAAATGCAGTTTTAGTGTAGCTTTGCAAAAACTCAACTTTTAGTTGTTTGTATTAGATGGATATACTGGCATATATATATATATATATGTATATATATATATTTAAGCATTTAATATGTTTGAGAGGAATATTGGTCGTCTGATTTTGGAGGAAAACTTATATTCTAAATGAAATGTTTATTATAGATAAGCTATAGAAGTAGTACAATTTTTGTGCACAGCCCTTTTTGTTCAACTCCTCTACTTTCTCATGCCATGGATTGGTTCACAGTGGTATCCAGGCAGAGCTGCCTTTGTTGAGCATACTGTTTTGTCCCTACCTCTCTCTAAGAGGTGTGAGGAAGAGGCATTTGTTTGATGTACAGATGAGACTGCAATGGTGATGATGTTGATGAAAACCTAAAAGTGAGTTTTAACAAGAATAACAGGGTGAATTCCAAATTGATAGTAGGTTTAACAGAAGCTGGTTCTACAACTGTTTTCAGCAGCTTGCAAAACGTGTGTAGGGCCACCCACACTTCCTTCCTCTTCTCCAGCCACACCCACATGCTTCAGTTGCTTCTGCTGTCTTCAGTAGGAGAACATCAGTATATTCTTGCAGCACATAACAGTACTTGTTTCTCAGACATAAGTTTTTATATTATGAGCACTCTTGGCAAGTTGGCCTATTTCATTTAGGTCCAGCCTAGTTATATGCCTGTGCTAAATAAAAAGGTTGCTCTAGAATGGCCTATCTAGTGGTTGCTGTGTAAAGACATGTTATCTTAGCTGTATAGTCATTTAAAATATTGATCTAGAAGAACTTAGTGCATGGGAAAATGTTCAGTTTATAAAATAGAGGAAAAAGTAGTTATCAAACTTCATGTCGAAAATCTTAGCTTTGTAAAGAACTGTTAAGTATAGAGGATGTACACTCGGACCTGATGAGAAGTCATCATAGATGAGCGTATAGGTGATTTTTACTTTCTTCTTTGTGCTTTTATGCATTTTCTAAACTTTCTAAAGTGAAAGTCTTGTATTAACTTTTCCAGCTTGTTTTTTGGAGAGAAGTATTGTGAAAATAGTTACAAATCTCTTTTTACCCTGACATCCCCCCAAGCCCGTAAGTATTATCCCCATTTTATTTTTTAAAATTGTGTCTGGCCATATATTATGAATAGAAAATAATTTGAAAGAATCTATACCAAAATGTAAAGCGATGTTATCATAAAGGGTGGGATAATGGATTTTTTTTTCAAAATTCCTCCCCCCCTTTTTTACTAGTCTGTATGTTCTAATTGTAGTTTTCTCCTGAATTAAACAGATTTTTCTTTCATAATTGTTTTTGAGATTTTCTGTAAGAATATATTTGATGTGAAAAAATGTAAAGGAGTATTAAGTCCTTTTTGAAAAGCTAAATTTGATAGAAAATTATATTAATATCATTTTAAAAGCAAATACTTACATTTTGTGAGATATTTTATTGAAAAACCCCCAGTCTTTGATGCCTAACTAGAGACATTATTTCCTATACCTTACAGCACTCATTTTCAATTTATTTTAGGAAACTGAACAGCAGTTCAGTTTCTGAACTGGTCTATCTTATGAAAGCAAAAGAGAGATAATAGTTTGGTGAATTCATTCGCTTGAAGTAGGGTCAGCAACTGAAAGAATTTCTGCTTGGATGGTGGGAACGTCGTCTGTAACAATGATGGTGGTGGTGGTAGCTGGTATTTACAGAATGCTTACTCTGTGCCAGGCACTATTCTAAACACTTTACCTATATTAAGTCGTTTGATCCTCACCATATCTTATGAGATTGTTTTCTTATTACTAACATTTTCTAATGAAGAAACTGACCATACAGAGAGGTGAAGGTAACTTGCTGAGTTCCTTTGGCTAGTGATTGGTGAGCTGGGATTCAAATGCAGTTGTTGGTCTTTAGAACCAGTACTTATTACTGTACTACCGCACTGCTTTGCCACAGAGACTAGGGATGAAACAGGGGCTGCTGGAAAAAGAGAAGCAGGCAAGGATAGTGGAAGGAGCTACTATATCCCTCTTGGAGCTGAAGAACCAGTCAGGTAGGCATCCCAGGGTTCATCTGTCACTAGATATGGACCTGTGCCCATGGCTTTGCCAGCCCTGTGTGTGCTGCAGAACTGTTGCTCCACATTCCCTCATTCCTGGCAGGACACTTGCTTTCATATCCAGAGGTCAACCACCTTTCCTCGTCCTTTCACCTGTCCTATCTTGTTTCCTCCATTCCCTTGCACTCCTTTTCTCCCAAGTGCATTTGAACTTTACCTGGACACCTCTCACCATTAGTGTATAGTGTAAATTATCATGTTGGCATAATGTGAATGTTTAGGCCTCTCTGTTATTCATGTAATAGTTTATTTTCATGGGAAGACCTGCAAGGCTACCTTGGTCAGTATTCCCTCATTGTGCCATGAAGTTTGGATATAAGTGATTTGCTCACATTCCTTTTGTTTGTGGTGATAGTTTCTTTGTTACTATCAAGTGACAGTCCTCGGATGATGAAGGTGCTTTGTGTGATCCCTAATGCTGGCATCATAAGTGATTTCCACTTGCCTTCTAGAGGACAGTGTGTTGTAAAGCTTGCCGTCCTTGGCTGCTATAGCGTGAGGGTTTCATGAGCCTTTAGGGGCTCCTAGAGACTGGGTGGTTTTGGTGCCAGGCTGAGCATGATTGGAGCTAGAGACTGCTGCTTCACAGGCAAGTTAAGCCTCATTGTACCTACTATGCAGTTTCATGGGGAGGATTCAGTGAAATGTGAGTTCGGGGCCTGTTGCAAGAGGCATTTTAAAAATGGCAATTGTACTGTTGTTCATTATTATTATTATTTTTGAGATGGAGTCTCGCTTTGTCACCCAGGTTGGAGTGCAATGGCGCCATCTCGGCTCATTGCAACCTCCGCCTCCTGGGTTCAAGCAAGTCTCCTGCCTCAGTCTCCTGAGTAGCTGGGATTACAGGCGCCCGCCTCCACGCCTGGCTAATTTTTGTATTTTTAGTAGAGACGGGGTTTCACCATATTGGTCAGGCAAGTCTTGAGCTCCTGACCTCATGATCCACCTGTCTCGGCCTCCCAAAGTGCTGGGATTACAGGCGTGAGCCACCGCACCCGGCCTTGTTCATTATTATTTCTTCATTCCAGTGGAATAATTTTTCTGACCTGTCTACCTGGAACAATCTCTGTTCACTCTGAAATCCCTGTTTATTAAATTTCGCTTAAAGGAGTTGTAATTCACAGAAGGCAGAAGGATAATAGGAGACTGGGTTACTAAAGACAAATTTTACTATTTTTATACATGTGTCTAGATCCAGCCTTAGAGTATATACTTTGACTTTAAGCAAAATTCAAACAAATAGAACTAAACCTGTATCTTTTTCTTTATTTTCTTTTAGGAAAAAGAAGCAACTAACAAAACACTGTGATAATAAGGATTATTCAGTATGCAGTTTGCAGGGTATGTCTTGGAGACAGTACAAATTCACCTTTACTTTATATAAGCCACATCTTAACATTGGGCATTGATGTTCAGAATGACTTTTGGGAGCTGCAAGATCCTCAGAGATCAAAAAAAATGATTTAGTTACTTTGTACTCTAACTCAAAATGTACTTAATAGTAGGATTAGACAGTAGACTAGTGTTTAAAAAGATGTTCAGGAACAAGGATATTTTTCGTCTAAACTTTCAGTTAATCATTGTGTCCTGTTCTTAGCTATACAATTTAATTGTGGTTTCATAGACTATGGAAAAGGGGTGCTCATATAAAAAGTAAATTATTTGGTAGTAAGAGTGATTGTTTCACTATAGGGTACTCATTGTGAAGATACCAATTAGATTATTTCTATTTAATCTATAGCTTGCTATAGATTAAAAATCATTTCACTGTGCCCTCTTGCTGGCAAAGGTTTGGGAAGAGAAACATTAGGGTTTAATAGTACTTATCTCTAGGTGTCTGAGGCTCTGAAAAAAAAGCTTTTTCATTTATTTTTGTAATAAAACTTTTATTTTCAAAAATCAGATTCATTTATAAAATCTGATTTATATGTCACTTTCCAGGAACACATCTAAACTAAAATGATAGATGAAAAGAACAAAGTTATATAACTTGGGGGCAGCCTGAAGGAATGTGTTTTGAAAGCTAAAGTGGCATTTGCAAGCTTATGCAATAGCAACAGACTTGGGTGGAATTTTAAGCATAATTATTGCCCTTGTAATTAATTGAAGTTAAATATTTAAAGATAGTTTCCTGCCCCCCCCCCAGAGTTTTTATATTTGAAAATTAAATATACCCAAATTAAAATTTCTTTTGGGGAACTGCTGTCCAAATAAAGCAAGGTCTTTCAATTTGGATTTTCCTGTTAATCCTGTCATTAAAGTTATTAGTTCAGATGACAGGGATAATATACATATGGAAGAAATTTGCTTCCCCCCACACACACCTAGGCATTGTATCAGTTTCTTATTTAAAAATCTTAATAGTTTAAAAATCTTAATAGCAGGATTAATAGTTTTGGTTCTGAAATCAGTTTGCAGACACAGCGTAGCATAGTGTTTTAAAGCACGGACTTTGGTGTCAGACAGCCGTGGGTTTCAGTCCCAGCTCTTTTACACACTGGCCATTTGGCCTAGGCCAAGTTACTGTGCCTCAAAAGGGGGTTAATAATTCCTGTCTTTGAGGGGAATTGTGAGGATTGAATGAGGATAATGTGAAGTATTTGGTATGTGACTGGTGTGTAATACTCATTCAGTAAATGGTAGTGCTATTTATTATTACAATAATTACTAAAGTGCAAAAAATATATTAGTAAACATATTAACATTGACTTTTTGAACTTATAATTTAACATACATAAATTTTTTGAGGGGGTTCTAGGTATGCAATTCAGATCATTTCTGAAGTGGTATAAATATAAAAGTGACTTTATGCTTCTTTTATAGTTGGTATTTTAACTCTAAAAATAATATTATCCTAAATGGGGCATTGATTAGAGTGGCCAAATGTTTATAAACAATGTGGGCTTTGAAATGTATTAATTAGGTGTGAATCCTAGGTTTTGTAGTTAATGTCACTTGTACCTAGAGCAGCCTATTGCCTTAGCTATAAAAATGAGACCAGTGCTGACTGGCCAGGCACGGTGGCTCCAGCCTGTAATCCTTGTACTTTGGGAGGCCAAGGCAGGAGGATTGCATGAGGCCAAGAGTTCAAGACCAGCCTGAGCAACATAGCAAGACCCTGTCTCTAATAAAAATAAATAGCAGTTTTTAAAAATTAAAAAAAAACTTACCTATTATATGTCAAATTTCGTTTTTTGGGATATTTTTATCTAAGTGGACTCAATAATTAATGCTCTTAATATGTAACTGAAAATGTGAAACTGTATATTGAGAGCAGTAGAAAAAGCTTCGTCAAAGGGATAGATACTGACTAATGGGAGAGAGCTAGCCTTAGGAGGTTGCTATATTCCTTGTTGGATTTTGTTACTCAGTTCTATTAAATGTTGGTCAGAACAAAAGTGAGGGTTCAGCCTGTGAGATATAAAGTTGCATCTTGTTTAATTTTATACACGTTTGTTTTTCTGAGTCATTGTCATTTATAAATAGGAACCTATTTCTATTCATTTATTGTAAAAGTTGAAATTTTTAAGTACAGTACGAAATGTGGTTCTTAAAAACCAAATGATTTTTAAGACTTAAATCATCTGTAAGAATGCATGCCTGTTTACTCTTGGAATATAATCACGTTATGCTGGGTTGTGATTGACAGTTGGAAAACAATCATTAAAAATCAGCATAACTGCTGAGTACCAGTAAATTAACAAATATTTACTAAGTACCTACTACCATATACCTAGAACCCCCTCAAAACATTTATATAAATTCAATTATAAGTTTAAAAAGTCAATGTTAATATGTTTACTGATATGTTAAGCACCTACTATGTGCCAGGAGCTTATCCTAAACAGTAGTGATGCAAGAGCAAACAATTACCTCCTAAACATTTTGGAAAAAGTTGCATTTCAAAATTTAATAAGACAGTTTTGATTATATGCTATTTGTAACCACTGTTCTAGGTGTTGGGGGAAAGTAGAAGAAAAAAAAATAGAACCTTAGAATAGAAAATCCCTGAGAACCTGCTACTGTCAGGTTAGAGGAGATGGTGTACCCAAATACCTGTAGAATAAGACCACATAGAATAGAGGTGTCCCAAGGTGCTCTGGGGATATTGAGGAGAGAAGGTAATTCCAGCTGGGAGAGTTAGAGAAACCTTCACAGAATGGATTTTTTTTTTTTTTTTTGCACTTAAAGGAAGTGGTGTTGGTCTTGGGGAAACTGAAAAGTTGTTGGGTTTCTGTGCAAATGTTTATTCTTTGTGTTTTCCCTTGTCAACTGTTGCGTTATTTTTTAAGACACTAAAATTCCTTTTAGAAAATGTTTGTTTTTTAAACATGCTTATCAAACTTGCCAGTTTTCTTATTACTCACATCACCAAAAAATTGCTTCCAATGAACTAATTTTTTTTTCAGTTTGCAAAAACTTGATATGGTATTTAAATTCAGCCTTTGTAATATAAAGTCTAAATGTAAAAATAGGTTTTATTAATGACCCTGACTCATTTTTTATCTCAATTTATTTTCTTCAAGTTTCTCTTAAAATGAAAAAAACAAAAAATGAAGTGATTTTAAAGTTTGTGAAGAAAAGTCGCAGAAACTTAATTTTGTTTCTCTTCTTATTTTGTAGATATCCATGACGACATTGAAAATGAATTTTTTGTATTCACCAGATATTCTTATATGAGAAGATCTATTTTAAACAGTCTAAATATTTTTTCTTCTGTTGGACCAGCATGGCAGGATTTAAGCGAGGGTATGATGGAAAGATTGCTGGATTATATGATCTGGATAAAACCTTGGGTCGAGGCCATTTTGCCGTGGTTAAACTTGCCAGGCATGTCTTTACGGGTGAAAAGGTGGCAGTAAAAGTTATTGACAAGACAAAACTGGACACTCTAGCTACTGGTCATCTTTTCCAGGAAGTGAGATGCATGAAACTAGTGCAGCATCCTAACATCGTCCGCCTTTATGAAGTTATTGACACCCAGACCAAACTATATCTTATTCTAGAACTTGGGGATGGAGGAGATATGTTTGATTATATAATGAAACATGAGGAGGGTCTTAATGAAGACTTGGCCAAGAAGTATTTTGCTCAGATAGTTCATGCTATATCTTATTGCCATAAACTCCATGTGGTTCACAGAGACTTAAAACCAGAGAATGTAGTCTTCTTTGAAAAACAAGGTCTTGTAAAGTTGACAGACTTTGGGTTCAGCAACAAATTTCAACCAGGGAAGAAGCTCACTACAAGCTGTGGATCTCTTGCATATTCCGCTCCAGAAATTCTGCTTGGTGATGAGTATGATGCACCTGCAGTAGGTAGGTAACCTCGGTCCAGTATTTGGCCATTTGAATTCTGCCAGCTAGAGTTGGTCAGATCGGTTGTTTATCTAAAAATGATTTCTAGAGAATTTCTGTTAAATTGGCCTTAACTAGCAAATTGGGTTTCATAAATGCCATATATGCCTAAAGCTGGCATTTCGTTTATTTCAACCTTTAGATGGCAAATGTCTAAAGTATATTTGTGAGTACAAAGGAAAATGAGTAAGTTATCATTTAAAGTAATCTCTTTTCTGTTCATTGTCATTTTTTTCTTAAGGTCTGAATGCTTTTCCTCAGATTTTTCTTTTAGTGGCTCTCTTTAGCCATCTCCTCTCTGTGCATATCGTCTAACAATCATTGGAGACCCATATTGGAAAGGTACTGTGAATATTACAGTGCAATATAAAGAATTTGGGTATTAGAATCATTTATTAACTGTGAACTTGAACAAGTGCTTGACCTCTCTGCTTCATTTTTTATCCATAATATAATATTGAATCAGGTACAGGTGTAGCACTCCCATATTATCTTGTTTACTTTTCACAGCGACCCGTGGGGTTGTTATTGTCTATCTCATTGTTCAGAATAGGAAACTGACATACAGAGGCTTTCTGTATGGTGGATTCTGGAATTGTGGTACCTTTGGCATTCCTAACTACCTTCTTTCCCTCTCCACACACTTTGTGCTCTTTCACTTGTCAAGATTTATCTATTTGTGGTGAAAGTATTTACTGCCTTTCAGTTTGTGTCAACTTTGTCTCCTTGGGATTGTATTTGTTTTGAAGATCATGTAGGAATTTGTTCTTAATTTTTTTAAAGGATTTGTTGATCCGAAGGTGCAGTCAGCTTTTTAATTTGTTAATCTTGGAAAAAAATACATGCACATGATGTCAGATTCATATGTATGAGTATTCTGCTTGCATTTGTGGTAATTTGAAATGCAGGTTAAAGGATTAATGACAAAGGTGCACTTAACATTGAAGAGTGTTGATGTTATATTGAATACTCTGTACACCAAGACACTGATTTTCATGTTATGACTATCATGTTCTGGAAAAGAAAGGGTTAATGAGCAGTTTCTGCCTACTACAGATAACTAGACTTCACTGAAGTCTTTCATTAGAATATCTGAGCGGAGATTTTTGATTAATGGAGCCATTCTAATCAGACAGTGAAGCCAGGAATTTCCAGGAGAGGAAACACAAATGTCTACCCAAGAAAAAATCTTCACCCTCATTAGTGCAGATTTAATAAGAGTATCTTATTAAAAATAAAGTACTCTTTAAATCTATTAAAAATAAGATACTCTTTCATACTTTTCACATTGGGAAAAACTGAAGTCAGACAAAACTAAGTGTTGGTAAGACCATAGAATATCAGGAACTCTTATTTAGAAGACAGTTTGGCAATATCTGGTAAAGGTAAAGATGTACACATCTGATAACCTAGCAGTTCTCTCCTATATATGCACCTCAGAGTAGCTCTCACTTATGCATACAAGAGATTTTCAAAGAACGTTTTTAACAGCATTGTTGAATGTACAGCAGGGGAATAATTCGTTCAGTATTCATATTCTGTATACGGTGAAAATTAAACAATTTGCCAACATGATTGGATCTCACAAGCATACTTTTTAAGAGAAACAAAGCAAATTGATGAAGAGTACATATAACATTTATATACAATTTTTTTTTTTTTTTTTTTTGAGACAGAGTCTCGTTCTGTCACCCAGGCTGGAGTGCAGTGGTGCCCTGTCGGCTCTCTGCAAGCTCTGCCTCCTGGGTTCACACCATTCTCCTGCCTCAGCCTCCCGAGTAGCTGGGACTACCGGCCCCCTGCCACCACGCCTAGCTAATTTTTTTTTTATTTTTAGTAGAGACGGGGTTTCACCGTGTTAGCCAGGATGGTCTTGATCTCCTGACCTCGTGATCCACCCGCCTCAGCCTCCCAAAGTGCTGGGATTACAGGCATGAGCCACCGCACCCAGCCAACATTTATATAAAATTTTAAAACATACAAAGCAGTGTTATATATTGTTTAGGAGTACATGAACATGTAGTACATGTAGTAAACTCTGAAGAATGCATGAGAGCAAGATAGGTTACTTCTGAGGGGCAGGCATATCTGTAGGCTTTCAGCTGTATTGGTGATGTTTATTTTTGAAGTTGGGTGGTGGGTACACAGGAGTTCATTGTAATGTTCCTTTTTCTTCCCCCCTTATGTCTTAAATATTGCATAATAAAACTTTTAAAAAGCTATTAAAAAAGGAAAAGAAAACCACTTGGGAAGATGTTCACCAGTCTGATAAATGATTACCGTGTGTTGGTGAAGTAGGCTTGGGTGGAGTTCATAGGTAACTTTTTCATTTTCATTATTTATAGTTATTTCAATTTATATTGTGTGATGTGTGATTGAAATAAATATAGAATTGCTATTTTTAAAAAAAAGGACAGGTGTCTTTCTGTTAATCTACATTAGTTTATCATGCCAAAATTAGTCAGTGATTTTTCACAAATGTTTAGTAAAATGAGCATACACAAATATTAAAATCTGTCATTATATTGTGAGATGTTACTAAATAAAAAAACTTTGGTTCTTTTTTTTGAATAAGTGTTTTATAGTATACTGGTCCTCAGCATTGAGACTTAGCTGAGGAATTGTCTATTTTATTATTATTTTCAAAAGATCAGATTTGATTTTATCAACTATACTTTTTGTTTTAGATGTCATTTTTTTTCTTTCATCTTTATTCTTTCTAGGATCTTTGAGGTTTCCTATTTTTTAATAGCATCATGTATCAAAAGCTTATTTCTGTGTGTCTTGATTTCTAACAAATGGTTTATTAATGCTATTTAGAAGACAATTTGGCAATATCTGATGTGTACATCTTTAACTTTAATGCTATATGATGCCCTCTCCCACAATCCCTGATGACATTCTAGGGGTTTCACTCTGCAGTTGTCCTTGCTAAAATTTGTCTTTGGTTTCTTACTTAACTGAAAAGTTATTTAGAAAGGTGTTCCTTTTTAAAAATTCCAAATGGATAGATTTATTTTTCTCTTTAGTTGTCTGGTTTTTAACTTCTAATTTTAGTACATTGAAGTTAATTTATGCCCAATTGATTTCTGCTTCGGATACTATTTTTAGATTTTCTTTGTGGCTTGATACATGGTAATTCATACCATGGTGACTGTTCTTTATGTGATTAAAATATTTGTATACTTGGAGTTTTTATACATACTTAAGATTATGCATTATGCACCTTGTTCCTTTGTACCCTTACATGTTTTTATTCTGACCTGTCATTTTCTGAGAGAATAATGGTAGTCTTCTATTCTCATCTGTGAATTTTGTAATTTAACCATTTTTTGCTTTATACATGGTATTGTCAAGCTATAATTGACAATAAAGATATTAAAAGTTTCTAATATATTTTACATGATGAGTTATACCTTTTATCAATACGAAAGTATACTCCTTGATACATATTGCCTTAAATTCTGTTTTGTCATTGCTTTAGATTTATCCCTTTTAAACAAAGGCATACCTCATTTTATTGTGCATAACTTTATTGCACATCTCAGATCTTGCGGTTTTTTTGTTTATTTACAAATTGAAGGTTGCCGCAACCCTTCATCAAGCAAGTTTCTTGGCACCATTTTTGCAACAGCATATGCTGACATCATGCCTCTCTGTCACATTTTGGTAATTCTCAAAATATTTTAAACTTTGTCATTATTTATTTTTTATGGTGATCTGTGATCAGTGATCTTTAATGTTACTATTGTAGTTGTTTTGGGGTGCCAGACACAGCACCCAGATAAGACAGCAAACTTAACCAATAAATGTTGTATGTGTTCTGACTGTTTTACCTACCAGCCATTCCCCCATCTCTCTCTCTCTCTGTCTCTCTCTCTCTTCTTGGGCTTCCCTATTCTCTGAGATACAACAATATTGAAATTAGGCCAATTAATTACAGTGGCCTCTAAGTGTTCAAGTGAAAGGAAGAGTGGTACATCTCTCACTTTAAGTCAAATGCTGGAAATGATTAAGCTTATCGAGCAAGACATAGTGAGGCAAGATAGACTGAAAGCTAGGCTTCTTGCACCTAATAGCCAAGTTATGAATGCAAAAGAAAAGTTCTTGAAGGAAATTAAAAGTGCCACTCCAGTGAACACACGAATGGTAAGAAAGTGAAACAGCCTTATTGTTGATATGAAGAAAGTTTTAGTGGTGTGGGTAAAAGATCTAACTAGCCACAATATTCCCTTAAGCCAAAACCTAATCCAGAGCAAGGCCCTAACTCTCTTCAGTTCTCTGAGGGCTAAGAGAGGGGAGGAAGCTGCAGAGGAAAAGTTTGAAACTAGCAGAGTTTGATTCATGAGGTTTAAGGAAAGAAGCCATCTCCATAACATAAAAGTACAAGATGAAACAGCAAGTGCTAATGGAGAAGCTGCAGCAAGTTAGCCAGAAGATCTAGCTAAGATAATTGATGAAGCTGGCTCCACTGAACAACAGATTTTTGATGTAACTAAAACAGCCTTCTATTGGAAGAAGATCCCATGTAGGACTTTCATAGCTAGAGAGGAGAAGTCAATGCCTGGTTTCAAAGCCTCAAAAGGCAGGCTGACACTCTTTGTTATGGGTAAATGCAGCTGGCCACTTAAAGTTGAAGCCATGCTCATTGACCATTCAGAAAATCCTAGGGCCATTAAGAATTAAGCCAAATATACTCTACCTGTGCTCTATAAATGGAACAACAAAGCCTGAATGACAACACATCTGTTTACAGCATAGTTTACTGAATTTCTTAAGCCCACCATTTTAGACCTACTACTAAGAAAAAAACATTCCTTTTAAAATACTGCCACTCATTGACAATGCTCCTGGTCACCCAAGAGCTCTGATGGAGATGTACAAGGAAATTGATGTTGTTTTCATGCAGATAACACAGCATCCATTCTGCAGCCCGTGGATCAAGGAGTAATTTTGACTTCCAAGTCTTTACTATTTAAGAAATGCATCTTGTAAGGCTATGGCTGCCATTGGTAGTAATTCCTCCGATCCATCTGGGCAAAGTAAGTTGAAAACCTGGAAAGGATGCACCATTAAGTACATTTGTGACTCATGGGAGGAGGTCAGAATATCAGCATTAAGAGGAGTTTGGAAGAAGTTGATTCCAGCCCTCATGGATGACTTCGAGGGGTTCACAGTTTGTGGAGGAAATAACTGCATATGTGGTGGAAATAGGAAGAGAAATAGAAAGGGAGCCTGAAGATATGATTGAATTGCTGCAGTCTCTTGATAAAACTTGAATGGATGAGGAGTGGCTTCTTGTGGATGAGCAAAGAAAGTGTTTTTTTTTAGTTGTTGTTGTTTTATCTTAATTTTTTTAAATCCATGAATGCAGGTGAAGAAAGTGGTTTCTTGAGATGGATTCTATTAGTGAAGATGTGAATATTGTTGAAATGACAACAAAGGATTTAGACTATTATGTAAACTTACATAGTAAGTTTGATAAAGCAGTGGCAGGGTTTGAGAGAATTGACTTCAGTTTTGAAAGAGGTTCTACAGTTCTACTGTAGGTAAAATATGTCAAACAGTGTTGCATGCTAGAGATAAATCTTTCATGAAAGGAAGAATCAAATGATGCAGCAAACTTCATTCTTGTCTTATTTTAAGAAATAGCCACAGCCATGCCAACCTTCAGCAACCACCACCCTGATTAGTAAGCAGCCATCAACATCAAGGCAGGAACTTCCACCAGCAAAAAGATTATGCCTTGACTCATTGAAGGCTCATTTTTTAGAAATAAGGTTTTTTTTTTTTTTTATTCTTTGAGATAGGGACTCTCTCTGTAGCCCAGGCTGGAGTGTAGTGGCATGATCATAGTTCGTTGCAGACTTGAACTCCTGGGCTCAAGCAATCCTCGCACTTCAGCCTCCTGAGTAATTGGGACTACAGGCGTGCACCACCACATCCAGCTAATTTTTAAAGTTTTGTAAAGATAGAGTCTTACTATGTTGCCTGGGCTGGTCTTGATAAAGTTTTTTTTGTTGTTTGTTTGTTTTTTTAATTTTTTGCCCGTGACACAGCCCCGGGAGATTCTGAGAAAATGTGCCCCTCGTAAAGTATTTTTAAATTAAGGTATGTACATTATCTTTTATAGACATAATGCTGTTGCACATTTAATAGACTACGGTATAGTATAAACATAACTTTTTATGCACTGGGAAACAAAAAAATTTGTGTGTCTCGCTGTATTGCAACATTCGCTTTATTTCAGTGGTCTGGAACCGAACCCACAGTATCGCTGAGGTATGCCTGTGTATAGCTGTATTTCGTGTCTAATCTATGAATCAGTCTTTGAATAGGTGGATTTAATTTATTTATATTTATTATTACTGGAGTGTTTGGACTTGTCCTATCTTATTTTGTGGTTTTCATTTGCCTTATTATTTATTACCTTTACCCATATTTTGTTAAATTATTCAAGCTTTCTTTGCTCTTTCCCCAGTAGTGGTTTGCACGACATGTAATCTGTTTCTCTCTGTGTTGGCGTCCACCTTTAATGTCTAGAGTCAGACAGTATCTACATTATTTCTCCTACCCTACAAATAAGAATCCGTTTGTTTTTACTTCTTTTTTGGTTAATAACATTCTTATTTGCTTGTGTTTGTCTGTAATAAATACTTACTTTTTACTTAATTTTATGAATTTCTTGGCCTCCCTGTCCCTTTCTTGGATTATTTTTATTGTGCTTTGTTTTGTTTGAAACCCTTTCAGAGAGGATTTGTGAAAAATTCAAGTCCTTATGTGTCTAAAATGTCTTCACATTTTAATGATAATTTGGCTGGATATAGAAATATATATTCAAAATCATTTTTCTCCCAACTTTGAAGATACGTTTTTCACAGATACTTGTCTGTCATCTTTTTGCTTTTAAAGTTGTTGGTGAGAAGTCTGATGCAAGACTAATTTTCTTTGTAGAACTACATTTCATTGATTCGGTGGAGCATATTTTGTTTTTTTTATTTTAACAGTTCCGAAAGTGCTTCATTAAGCAGGTTTTCTTGGGTGCTGCTGCTTCTGTTTGATGAACTTGGTTCCTCTCTCTCATTGTACTCAATTTTTCCTACGTTCTTGGGGATGTTAGTTGTTTGTTCATCTCTGTTTTTGAGATTTCCAGATACCTTGTCTGTGAATATGGTGTCTGAGTACTCTAGTGATATGGGAGAGGAGCAGGGTCATACAGCTAACTGGGAAGCCCTGGTATCTGGTCTTACTATTTGTTAGGTTGTTAATATACCTCTTGGACACCATCCCTCTCTCTGTGTTCCTAATGTCCACAATAGAGAGGAACATCCTCAACTTGATAAAGACAATCTACAGAAAACCTGGAACACATGTCTGCGTGGACATGGTTGGGGCTAGTGTAGAATTATAAGGTAGGAAATTAGTCCTCAGTTAATCCTTCTAATGGTTGTCTGGGTGCAGTTCTTTCCTGTTTGCAGTGTGCCTCATCTAGAAAAGAGCACCACAGAAGCTCCCCCAGCTGGGTTTTGGGGCTCTGGCTTCCTCTTTCAGTCTGATCCTACCTGCCTTCTACTGTTTCTGTCGTATCTAGGGATTTGGGAAAAGGGAGGGTAGCTAGATCATGCTCATGCACTATTGATTCAGTCAGCTCTCTGGGCTTTCAAGAATGTGTATTAAGTTGATTTCACAGAGTCAGAAAGGATAGGGGGAAAAAGGATCTGTGTGAAAAATCCTGGAATCTCTCATTGCAGTCTGTGGAATTCCTGTGGTAGAGTGCAGTGCAGTGGTGTACACCTGGAGAGCTCATTGCTGCTTGTCACATCAGTTTATTCAGTGGAAGAAGAGACAAGGCAATGAACCTGTGCCTGCTGGGCTAAGACAGGAGTAATGTCTTTGCTCTGAGTGACCAGGCTCTGCTGAAACCGATGGATGTCTGGCTGCTTGTCCTGTGGGGTGGCCTGCTTGTAGTGAGGTTCCAAGTGAATTTCTTGGTAAGTAAAGGTTTTGTCAGAGCAGCATTAGGAAAGAACTTACTCTTTAAAAAATGATACTTTAAAATTTTCTTCATTTTAGAAACTCTAAAATGGGAAAATTGTTTCTTAAATAATAGATTCACAACTTTTCAATAGTTGTAAAACCCTGACATTATTTATGACCTTTTTCTACTTTCCTAAAAATTCTTATTTTCAAGTTAAAATGAGTTAAATTTGGTATTGGGAACTTCGCCATCTCACCTAAGGTTTGGAGTCTTCTAGGATGTTACAGATCTGGATTTAAAAACCCTTATTTTAGGCGTTTCCTAGTATACAGACTATTTCAAAGATGAAATATTCAGTCTCTGCATTAATTCTTACTACCAATTATGCAATAATCAATGAAAGCTGAATTACTTGAAACATGGCTCCATATGGATACAGTGCAAATGTTTGGATTTAGATTAAGTCTTGAATATAAACAAAAAGCCTATATACACTCTCTACAACATTTCTCATTTGCAGTTCAGCATTTAATGGAAATTGTTTAGAGTCATGGGGTGTGTCCTCACACATATTGGTGTGTAAAAAACTAGACATCTTTTCTTTATAAATCTGTATTTTGTCCTACATTAAAATATTACTCTTTGCCTGCTCTAAGTAAACAAGGAATAGAGAGGAACATCAACTTTATAAAGAGAATCTACAAAAACCCTACAGATAACATCCTACTTAATGGTGAAAGACTGAATGCTTTCATCCTAAGTTGAGAAACAAGGCAAGGATATACATATATCACTTTTACTCAACATAGTACTGAAAGTTATATAAAGATAGGAAAAGAAGAAATAAAACTGTTTCTGCTTCCAGATGACATGAATGTGTACATAGACAATCTCATGGAATCCACAGAAAAATTCCTAGAATATCAAATGAATTCTGCAATATCACAGAATATTAGATCAACACCAAATCAATCGCTTTTCTGTACTGATAATGAACATGTAGAGACTGAAATTTAAAGTCATGCCAAAGAAAGTGAAATACCTAGATACACATCTAACAGAACACATCTAACAAAAAAATAATGATAGAAATCAAAGAAGGCGTAAATAAATGGAGAGACATGTGTTCATGAATTGGAATAAACATACTACAGATGCCAGTCTTCCCCAAATGGATCTAGATGTTTAACATAATTCCTATCAAAACTCTGCAGGGGTTTTATAGACATAGACAACATTATTCTAAAATGTATCTGGAAAGGCAAAGAACCTAGAATAACTAAAACAATTATGAAAAGAATAACGAGAGAAATCACTACCACAGACACTCTGAAAAATAGTTTGACAGTTTCTTATAAAAGTAAATATGCTCTTATAAAACTAAATATGCAATTGCACTCCTGGGTGTTTGTCCCAGAGAAATGAATACCTGTATTCACAAAAATCTGTACATGGATGTTCATAGCAGTTTTATTTATAATAGCCATAAACTGGAAACAGCCCAGGTGTTATCCTTCAACATGTTAATTGTTATACTGTGGTGTATTCATACCATGGAATACTATGCAGCAATAAAAAGGAATAAACTATTGATACAACAACTTGGATGGATTTCAAGGGGCAACAACAATCATCTCAGGTTACATGCTATATAATTCCATTTATAAAATTCTCTTGATATAACAAAACTATAAAAATGGAGAACAGATTGGTGGCTGCCAGGAATTAGAGATCGTGGTGGGTGGTGTGCCTGTAAAAAGATAGCATGAAGGAGCCTTGTGGTGATGGAGCACTTCTGTGTCTGGCGGTTATAGAAATCTCCACATGTGATAAAAATTTCATAGAAACTACATACACAAATAAATACATGTGAAATGATGAAATCTGAATAAGCTCTGTGGAGTGTACCAATATCAGTTTCCTAGTTTTGATATTTTACTGTATTTAAGCACAATGTTACTATTGGGGGAAACTGGGTGAAGAATACATGAAACTTACCTTTCCATTTGTTTTGTTGGCCACTCTTGTGAATCTATAATTATTTCAAAATGAAAAGTTTGAATATAGATACATATTATTCATTAACTGGAAGGCAAGTATCCCAGTGTGAGTGTTTCTGGCTTATTGTGTAGTGTGGTTTTAGTTTTTAGCAGTAATGCCTGATGATGGTCTGGGAAAGAAGGTTGATGTGACAGAAACACAGTATATTTTGCAGTGTTCAAATGCATTCTAACAAATATCAGTCTTACGCTGGTATTTTTTATTTTTAAAAAATAAATATAAAACCAGATAATCAGCAGAAAAATTTCTCTACTGAGGGAGAGCATTTACCCCTCACCATGTTAAAAGTATGTACTTGTATTTTAGAGCACTGATTCTTAACTTTTTCTGATTCATAATGCCTTAAAATCCTCCATAATGAGGAAGGATATAGACATATCTTAGAATTGTGTTCTTAAGCATCTTTATTTATTTGGCTTAACTTACTACGTGTAAAGAACATTTTAAAATCCAGTATGCATTTAAAAATTGCTATCCCTGGTCTATCTGAAATGAATTGCCTTGTCTTGTGAAAAGGTAAATTAATAAAATATAAATTGAGACATTCTTTATAGCTATTAACTTACTGTTTCTTATCATTTGTATAATATGCCAGCTTTTGGAAATCTTGACATATTCAAGCCAAGAGTTGTACTTAAGACTGTCATTTCTTTCTGTCTACCCTAGTCTGTGATATAATAGCTCCTCAGTAGACTCTTTCCTATAAAAGAGTCTTTTAGAGAATTTTGGAAATGGGTGTCCACCAAAAGAATTGTGATTATAGCATTAAGTATAATGTTAAGATGTTTAAATATTTTTTAAAGGATCACTCCTGCTTGTAAGATAGTACAGCCTAAGTAAGCCGTAAAACCTTTTGATAGAACTTTGAACTATTTCAGAAGGACATAAATGAAGTCAGGCCTCGTAGTGTGTGCCTATAGCCCCAGCTACTCAAAAGGCTGAGGTGGGAAGATTGCTTGAGCCCAGGAGTTCAAGTCCAGCCTAGGCAACATAGACTCCATCTCTTAAAAAAAAATTTTTAAAAAAAGGTCATAAATGAATCAAATTTTCTCTTTGGTTTATAAATAATCTGCAATTATAGCTGGGTATGGTGGCACACACCTATAGTCCCAGCTACTCAGGAGGCTGAGACAGGAGGAAGACCACTTGAGCCCAGGAGTTCTAGGCTGTAGTGTATTATGCCGGTCGGTTGCCTGCACTAAGTTGGACATTAATATGGTGACCTCTTGGGAGCCAGGGTTACCACTAGGCTGCCTAAGGAGAGATGAGCTGGCCTAGTTTGGAAATGGAACAAGTTAAAACTCCTGTGTTGATCAATAGTGGGATAGTGCCTGGAAATAGCCACTGTGCTACAAGCCTGGGCAAGGTAGTGAGGCCCCATCTCTTAAAAAAAAATCTGCAATTATAAGTTGTACAGAAATCAATAACACCTTTATTTCAGATTCCAGAGATGCTATTAATGTATTTATTTTTACAGTCCTTCCCAAGTGGCACCAAATTTGAATGTGTAGTTTCATGTCCCATTTTAAGTCATTGTTTATTAGAAACAAATGTTTTAGTAACGTTTCAGTTTTTCAGAGGACCTTCTCTTCCCAGAGGCAGAATTTGTTTAACTTTTATATTACTTCCTCTTGTACTATTTACCATTTGGATATACAGGCCCTGATGAGTTCTAGATTAGAAGACGTTAGGCTTTTGTCACAGGGACTACTCCTGACTATCGAGTTTGGGATTATCTGCTTTAAAGGGATGATTTGTGCCTCTTCTATGGTTAGGGAAAGAAGTTTGATCTACTTTAAAGTAGCACCTCAGTAAGTTTTATTAAAAATAATACCTGCCTGGTTAAGTGTGCCCAGCACAAACTGCGTTGCAGCCTGGGGCCCAGGCATAGTCACCAGTGTAATATTAAATTGTCAAGAAACGAACAACGTATCCATAGAAATGTAGCACACACCTTCTGTCACCCAGCTGCCAAATGAAATGTCACATACTCTGAAAGATACTTTATACATCTATAATGTTATCACTTGTCATATAAAACGAGAAGGAAAGAATGAAAATCTTTTCCTAAGCTTCCTGAAATTTCACACGCCTATAAGAAACAAATATTTCTGAAACCACAATTAAAAATTGATCTGGCATAAACCCTCTGTAAATAAAAAGTATTTAGAATTAGTAAAGATTCTTGAGCATGAAATGTTTATGGGAGGTATTCTATAGGTACCATATAGGTGGGTTTTTCAGTCATTTAAAAGTATTTGAGCAGACTGAAAAATATGATAGAAATCATTTATATGTTTTTTATTTTCCCCACTGATTTTTAGCTGTGGTACTTATTATTCTCACTGTGTTATAAGGCTCAGATCAAACAAAATATGTTGATACAAATGTATAATTTATTCTAGTTTAGTGGTAGGGTAGGATTTAAACTGGTGGCTCTCAGTGGTCATCATCCATCAGTTTCACCTGGGGGAGATTTTTAAAAAATACCTATGTTGCCTGGGCCCCACCCCCAGAGATTGTGATTCACATTGACTTGGCTTAGGGTCATATTCAGAAGCTTCCATGCAATTATAATATGCATCCAGCCTTGCCTACTGCTGATTTTAACCTATAGAATCAAATATTTTTAGACATTAGTGGAAAAAGATATTTTCAACATTTTAAATTCTGATGTTCTTTAAAAATTGTTTTTAACTTCTTTAAAGAGTAAACAGGAATATTTCTTTTTTGATGTTGATAATTGGAGCTTAATTTTTTTTTTCTTCCCTGCCTCCCATTTTTAACCACTCTCTGCTCATTTAGGGATAAGTGAAAACCATGTTTTAGACCCCTTGGAAATTTTTTCTGATGTGTGTCCTCAGAACCAGTGTCTGGAACTTCAAGCTAGACCCCCCTCCCCACCCCCTTGGAAACTCCTCTGCATTGATTGCTTGTCCTTTCCTCTTCCCTGAGGAGCCCAGAGACCTTCCTGCCTGCTTCCTTTCCACTGCTGTTCCCTGGAGCTTCTGATTAGTGCCCCTGGTCCTGTGCAGGTCAGATTACCACACCGCCTCATTCCAACTCATTTTCTTGGGTTCATAGTACCTTTGCAGTTTTCTAAGGGCTCTTAGTGCTTTTAACTAGAAAGGGGTTTTTCGTTTGTTTGTTTGTTTTAAAAGGGTCCTTAGTGCCTCTTACTCCCTTCCTGTAAAATCCTGTGTAAAATGACAAAAGTGCACAATTGATCATTGTAAGTTCTAGTACATGAACAAAAACCAAAAGTTAATATTTATATAAATTTCAAAGCAGAACTCATACGCTGAATCTGGGTAGTTTGTCTGAACTTCCTAATGGGGCTGACTGGCATAAGTGTGTGTATTTTAGAAAGACAACAAGAGAAAGGAGGGATTTTAGGGGCAGGTTTTCTTTCCTTTGTTCTACCACAGTTCTCTGATGTGGAAAGTTCCAGATGAGAGGAGGATCTGGGGCTTTGTGCAAGAGTATGTCGGGAATTGCAGTGGGGAGCAGCTGTAAGGAGAGAATTCCTTGGGTCAGCAGACTGAGGTAGCAGTTTCAGGTAACCCTTACTCATAAGGAAAACAATGTTTACCCTTTCTTTGTACAATTCAAGTTGGATCATATTATTCCTCTGCTGAAAACTATTTAGAGACCTTCCATTTCAGTCTGAATCAAAACCACCATCCTCACTGTGGCCAACACAGCCCAAAAGATTGGCATCTCCATTTCTTCCCAGACTTTCCTCTCACTACCTTCCTGGTTGCTCCTTCGGCTCCAGCCACGCTGCCTCCTTGCTGTTAGGCACACTCCAAGCCCGGTCCTACCTCAGGGCCATCCATCTCCCTCCTCTGCCTAGCCACTCTTGCCCCTGATTTTCTTGCCCACATGTCACCCCTCAGTGAGGCCTCAGCTTCTTCTCCAGAGGTGTAGGGCCCCAGCACTGCCTGTTATCTTTCCCCACTTGACTTGCATCTCTGGGCTCTGTTACCTCCATTTGTGAAATGGGGTTCATAGTTCCTGCCTTTAGGATTATTGAGGGGATTAGATGAATGAATACATGTAAAGTACTTAGCATAACGCCAGACACAAAATTAGCCCTCAGTCCATCAGATGTCACTGTCTCAGTGCTGCTGCTTTGGGAAACGTCATGGGATGCTTTATGTTTCTATGGTGTTGCTGCTGTGGTCCCAGAGGGACACTTAACATTAGATCCTGGCCTTATTTTCCTTTCCTGCCTCTTTCTCAATGTGGGAGGAAGAGTATCCGAGGTACCCTTGTCCCCTTTGGAAATTTGTCCTCGGGAATTTCTGAAATGTTGGCTGCCGTGGGAAAATGGGGAGGAAGGGCAGGCCTGGGACCTTTGCTCCTGTGGTTTTCTCACATGTTTTTAGTTGTATTTAACTTTCAGAATGTTATGTTATTTGTATTTAGGGAATAGGTTAACTTCTAAAGTAGGGATTTTTCTTTCTTTTTTAAAATGTTAGATAAAAAAAAATGAAAGTCTTGGTGTTTATTTGATAGCAGGTTAGTTTCTTAGAACTTCAGAAGGGCTTTTCAAACCACTCAAAACAGTAGCTATTTTAGTACAAAAATACATATGGAAGCTGAATCAACTTACATTCACCTTAGGTCATAACATGGGAAACCTTTAGGGAGTTGAAAATATTAAATTTTCTTTTTTTTTTTTTTAAACTTTTTGAGGTAAGAAATGTATGCCTGTTGAAGAAGAAAGATAAGTTTGCAAGACAAAAAAATCAGCATTAGAGCAAACTTTCTAACACAAATTTGGAATTGTGTTATTCGCATTGCATGTTGCCGAACAGACTGAACTGTTAAAAGTTGTTTTAGCGTTTTAGAATGTACTAAAGAATCGAGTCCGGCGTGGTGGCTCATGCCTTTAATCGCAGCACTTTGGGAGGCCGAGGCAGGTGAATCACATGAAGCCAGGAGAGTTCGAGACCAGCCTGGCCAAGCAGATGAAACCCCATCTCTACTAAAAATACAAAAATTAGCCAGGCGTGGTAGCGCATGCATGTACTCCCAGCTACTCAGGAGGCTGAGGCAGGAGAATGACTTGAACCTGGGAGGTGGAGGTTGCAGTGAGCTGAGATCGTGCCACTGCACTCCAGCCTGGGCGACAAAGCGAGACTTTGTCTCAAAAAAAAAAAAAAAAAGAATCAGTTTGTTTGTTTATATGCAGGCTGCTATGCTTGATCACTCTCTTGTGCTCACTGAGATGGGCCAGGTGGGACTAGTTAGTGACCGGTCTCAGTTCCTGGAGAGTCCCTGTCCCAGCATGTTAGGAGGTTGCATGTGTGGTCATCAGGTTGATCTATTAGCCTTATATAGGGTTGTAATAAGAAAGTATTTCTAGTGTAGTGTAAACAGTGCCTAATTTAATATTTTTAAAATTTTAATTTAGAATTATTTTAAACTCTGAAACCTAAGAAAAAACATTACAAGTTCTCAGCCTTTGTAATACTGTATCTGGTAAGTCGGAAAACAAGACCTTTTAGAGTGAGACGCTCTTCGTAGATATATCGAAATCTCGGCACCTGGAATGCAGCCAGGCACAGAGTAGGCATACTATTTTGCTGGGTGTAAAAATAAAAGAGGGGCTGTGGATGGCTAAAAAAGGAGGATGATGAAGTTAGGAGAATGCATGCCCTGATTGCTCTTTCTCTTTGGAATTGGATGGGGCGGTGCCAAGCCTGCCTCACTCCAGATGGCTCACTTGTCCCCCTTGCTCAATAGTAAGGTCCTTGAGAGAGGGGACCATGTGTTTGTTTATATTTTGTCAGTGTCCTGTCACCTGGCAAACGTAACAAGCTCATAATATTTATTTAAATTAATGTTAACAGAGATGAACCAAGGAAATGAAGATTACATTAATTGTGGTCACCCTCTGTGGCTCTTCCCAATCTCTTTGCTGATGTCGTAATTCCTTTTCCTTGCCTTGTATCTGTTATATTTAATGAGTCCTAGACTCTTAGAGGACCCAGTGAAAGCTGTGATTCCTGTTTTCAGAGAGATACAAACATGCATTTTGGGTTAGTTTCAGAGGTGTTTATTGAACACTATGAAGCCCTTTTTTGGATCTGATCTTGCAAGCTTATGAGGTTGAGAAACAAGTGGACCCGCAACTATTTGGATGAACACAAACAGTTTTGAAATAAGCTTTGGAACATAAAATACACATGTAAAATAGTGTTCTTATTTTTGTGCCTTTGAATACGTGACTCATTCATTGCTGTTTTATATACTAGATCTCCCATTTTCCCTATTGTGTTTTAAATTTCATGGATATGACTTGAGTAGGAGATTGTAATGGAAAATTGGAGGTAAGGTTATAAATGGGTCTGTTTCCAAAGGAAACATCAAGTCATTGGGTACAGTATTCTTTTTATTTCCTAAAGTCAGACAGACTTGTAGATGTTTGGTATATTTTATATGGTTTTCTTAAAAACCCATTTTGTATAACAGAGTTCGTATGCGTCAACTCTCCACTGACATTTGGAGGCCCTTGTTAGGGTTTAAGAGAAACAACATGGATTGGGAGCTCCAGTAGGTGGAAGGAAG
This sequence comes from Homo sapiens, assembly GCF_000001405.40. Lineage (NCBI taxonomy): Eukaryota > Metazoa > Chordata > Mammalia > Primates > Hominidae > Homo > Homo sapiens. Next base: position 43,320,450 of record NC_000003.12, read on the forward strand.
CCCCTGAGATGGTGTGACTGATTCATCACCACGTTCCAGGTTGTGATTCTCAGCTTTGTATTCAGTAGTGATTAGTTTCTAGAGGACTGAAACTGGCTTAACAAAGTGTTTTGTATATATACTAATGAATACACTAGAACACCAATCAGTTGATTTACAATGAGACGTATTAAATGTTAGTCAACGCCAAGCTTGTATTGTATCAGAGTAGCTGGGTTTTTTTTTTCCCCAAATTTACCTATTTTCAGAGTTTTAATAAGATATTCTACCAAAAAAGCCTGTTTATTAGTGCATAATGTAAGTTGATTAGGTTTAATCATTTTTAGGAACATTTGTGATCCATTGAAACTCCTGAGGTCACACTTTTAAGATTCTTATATGAATTTTTGCTTTAGATCTAGAAAGGGCTCTTCATGACTTTGAATTTTAGCTCATGTATTCCTGTTACTCCCAAAACTTTACAAACATGATTTTTTCAAGGTTTTTTTTTTTTTTTTTTAAGTTATTATAGCAGAACCTTCATTTGGCTGAAACCCATTATGTTCCATCTGGAGGCAGAAGATTCTCTTGGTTTTAGATTAGTTCTAGTTTTGTACTCAGTTATCAGTTTGTGAGGTGAGGTACCTTGCCCTGTATCCCATTCAAGGCTGTATTATCAGTGTCAGTAAACAACTTCATAAGAATTTCTTGGGTTTACCATCTAGCTTCAGTATCAAAATGAATTTATTAATTAGTAGAGGCAAGAATAGAGAGAGAACTTGAGTGTCCCCTGACTTTGTAACCTTTGACTCTTCCAGCTGTTGTCAGGAGAACAAAGGGGACAGCTTTTCTTATGGTAAGGAGTCTTTCCAAAATTGTTTTTATGTTACTTTATGTAAGATAAACAATCTTCAGAATCCTTAGCTATCCATGAATCTTACCAATTAGAGGACTGCCTATTGATCATTTACCAGTTTTTGAGTTGTCCTAAACCCAGGAGAGCACCAGGAGGCAAGCAAATAAAGACTCCTGGTAGATGAAATGGACTGTCCTAAGTGCATGTACAAAGCTCATGTATTTTGCTCGTAGCTGTCATTCAGGGTCTCACTCAGACCCTTATTTAGTTAATTTTACGTATAATTCTAGCAAGTTCAGTAAATTCGTATTTCCAGCTGTCAGCTGATAGGTAACAGGGACCTCCTAAAGTCAAGTGCCCTGACTGATAGCAGCAAGATGAGAAAGAATCATGAAATCATCATCAAAAACTTAAAAAACACGGTGTGCGCCTCTCCTTGCCACCTGAAGTCCGAGTGTTTAACAGTGCTTATGGGCACCTCTGGAGGTAAGGCGAGGCGCCTACTTACCATGGAAGCAGCTCTAAAAGGGGAATCTTTGATGGAAGATAAGATGGAGGCATCTTTTAAAGCCAGGTGGTTGTTACTTTCTGTGTGACTTAATGAGCAGGTGAATTTTGGCAAGTCCCAGGACACAAAGTGCGGTGGTGCTGTCTCACCTAGGTCCCTTCATTGCCAACTTTTTAGGTTTCATTATGATTATATCTCAGCACCTAGCACAGCGCCTGGCAAATAGTGCTGCCGCACATTTGTTGAATATACATATCAGTGTCTGCTTTGTGGCTTTTTGGCATAGAGACTGATGCCCCCAGGGGCACTGCTGTATCTTAGCATGGTTCTTCAGCTGGTCATTCTGAGTGATGCAGAAAAAAGAACAGGGTCTAATCATTTTAAATTCCTCTATTATTAGACAACATAAGAGGAAGAATTAATTAATTGACTGGAAAAATTCAACATTTGGAGAAGAAATGATTGATTTCTATGTATGTCTATTTCAAAATAAATTCCAGGTGAATTAAGGATTTGTATGTGAATAATTAAGAACAAAGTGAATATTCATATGATCTTGACCTTTCTAAGAAAGAGTCATAAGAAAAAGGGTAGTAGCTTTGATTACAGTTCGTGGATGTAGTACACATATTATTCGAAACAAAATTATAATGCAAACAAGTTGGGGCAATATTTGTAATATAGGAAATGGTTACTATTCTTAAGGTAGAAAGAGTTCTTACAAATCAATGACAAACTCCCCTATAGACAAATGAAAAGAAAATTTATTAAAGAAGTTATGTAACTAGCCAGTAAAAGAAGAAAAAGTTTAACCTTGCAAATAATTAGAGTATTCAGGACTTAGTAGAAAAGCTACAATGATAAAGACTGTATTGGTAGGCCGGGTGCAGTGGCTCATGCCTGTAATCCGAGCACTTTGGGAGGCCGAGGTGGGCAGATCATGAGGTCAGGAGATCGAGACCATCCTGGCTAACATGGTGAAACCCCGTCTCTACTAAAAATACAAAAAATTAGCTGGGAGTGGTGGTGGGTGCCTGTAGTCCCAGCTACTCAGGAGGCTGAGGCAGGAGAATGGCGTGAACCCGGGAGGCGGAGCTTACAGTGAGCCGAGACCGTGCCACTGCACTACAGCCTGCGCGACAGAGTAAGACTCCGTCTCAAAAAAAAAAAAAAAGACTGTATTGGCAAAGGGTAGACTGATAGATCAGTGAAATAGAATAGAAAGTCCATAAATAAACCTACACATATGTGGCCAGTTGATTTTCAACAAAGGTGCTAAAGCAATTCAATGGAGAAATGGCCGTTTTTTTCAGCAATGCTGTGGCAACAGTTGGATATCCATATGCAATAAAATGAACCTTGATCAGTACCTCACGCCATGTGTAAAAGCTCGATCTGTGTCATAGACATACATGTAAAATGAAAAACTATAAAACTTCTAGAATAAAACATAGGGGATCTTTGCAACCTTAGGTTAGGCAAAGATATTTTGTACAGTACCAAGAGCATGATCCAAAAAAGAAAAATATTGAATAATTCACCAGAAAAGACATAATATGGCATATAAGCACATGCAGATGTTCCACACCATTAGTCATTAGGGAAATGCAAGTTAAAACCACACCTATTAGAATAGCTAAAATTTTTAAAACTGACAATACCAAGTGCTGGCAAGGGTGTGAATGGAGCAATTGAAATGCTCATACATTTCTGGTGGGAATGTAAAATCGTATAACCAGTTAGAAAAATCATTTGGCAGTTTCTTAGAAAGATAAACATACACTTACCCAGCAATGGCCCAGCAAACTCACTCCTAGGTATTTACCCAAGAGAAATGAGAATTTATGTTTATACAAAAGCCTGTACACACTTTTTTTGTGACTTTATTCATAACTGTCCCAAACTGAAATAAATGGTGGAACATCTACACAATGGAATACTACTCAGCCATGAAAAATGGTGACCTATTGATGTGTACAACAACATGAGTGAATCTCAATGCATTATTGAGAAAAACCAGACTGCAAAACAGTCTGCATTATTGAGAAAAACAGAGACTACGTACTCTGTGACTCCATTTCTAGGCAAAACTTGCAAGGACACACAATAGCTGTGGTTGTCAGGGGCTGGGCTTGGGGAAGGGATGACTACACAGAGGCACAAAGGAAATTTTGGGGTAACACAGCTGCTCTGTATCTTGATTGTGGTAGTTATGTGACTGCATTTGTCAGAACTTGGAGAAATGCACCCTAAAAATGGTGAATTTTGTTGTATATAAATTATACCTTAAAGAAATTAGGGAAAAAATAATCAGGCCAGTATACATTGAAACAGATCTTTATAATTTTACCTAATAGGCTAATAGTAAGGATTATCTATGGTGTTGGTGAGGATGGGGCCCTCCCACAGGCTGCTAATAAATCTTACTGGCGTTAGGCCGGGCGTGGTGGCTCACGCCTGTAATCCGAGCACTTTGGGAGGCCAAGGCGGGTGGATCACAAGGTCAGGAGTTCAAGATCAGCCTGGCCAACATGGTGAAACCCCGTCTCTAATAAAAACTACAAAAATTAGCCAGGCCTGGTGGCACATGCCTGTGGTTCCGGCTACTCCGGAGGCTGAGGCAGAAGAATCGCTTGAACCTGGGATGTGGAGGTTGCAGTAAGCTGCGATCGTGTCACTGCACTCCAGCCTGGGTGATAGGGTGAGACTCTGTCTCAAAAAAAAAAAAAAAAAAGAATAAATCTTACTGGCATTAAATATGCACTGCTTTCATAATCTGAAAGAAGTAAGTGTTAATTTGAAAAACAGGAGATGTGTGGTTATATTTGAGAGAACTTTTCTAAACTTTTAATACGAAGGAAAATCTGAAAGTTATAATCCTACATGGAACCAACCAGGTTGTGTATTTATTGTAATTCCTAGAAAGATATACTGATTTTTTTAATACAGGAAAATAGGTTGCATACATTTTAAAACCACATGTCTAATTTAGGTGTTATGCATGGAGAACTAGCCAAAACAAACATTTCAAGAGCTAATATTTTGAATTTTGAAATTTGTTATATTAAATTTGCTATTTAAAGTTCATTTCTCTTTACTCTCAAATGAGGAAGTTAGTTTCCTGGCAAGCTTAAACATTTTAGAGAAACCTGCATAATGTATCTTCTGTTAAAGAACATACCTTGCTTGATTTTTATCCCCAGTGCCCAGAAAGCTTTGTTTCATTAAACTTTCTTTGCTTTTTGAAAGAGAACCCATTTTCTTAGCCTGCCATTTGCAGCAGGTGATTTTTATCAACTGGTGTTTTAATAGCTTGTATATTCATCTTATGTTAGCACACCTCAGCCTCACACAAAAGACTGTGTTTTTTGGTTTTGTTTTTTTTGTTTTTGAGACGGAGTCTCGCGCTTTCACCCAGGCTGGACTGCAGTGGCGCTGTCTTGGCTCACTGCAAGCTCTGCCTCCCGGGTTCACACCATTCTCCTGCCTCAGCCTCCTGAGTAGCTGGGATTATAGGTGCCCGCCACCGCGCCCGGCTAATTTTTTGTATTTTTAGTAGAGACAGGATTTCACTGTGTTAGCCAAGATGGTCTCGATCTCCTGACCTCGTGATCCACCCGCCTTGGCCTCCCAAAGTGCTGGGATTACAGGTGTGAGCCACCGTGCCCGGCCCAAAAGACTGTGTTTTTAACATCAACTTAAGAAAACATCAAAATACTCCACTAGCTGTCAAACTAAAACGTTTAGTTGATGGACACTCCAAATTTATAAAATGCTGATTCATATAGGTCTCTAATCTAGTTGCATTTGACTGACTAGACAAATAGAATTGGACATTTTTAGATGTGGTGCTAAATTTAAATGTTTCTTCTTTCTAGTTCGAAGTTAACCATATAATAAGCCTAAAAATTGCATTGCATTTGTCATAATCTTGTGGGAAATTTGAAATGTGAAATCACTGCTTGAAACTAAATTTAAAAAGCCACTCTGTATCCCTGGTGAAGCAGTTCTCCAATGGGTCCCCCCTTGGATGAGTATCCATATTGAAACTCAGCTAAGCAGCCATCAGAGGATTTGAACCAGGTCTCTCTGAAGCTTTAGGCCAGGCATGCTATTTTCATTAGGCCACACTGAAAGAAATCGCCCAAGTATGATGTTTTCGCCATCTTATCTTTCCGTTTTCATTTGTACTTTTCCTGAGTGGTACCAACAGCAGGTTTGTAAAATGATTTTATGAAGGAATGCTGAGTTGGAAGGGTGTCTGCTGCTTGTCTGGTTTGGATTTGTGTGAATGTGTGCAGTCCCACAATATGTGATTGATAACACTTTGACTTCTTGAACTTTTTCTGTTTTAACTTGAAAAAACAAGTTTGCACAGGGCCTTAAAAAGGTGACTGAAATAAACTGCAGCTTATCTTCCCTGATTTATCCCACCACAGTCTGCTCTGAGCACTTCTTAGTCTCCTTTTCTTCTTAGCTTTGTGTATGTGTGTGTGTGTGTAGGATTGGGAATAACCACCACCTTCCTCTGTACCCTAAAACTCTGCTTTAGCTGTCTTTTGAGGGGGCCCCACAATATTTGCAGAACTCTTTTGAAAAATTTCAGGTTTTCATTCAGCAAACTTGTGTTGAGCAGGCCCTGGCTGAGTGTAGACTAGGGCCTGCTCAACAGAAGGCCCTATTCTGTGCTCAAGGAGCTCCAAGTATTGGAGGGAAATAGAATATCTGTAATCACAGCCCATTGTAATGATGCTGAAATTGTTAGGTAGCCCAGGTTTCTGAGTTGGAGGGCAGTGTGGGAAGACCTTGGGGAAGATGAGGATCATTGGAGGATTTGAAGCACATCATAGAATTGGCAGTGCCTTCTTGATCTGGAAGTCAGAGGACCCTCAGAGTAGGGAGTCTGGGATGTCTCCTAAGTTTAGACTGTACCCACCAGGGTAGATGGGGAGAAATAAACTTGGGGGAAAAAAATGATAAGCTTAGTTTTAGCAGCATTGATTTTTGAAGTCCCCAAGGGACATTTAGATGAATTAAGATCTGGGAAAGGAGTGTTTTAAAGTAGGTATCAGATGATGGCATTCGTTCTTTCTAGGGGAAAAGGAAACATTTCCCTGTTAAATAATAAAACCTTGCTTCTAACTAGAGTATCGATAAAACCAGGAATACTAGACATATCAGAAAATAGATCTAAAAAACTTGTCCAAGTTCTTCATTCCTCTTCTGCTTCTTTCGTATGCTGTTAGTTCAGATGATCTGACAGTTTTCTACTTTTGGAATGCTTTCTAGTCATGTTCCTTAAAACTAACCACTGATCTTGTTTTACAAGAAAGAATCTTTAGTAACCAAAGCTCTACATGATTTTGAATGCAGACAAGTAGTTCTTCTGTGTAAATAGGAATTCAGATGGATAAACATGGGCAATTAGGTTTCTCAGTGTTGTACAAAAAGCAAAGGTCTTAGGTTTTATTATAGAACTCCTGGGACCTACACACTTCTGAAACAGTACTTGCTATTCTAAGAAAGCATTGCCTTCTACATTAGTGTTAGGTCATATGTCAGTGTCTTGTGACCGTAGTTGGAACTGAAAAGTGATTGCATAAATCCTGGCAGCTGTGAAGTGGTCTTGTAAAAGGTGCCCCTATTTTATCTGCTGTGGTTTTAGAACATTCTAGTTCTATTGCTTCTTTCATTATTTATGGCTATACTGATAAAAGAAAGCTGATAAAAGGAAAAAAATAGAGGTTTCTACCTAAAATCCTTCTTCTGGACTTCCCATTTTTATTATTTTCTAATCCTCCTCTTTTGTTGTATAGATAATTCAGTTTAGAAATGACTTTTTAGGAAACCTCTCAGTAGTCCTGAAGTCCCCTCCCCACCCTGTTGGCATTTGCTTTTCCTCAGATGAATGATTAGCATGTTCTTTTATTCTGTTTTGTTTTCATTTTGATCTTGAACTCTACCCCAACCCTAGAAATAGCATAATTCAGTTATATTATATAGACCTGCTGAGTGTTAGCCAGATGAGACTTCAGTGCTCATTTCTGTGACCTTATTTCCAGCTAGCTTGAAGGCAGCCAGTAAGGGGAACTTGTAACTCCCACCCTTTATATTATGAAAAACTTCATTATCTCTTTACTCCTTCCCATAGTTCCATGAGTTGGGTTTTTTTTTTTTAAACCAAGCCAATTACATTTATTAAATATTTCCTTTTTTTCATTTTTATTAACCAAGTGCCTATAGCTGGGTCTGAAATAAAAACATACACTTCAGATAGTTGTATCTATATGATATTTGATTCAGATGGTTGATGTTTGTTAACCCGTGGATCTTTAATATGAAGAGACAGTTCCATTAACATTTTTTGGAAATGATTATAATAAGGTCCCCTGTACATTTCGCTCCATTACACCCCCATCCCCCATTTACGGTTTCAGTGATCCCTTGCAGTCTTAGGATCTCAAGCTGAGGCTGTGGTCTATACCTTAGGAGTTTGTAGTTTTGTTAACACGGTTTTTTTTTTTTTCTTATGGAAAAAGATAATTTAAAATATTCTCTAAAATGAATGGTTTTTCTTTTTTCTTAAGAGATGGGGTCTGGCTATGTTTCCCAGGCTAGAGCACAATGGCTATTCACAGATGTGGTTTAGCACACTGTGGACTCAAATTCCTGGGTTCAAGTGATCCTCCCACCTTAGGCTTCCTGCTAGCTGGGACTGTAGGCATGCACCACTGTGCCTGGCTTAAAATGAATGTTATATTAAGACAGGTACCACTTCCCACCCCCATTTGTGGAGGAATATGGTGGATAATTTTTGTTGATGCCATTCTTAGTCCTATAATACCAGATGTCTAGTTCTGGGGACCCAAGCTCCTGAATCATCACCTTTTTTTAAAAAAAACCTGAATTACTAAGAATAAGAAGCTTTCCCTGTTTCTTCTCTCTCCCATCTCAAACTGTGTTGGCTTTGTGCCTGCTTGAACTTACCTACTGTCTGTTTCCCACATCTGTTTCACTAATTTCCACTGGAGCATCCTTAGTGGCTTGGGAGGCTTGTAAGGGCAAGGGCATCTCTTACTCATCTCTGTCTGCTATGCCAAGAACAGTGCCTGCCACAGATGAAGCAGGGCAGGGCAGCAGCAGCCACCTTTGAATGTTTTCTCTGTGCTGAATACTTAGCATGGATTCTGTTTTAATTCATTTAATGTCCACAGCAGCTTTACAAGAAAGTAGATTACTATTAGTACTTCCATTTTAAAGATTGGGAACACATTTTAAAATAATTTGGTTAAAGTCGTAGCGCTCTGTTGAGTGGCCTGTTTTTATCTCTTTCCTTTGGCCCTTGGGATGAAAAAGTAAAATTATTCAAAGACAAAAGTAAAGTAAGAAGAGAAATAAAAAGTCTGGAAAATGAGGTGGATGGATCATGAGGTCAGGGGATCGAGACCATCCTGGCTAACACAGTGAAACCTCGTCTCAACTAAAAATAGAAAAAATTAGCCGGGTGTGGTGGCGGGTGCCTGTAGTACTAGCTACTCGGGAGGCTAAGGCAGGAGAATGGCATGAACCTGGGAGGCAGAGCTTACAGTGAGCCGAGATCGCACCACTGCCCTCCAGCCTGGGTGACAGAGCGAGACTCCGTCTCAAAAAAAAAAAAAGTCTGGGAAATAAATATATGGAATAAATGGCCCCTTGAATAATCACATTGCCTCAGTGGGAGAGTCATTTGCCCTCTCTGAAACTTAGTTACCCTGCTGTTCTTTTCTAGTTTAAATGCTTCAAATTATGTCATTTAGCTTAGCCAACTACTTGACATAGAATTGTATTTCTAATTTTTTCAATCTTTTAGCATTTCTATATTTAGAAATTATTTGAGCCCTAACTGAAAACTGTGGGACTGTATATTTATGTTGCTTTTCTTCTTTTTTATTATTCTAATCATGTATCACATCATAACAAGCCGAGTGTGTTAAGGGGATTGGACAAATCATCCTGAAGAGAAAATTTCCAAATAATTGGACTTCTTGTTGTTTGTGAGGCTAATCTTTAACAGAAAAAGAAAGTTTTCTTCGGTCAAATAAGAATGTTGGGTAATTGTTAGTTGATATTTATATTATTCATTATATTTTTAAAACATTATTTTGAATAATTGCACTATCAGATATCCAGTTTGGCATGGACAAGAGGTAAAAAACCAAACTAGTTTATGTACAGTTATAGTATGAGATAGTAGTGGAAATAATGTCATTAAACTCATTTTATAAAAGTTGATGTTTTATAGGACTTATATGGAAAGATATGAATTTATTGTATTTCAAATACATATGTATTAGTGGTTAGGTATGATTATAAGTAGTCGCATTAAACATTGTCAATATTTGAACAATAGAAGAAAAAGTTTTTAACTACCTGGATGTTTATTGTTTATGTATTTTCATTGTCAGCCATTTAAAATCACCCCTTTTTTTTGCTGTGGAGGGATAGCCAAGTATATATTATTTTTTAAAACTTGGTAGGTTTCCCTCCTTGGATAATGGACATAGTTGGAAAGGTGGCATTTACTTTACAGTGAATTTCTAAAACATAACTTTTTGTAAATGAAGTGCACATTGCAATAAAGGGAGAATAATTGTAATTGCCACTTGTTCACAGTGGTGGCTTGGGAGTTGGGACAAGTGACCCAAAATAGCAGATTTGAGTGGTACAAAGAGGAGGATTTAAGTTAAACATAAACTATATAAATTTCCTTTAAAAAATCTTAATAAGGTACTACTTCGACTGGGGTTATAAATTCGTTTCACTGGCTATTTAAAGAATAGATGTGACTAGTCGCCATTATTAAGATATGTTTGATTTTTGAATGGGGATGGCTCTCTGGATTCCAAAGTCAGGGCAAAGAAATGACAGTGAATGGAGTGGACTCCTGAGTCAGCTTGCTGTCCTAGGGCAGATAATGCATGCATTCAAAAAGCAATGTCAGACCTCTTAGGGAGACTGCAGAGCCAAGGGTTTGGACTGAATGATCCATAGGTCCCTTTCATCTTCAATTACGTAAATGTTTAATTTCAGTCTGCTTTTTTCATCTGATTCATTAGTTTCCATCAGAGTATCCTTAGTAAAATTTATTGTACGTATTAAAAAATCACATTGTATGTAACTTTTGGGTTTCTGCCTTTGTTGCCAATCTTTGTTTAGTTTGAACCAAGGAAAAGATATTTTATTAAGTTTTAATTATCTTGGGAAATAACATGGAACCTACATTATTTTGGGTGTTTTAAGTTTAAATGGAAACAGCAGTTGAATGTTAACAGATGTGATGACAAAGGCCATGTGGTCTGCCCTTCCATTCTCTTTTAAGCCTTTTGTGGTCTAGAATACTTCTTGAATTCGTTTCTTATTATGTGAATGTTTATATTATCATGCCTGTTCTTTAGTTTCTGGAATGAATGAATGATTTGTGATGCCTTTCCTAAGTCCTTTTCATCTTAAAAATTTTTTTTCATCTGAACAAAAGATCATTTTCCCATATGATTGATGGGTTTGCTTTTTATTTAATGATGAAAGAGGTAAGGAGTTGTTTGTTACTGTCAGAGTTCGTCTAATGCTAGAGTTGAGAGGTCCTTAGATGTCAGCTAGCCCAGCCTTACCATTGGTGCAGAAATGCCTTATGCAAAATTTTAGACAGATGTTTGCCCTGCCTTTGCTGGAATACTTTTAGTGATGGATAACTCACTGCCTTTTCTGGTATTGTAACGGCTCCATTGAGTAGTTCCCCATTTTTTAGCTGAAATGTGTCTCTTAAGTAACCAAGTTTCATCCTCTGGAGTAATATATAACCAGTCTTTTTCCTGATTGACTATATTGATGGCCATGTTTCTTTCCTCCTTGAGCTTTAATTTTCTTGCGTATAAAATGACATGAGTTACATCACCTGGTTACCTCACTAGCGTTGAGGTAAAGAACAACTTGACATAATTGTGACCTTAGGCAAAATTCTTTTCCGGTCTCAGAGTATTAATATATTAGTTTTATTTCTGGTATATATTCTAATGGGAAAAATAGCAGTGTGTTGTCTGTTGGCTTGGGCACCTGGATACTTTTCAGTTGATATTATTGCTCTGTTACCAAAGGCATTAATTTGTCTCTTCATCGAACATTTATTGACCATTCACTGTGTACTAGCAATTACTGTAAAAACATTGAAGAAGATAGACACCTTCCCTGCCCTATTGGGGCTTCTTTTCCTTCATGGATGTTTGTACTTTGAGATATAAATGCTTTTGACTGCTCAAGATAAAATAATATTGTTAGCGCACTTTTAATGTTTTTGGTTTTCTAATTAGTCCAATATTTTAAAGTATGTCTTTGATTTATAGATATTTGGAGTCTGGGAGTGATCCTTTTCATGTTGGTGTGTGGGCAGCCGCCCTTTCAAGAAGCCAATGACAGTGAAACACTGACAATGATCATGGATTGCAAATATACAGTACCATCCCATGTGTCTAAAGAGTGTAAAGAGTAAGTAAAACAAAGTATGTGGAAACCTTAAGGACTCAGATTAAAACCAGAAGTTTTAATTCCATTAATATGTCAAGAAAATTTGAGAGGACTTCAAACATCCAAGCATCTGGGTTGATTTTAATTTTTGAATTTAATATTTCTGCTGTTGTTTCAGAGTGTTCGGTCGGCGGGGGTGGGGGTGGTTAGCCCCTGAATATGATCTGAAATTTAATATTAGAGTACAAAATGTATTCATCTATTTCTTATTCAAGAAATCTATTACATGCCTCTTCAACCTTCAGGAGTGGTGGTTATTTCACTTGAACTGAAGAAATACCATGGGAACTACCTTTCTCTGCATGAGCAAAAAGCAAGATCACCTGGAATTGTTTTAAGTTCCAGAGAAGAGTTAGGGCATTTTCTTTCCTGAATAGACCATCAACACACTATTTTAGGGTTTACATAGTATGTCTCATAATTTTCTTCACACACCTTCTGCTAATTGACTAAAGAGCTGTTTAGGTTTATGTGACTATGGGAAGCCAGCATAAAAAGTATACTCAATTATTTGGAATTTAAAGTAGTACATAGTACTATGATATGTGTAGTGAGAAATATAGTAATGGAATAGAACTGTTGGAAGTTCAGTATTGACATTTTAAGTGACATTTTTTAATGAGCTCAGCTGAGATTATAGCCACTACTTACAGGACTTTGCTGTAGAAACAGAGTTTTGAGTTTCTCCTATCAGCTGGTAAGAAGGAAATCTGATTGCCCAAGGACTTTTTTTCTCTAAATGAAGCCCCATCTCAGGTGGATGTTTAAGAACTTAGGTATTCAAGGCCGAGGCAGGCAGATCACAAGGTCAGGAGATCGAGACCATCCTGACTTACATGGTGAAACCCCGTCTCTACTAAAAATACAGAAAATTACCTGGGCGCCTGTAGTTCCAGCTACTCAGGAGGCTGAGGCGGGAGAATGGCGTGAACCCTGGAGGTGGAGCTTGCAGTGAGCCGAGATCGCGCCACTGCATTCCAGCCTGGGCGACAGAGCGAGACTCTGTCTCAAAAAAAAAAAAAAAAAAAAAAAAAAAAAGAACTTAGGTATTGAAACTCTGGATTCAAATATTGACTTCTCCATTTACTAATGATGTCAGAGTGGTAGAAACTACCATATAGGGTTATTGTGAAAATTAAGTGAATTAATATGTGTAAAGCTCTTAGCTCGGTCCTTAGCACATAGGAAACTATGAATATTGATGATGATTATTTTTATGACGTTACTGTTAACTATTCTCTACCCCAAGAAGCAGGGCAGTTGTCTGGGGGCATACGTTGTCTGCATGTTGGATGTTTGTGATGCATGTTGTAATTCAAGGAGTATTTCCACAGCTTCTACTGAAAAAGCTTATTTTTATATTGATATATATATCATTCAAATAAGTATACAATGTATATGTAGTAAAATGAGGGCCTGTGTACCCATTATCTAGCTTAAGAAATAGAACAGTTCCTAGTATCTTAGTAGCTGTCTGTGTCTCCCTCCTAGAAGGATTATTTTTAATAATTATTGAGGCTGGGCGCAGTGGCTCACACCTGTAATCCCAGCACTTAAGGAGGCCGAGACAGGCAGATCACAAGATCAGGAGTTCGAGACCAGCCTGATCAACATGGTGAAACCCTGTCTCTACTAAAAATACAAAACTTAGCCGGGCATGGTGGCTGGCGCCTGTAATCCCAGCTACTCAGGAGGCTGAGGCAGGAGAATCACTTGAACCCAGGAGGTGGAGGTTGCAGTGAGCTGAGATCATGCCACTGCACTCCAGCCTGGGCGACAGAGTGAGACTCTGTCTCAAAAAACTAATAATTATTATTGGGGCCAGGCATGGTGGCTCGTTCCTGTAATCTCAGCACTTTGGGAGGCCAAGATGGAAGGATCATTTGTGCCCAGGAGTTCAAGACCAGCCTGGGCAACATAGGGAGGCCCTGTCTCTACTAAACAAACAAGCAAAAAGAAAAATTAGCCAGTTACGGTGGCTCACGCCTGTGGTCTCAGCTACTGGAGAGGCTGAGGTGGGAGGATGGCATGGGCCTAGAGGGTCGAGGATACGGTGAGCTGCGATTGCACCACTGCACTCCAGTCTGGGTAACAGAGTAAGACCCTGTCTCAAAAAAAAAAAAAATTATTGGGACTATTTAGGTTTTTAAAATTTTTTCCTATTTCAGTTTTGCTAAGCTGTGTTTTTTAAGGGACATGTCTGCTTTATATAATTTTTCAAATGTATTAACCTCAAGTATTTATATTATCTTTTTTTTTTTTTGAGATGGAGTCTAGTGGTGTTCCCAGGCTGGAGTGCAGTGGCACAGTCTCGGCTCACTTCAGCCTCCACCTCCTGGGTTCAAGCGATTCTCCTGCTTCAGCCTCCCAGTTAGCTGGGACTAGAGGTGTGTGCCACCGTGCCCAGCTAATGTTTGTATTTTTAGTAAAGGCAAGGTTTTAACATGTTGGCCGGGATGGTCTCAATCTCTTAACCTCGTGATCCGCCTGCCTCGGCCTCCCAAAGTGCTGGGATTACAGGCATGAGCCACCACGCCCAGCCTATAATATCTTTTAGTTATATTTTTTAAGTCTATAAGAAGTGTGGATATATTGTCCTTTTTAATTTCAATAGTGATAATTTGTGCCTTATCTTTTTTTTGTCTTGATCAGTTTTGCCAGAAGTTTGTTATTTTATTAGTCTTTTTCTAAGAACTACCTTTTGCTTTTATTAACAATTATAATTTTTGTTTTATGTTTTATTAATTTTCTTTTCTCTTGTCTGTAGTATTTCGTGCCACTCACTTCCATGGGCTAATTCTGTTCTTCCTCTTTCTGTTGTTGGATACTTAGCTCACAAATTTCCCTTTTCTGTTGTAATAATTTAAGGGTATAAATTGCCTACTGATACCATTTTAGCTGCATCCCACTAGTTTTGATTTATAGTCCTTTTGTTATTCAGTTCTAATAAGTATTTTCTAGTTTGTGTTGATTTATTTCATGTGTGAGTTGTTTACAGGGGTGTTTTACATTTCCAAATGTATGGCGTTTTTCTAATTAGCTTTTTATTGATTTCTAACTTAATTGTGTTGTGGTCCAATAATAATAGCCTCTATGGTACCAGTGTTGTTTTTGTTTTTTTGTTTTTTCAAATTGCTGAGACTTGCTTATGGCCTAGCATAAGGTCTTTTTGTTCTGGAAAATAGTGTATATTTTCCAGTTTTGGAGTTCTGCATAAATCCTTAAGATCAAGCTTTTTTATTATGCTGTTCAAAATTATTTGCATCCTGTATGAGTTTTTCTTTCTCCTACTGGATCTATCAGTTACTGAGGTATTCTTCCACTGTGATGGTGGATTTGTTTTTTTTCTTGGAGCTCTGTCAGTTTTTGCTTTGAGTGTTTTGAGGTAATGTTATTAGGTGCAAACAAGTTGAAAAGTGTCGTATCTTCCCATTCTATCAATTTGTATCAATGAGGTAATGGCCCTCTTTAGTACTGCTTTTTTGCCTTAAAGTCAGTCTGTGTTGTCTAATTTCAGCCACACCAGTCTTCTGTTGGCTACCATTTGTGTGCTGTAGAGTTTTTCTTTCTTTTCTTAAACTTCCCATTGTCCTGGTTTTAAATACATCTTTTTTTAACAGGCTGGAGCCGAGTTTTTCTTTAATCCCATCTGATCATTTTTGTGTTTTAAATGGAGAGTTTATTCCATTTACATTTATTGTAGTCACTGATAGATGTAGATCTATTTATGCCATCTTTTTATATGTTTTATGTTTGTCCTACTTCAGTTTTTTTTTTCTTTTTACCCCATTCTTTGGAGTTGATGGAGGATTCCTTTCCTTTCCCTTCCCCTTCATTCTTTCTCTTTTTCTTTCTTTCTTCCCTCCCTCCCTTTCCTTCCTCCCCTCTCTCCTTCCCTTTCCTCCCCTCCTTACCCTCCCTCCACCCTCTCTCCCTTGCTCTCTCCCTCCCTTGCTCTCTCCCTCTGTCCGCCTTCCCTCCCTCTCTTTCTTTTCTTAGACAGGGTCTTGCTTTGTTGCCCAGGCTGGAATACAGTGGTAAAATCATACATAGCTCACTGCAGCCTTCAACTCCTGGGCTCAAGTGATTGTCCTGCCTCAGTCTCCTGAGTAGCTAGGACTACAGGTGTGTGCCACCATGCCTGGCTAATATTTAAACTTTTTGTAGAGACCGGGTCTCACTATGTTGCCCAGACTGTTCTTGAACTCATGGTCTCAAGAGATCCTCCAGCCTCTGCCTCCCGAAGTGCTGGGATTATAGACATGAGCTACCACACCCTGCCAAGGTTTTTCTTTTTCCCCTCATTTGACTTTCCCCCTGAATTAGCTAGGAAGTTATAGTCTGTTATTTTAGTGATTTTTCTACCTGTTTTAACACAGATACACATTTTTGTTTGTTTGTTTTGGTTTTGGTTTTTTTCGAGACGGAGTCTCGCTCTGTTGCCCAGGCCGGAGTGCAGTGGTGTGATCTCGGCTTGCTGCAAGCTCTGCCTCCCAGGTTCAAGTGATTCTCCTGCCTCAAGCCTCCCAAGTAGCTGAGACTACAGGCGCCCGCCATCACGCTTGGCTAATTTTTTGTATTTTTAGTAGAGACGGGTTTTCACCGTGTTAGCCAGGGTGGTCTCGATCTCCTGACCTCGTGATCCACCTGCCTGGGCCTCCCAAAGTGCTGGGATTACAGGCATGAGCCACCGCGCCTGGCCAAATATACATGTTTTTATACCTTTTTTTTCTATTTTTTTTGAGGTGGAGTCTCGATCTGTCGCCCAGGCTCGAGTGCAGTGACACTATCTTGGCTCACCGCAGCCTCCACCTCCCAAGTTCAAGTGATTCTCATGCCTCTGCCTCTGGAGTAGCTGGGATTACAGGCACACGCCACCACATCTGGCTAATTTTTTGTATTTTTAGTAGTGATGGGGTTTCGCATTTTGCCCAGGCTGGTCTCGAACTCCTTAGCTCAGGCAGTCCACCCGCCTCAGCCTCCCAAAGTGCTAGGATTACAGGCATGAACCACTGTGCCCAGGGGCCTCATGTTTTTATACTTAATTTAACAAAATTTATAGCTTATTCTTATTTTTTGGAGGGTGTCGGGGGAATGGTCTCACCCTGTCACCCAGGCTGGAATGCCTCAGTGCAATCATGGCTCACTACAGCCTTGACCTCTCAGCCTCCCAAGTAGCTGGGACCACAGGTGCAAGCCACCACACCTGGCTAATTTTTTTTTTAATTTTTTTGTAGAGATGGTGTATTAGTCCATTTCATACTGCTACAAAGAACTGCTGGGTAATTTATAGAGGAAAGAGATTTAATTGACTTGCAGTTCAGCATGGCTGGAGAGGCCTCAGGAAACACAGTCATGGCAGAAAGTGAAGGGGAAGCAAGGCACCTTCTTCACAAGGCAGCAGGAAGGAAAAGGAACTTAGGAGAAGCTACTGAACACTTATAGAACCATCACTATCAGAACAGCATGGGGAAACTGCCCCCATGATTCATTTACCTCCACCTGGTGTCTCTGTTGACACATGGGGATTATGGGGATTATAATTCAAAATTAGATTTGGGTGGGGACACAAAGCCTAATCATATCAGACAATGTCTGATATGTTGCCCAGGCTGGTCTGAGACTCCTGGGCTCAAGCAGTCCCTCCGCCTCAGCCTTCCAAAGTGCTGCGATGACGGGTATGAGCCACTGCGTCTGGCCTCTTTATTCTCTTCTTGAACAACACAAAATCTTTAGAATATTTTAACTACCATCCAATATTTTAATAACTTTTCAAATGCCACAAAGTAGATATGATTATCATTCTACACAGTTAAAAATTTCATATTTACCCAGATGCTTGACAGAAACTGTTTACCCTTCCAAGTGGAATCACACTATCCTGTCAAAATAAAATTGTTTAGAATTTGTTTGGATGAGCATATGTTGGTGATAAGCATTCTCAGTTTTTATTTGGAATGTCTTCATGTTATTTATGCTCCTAAAAGATGGTTTCATTGAGTATGGAATTCTAGATTGACAGTTATTTTCTCTCAGCTCATGGAAGATATTATTCCACTGTTTTCTGGCATCCATTGTTGCTGTTGAGAAGTCAGCTGTCCATCTTATCATCTTCTTGTCTCCACGTAGGTGTCCTGTCTTCACTTAGGCTGCTTTAAGATTTTCTATTTATTGTGCTTAGGATGTGTTAGGCTTAGTGGTTCAAGATGTGTGCTCTTTGATGAATTTTGGAAAATTCTCAGCCATTATCTTTTCAAATACAGTTTCTTCCTCATTTTCTCATTTCCCTCACTCTGTCCTCTTCTTTTTATAAAATTGTTTTGTATTTCCTAACGCAGTCTATTGATAGTTATTTCCTTAATTTTATCTTACATTAATTCTGTGTCTTTTTAAATTTTGTTTATTGATTTTGTTTTTAGTTACACTGATTATTTTTCATTTTTAGAAGCCCTATTTAGTTTTTTCTCAACTGCCTAGTAATTTTATGTATAGTAGCTTTATTTATAGTATAAAGTATCATCTTTAGTTCCCTGGCTATATTATTTTCAAGATTCTCTTTCATGTCTTAAACATATTTAACACAGTTACATTTTACATCTGAAAATTTCAGTATCTGAAGTATTCGCATTCTGATTTTGCTTGTGTTTCCTAGGTCTTGCTGTTGGTACCTTGTTTCTTTTTTGTTTTTGACTGATATTCTTTGTAATATTATTTGGAGAATTATTTGAGGCTGGTTTTAAGTTACATTCCTACAGGAAGGGTGGGTGTATTTACTTCTCTACTAGTTGCCTAGGAGTGCTTCCAGCTGAAAGCACTATAAATTAACTTCTGTGTACCACACAGATATCATTAGTTTGGAACACAGACTTGTGTGAGGACCAGCTTGTAGTTAGAAGATCTAAGTTGTTTCTCATTTTTCATTTATCCTTACACTGAAGCTGGAGTCCTAGCTCTTTGCAAGGGCTCTAGTTGTGCTGTCTACCTTCAGTAGGCCTTACACATTATATTCTGTTATATGCACCCAACATAGCTTGTAAAGCTGAAGCAGAAACAGGCCAAAGGCCAGCTTTGTCATTCATTTCGTAAGGGTTCTGTTTTACTTCATTTTTAGTTGCTGAGTGTTACTTATTTATTCTGCTAAAATGGTGCCTTTAAATAAAATAGTTTCCTAAAAATACATTACATGGGCCGGGCGCGGTGGCTCATGCCTGTAATCCCAGCACATTGGAAGGCCGAGGCGGGCGAATCACTAGGTCAGGAGATCAAGACCATCCTGGCCAACATAGTGAAACCCCGTCTCTACCAAAAATACAAAACTTAGCTGGGTGTGGTGGCACGTGCCTGTAGTCCCAGCTACTCAGGAGGCTGAGGCAGGAGAATTGCTTGAACCCAGGAGTTAGAGGTTGCAGTGAGCCAAGGTTGCACCACTGCACTCCAGCTTGGCAATGGAGTGGGACTCCATTTCCAAAATATATATATATATATATATATATATATATATATATATATATATATATATATATATGTTACATGGTATTTTAGTTGTTGTCATCAGAAGCATCATTCATTTTTTTCTGAAACAGAAGTGGGCTTGTATACTTTATTCTGTATGTCATTGCTGATCCTTGAATTTAATTCTGGTATGTCACTAAGCCAGCAGTTAATTCAAGAACAGATGTTGATACCTATAGTTAATTCTGGATGATAGGGAGCTCTTATTTGTGCATTTGGCTTATCAGCGTACCTGGAGGTTGTGATTTTTTATTTTATGACTGCAGTGGCACTAAATTTTTATTATTCCCATCTGCCCCACTGCCACCACTAGTGCACCTAATTTAATTGATGGTATAGGAAATCATTTTTGTTAATAAAATGATCCATCATTACTGATCCTTGCAAGCAGTTTGCTTTAACAATGGACTTACCTTCCTTTCCAGCCTAATCACACGGATGCTACAGAGAGATCCCAAGAGAAGGGCTTCTTTAGAAGAGATTGAAAATCATCCTTGGCTTCAGGGAGTGGACCCTTCACCAGCTACAAAGTATAACATTCCCCTTGTGTCATACAAAAATCTCTCGGAAGAGGAGCACAACAGCATCATTCAGCGCATGGTGCTTGGGGACATAGCGGATCGAGACGCCATTGTAGAGTACGTCAATGCCCGTCAGTACAGAGGGCCACAGGTTTAGGA
Source organism: Homo sapiens (assembly GCF_000001405.40). NCBI lineage: Eukaryota > Metazoa > Chordata > Mammalia > Primates > Hominidae > Homo > Homo sapiens. The sequence continues at coordinate 43,340,542 of NC_000003.12, forward strand.
TTCTTGGAATGGGCTCTCTCTACTTAACACAGCCTTTGGACACCTGTGTAATAGATAAGAGTTCCCAGTTGGCAAGAGTTGTGTCATTTATCTCTAAAGTTCTTGGCCCAGGGCCTGACACAGGTTTTTTTTGGTGTTTTGGTTTTTATGCTAGTGAACAAGTAAGCCATTGCTGGGTGGTTTCAGTGAGTGCTGTGGCCTTTTCCCCATTCTATAGGGGTGGAATGAAACAGCTTGTTTTGTATCCCAGTATGTACCTTATCTGTGGCACTATTCTCATTCCTCTGTCTCCTGCCGGTCCCCACAGTGATAGGGAGAACAGTACCACCTGCCTAGAGTCCTCTAAGTCAGGAGTTGGTAAATGCTGCTGGCCACACATTTTTATAAGTGAAGTTTTATTGGGCCACAGCCATGCCCATTCATTTAAGTATTGTCAGTGGTTGCACTGTGCTATAATGGCAGAGTGGTTGTGGGAGAGACCACTTGGCCTACAAAGCCTGAAATATTTATTATCTGGCCCTTGAGAGCCCCTGCTGCAGCCACCTGGAGCCTGCAAGTTATACAAGTTGTTAATTACATCCTTTAAAACCAAAGCCAGTTGTTTTTTTGTTTTTGTTTTTTTTTTTTGAGATGGAGTCTCGCTCTGTCGCTCAGGCTGGAGTGCAGTGGCACAATCTTGGCTCACTGCAAGCTCCGCCTCCCGGGTTCACGCCATTCTCCTGCCTCAGCCTCCCAAGTAGCTGGGACTACAGGTGCCTGCAACCACGCCCGGCTAATTTTTTCTATTTTTTAGTAGAGACGGAGTTTCACTGTGTTAGCCAGGATGGTCTCGATCTCCTGACCTCGTGATCCGCCCGCCTTGGCCTCCCAAAGTGCTGGGATTACAGGTGTGAGCCACTGTGCCCAGCCCCAAAGCCAGATTTTAATAAACAGTTTGGAATCAAAGATAATACAGAGGAAAGAGGCATTTGCTTTTTTCTGATAATGATTAATTTCTATAAGAGGTCCTGACTGTAAAAACAAGGAATATTTCCACAAATTAAAGGTCAGAAGTTATTTAATTTGTTGAATGAAACAGTTGGGTATGTTCGAAAGAGAGTATGCTCTAGGAGGCAAAAAAGGGGCTCCCATCAGGAGGGCCCTTTCAGGATTTGATCCAGTTCCCTGACTTCGGGGAAGAGAAGCCTGTTGGCTGGACCTGCAGACCCCTGCTGTGTGTCTTCGTGCCACACACATGCCCACTGGGAGGCTCTGATCCCTGAGAAGGGCAGTGTCTGTATAAAGGACACTTTAGAGTGTTTTACATTACTGGAAAGAAAGGTTTATAAAAATAAACCCAGGTTCTTAATTTTGGTTTAAGCACAATTTTCTATAAGTTTCCAAATGTATTATGGTTCTTTACAGTATTGACTCACAGCTACTTAAATGACCTAAACATGTGGTGGAGACGGGACACTTGCTGTTTCTGCTACAGACACTGACTTTTGGAATGTGTAGAAAATGATTTTTCACTTTTGAGTGGGTAAAAGGCTGTTTGTATCTCTCTGAATTGGCCTTACGTTCTTAGCTTAAATAAATACATATATACATGTAGTAGTGTCATCTAGAACTACTTAATATAAATTCAATTATAAATCCAAAAGGTAGTGCAATTTAAATGGTTCAGGTGACTCCAGTTTGCCAGTTTGTTGGTTTCCCGATAGCTGGGTGAGCGTCTTGCTGTCCTCTCAGCTAGCCTCACTCCGTGCTTGCTGCTCACATCATGAGAAGCTGCTTGTTCTGAGGGTGACTCCTGAGTTCCAACACACACCTTTCTCTCACAATACATTTCCAAACCCAAGCCAACTCCTGTATTTAGTACTTGGCTGAAGAAACTAATAAGTCATTCTACCCTTGAATTTCACCTTGGATACTTCCTTTGTAATCTCATGCCTCAGCCTGCCCTGCCCCCATTAGTTGTGACCCCAGTGTACATTTTGAAAAATGGTGTCTCTTGCTTCTTTCCTAAGTGTTCATTGTGTGAGTATTTTCAGTAACTACAGAAAGTTTCTGAAAACGTAGTTACGTATTTCCTGGCCTTGTGGAATCCGCCAAAGCCAAAGCACACTCCTAGTATGTATGTCCTGTGACAGGTCAGCTACAAGAGAGTGGGCAGGGCTGTGGGCCTTGGTGGGCCTTGTGTCCCAGCACCGTGTCTAGCCAGACTAGGTACTCGGTGAACATTACTTTTTAAACGGATCAATGACTACATTGATTTTATTCAAAGCAATTGATGGTGACATGCTTTCAATTTCTTTAATAATTCTGTAGTGCCTAAATTGCCAGTAAATGCAGAGGGAGTATGAAAATAAAAACATTTGCTAAGTTTTCTGACTGATATTAGTACTTCAGTGCACATTCATGTAACACAGACTTCGTCTTCATGTACTTCTAGTGGAAGCAAGTAAACCACCTGAACAAATACAAACACTGTACACACAAATTCAAATTTTGAATAATGCGTGCACTTATCTTATGTGTCTAAAACTGACGTCTAACTCAGCTGCTGTTGGCATTTTGGATTTTTCTCTCATTTACGAAAAATCTTCATAAAAATATGAACATTTTTATGCAGTTGTTTTTAGAACTTTGAGTGACCTAAATAACTACTAGTTTGGTTTTTTTCTGGTTTGCATTTTTTGCATAATTTTAAAGATTCCAGCCATTGAATTTAACTTGCTTGTACTTTTAAAAATCAATTCTGCTTCTTGTAAAAAAACCTCCTGATATGGCTGACGTTTGCTCTCACCTTG